>NC_000008.11:7667127-7971608 GCF_000001405.40 Homo sapiens
GAATTCCAGCCAGGCGTGGTGGCTCATGCCTGTAATCCCAGCACTTTGGGGGCCGAGGTGGATCACCTGAGGTCAGGAGTTCAAGACCAACCTGGCCAACATGGTGAAACTCCCTCTCTACTAAAAATACAAAAAAAAAAAAAAAAAATAGCTGGGTGTGGTTGTGGGTGCCTGCAGTCCCAGCTACTCAGGAGGCTGAGGCAGGAGAATCGCTTGAACCAAGGAGGCAGAGACTGCAGTGAACTGAGATTGCACCATTGCACTCCAGCCTGGGCAACAAAAGTGAATCTCCGTCTCAAAAAAGAAAAAAAAAAAAATGACACCGAATTTGCTAAAGGGGGAGAAAGGGCTTTCTTCCAAAGCTGGGCCTGGTTTCTACAGAGAGTCTTTCACATGAAAATTAGGCAGCTCTTTGCAAGCACCTCAGAGGAGAACCCCTCACCCTGATGAATCAGGCACAGGGGCAGATCCAAGACAACTGGCTGCGTGCATATGAACAAGTCTATGGTGGAAATGCAGTGCTTTATTTGTTTGTGGTGGTTTAATCACCAGGAGGGAGAAGCTTCTAAAGCAGCATTCAGAGGTGGCTGTTGCCTGGGTTTTCTGGAAGGGGGAGGCGGTGAGGATGAGGGCTTCCCTTTCATCTGCAGGCCCCTTGCAGAAGGAGCTGGGGAAAGCTTTGCAACCCTCTGCACACTGTTTGCCATCTTGTCTGGCTGGGACGCCGAGCTCCAGATGGGGGCAGATGGGATAGCTCTTGCCACCGTATTTGGAGAGAGATGGCAGGGAAGTCAGCCCCCGTGGAGAAGACAGGAGCAGGCACGTGCTGGACAGTGCTGCCCAGGCCCCTGGGGCTGAAGTGTCCAACCCCACAGCCTCTAGGTGCCACTAAAGCAGCCCAAGAGGACCTTCTCTGTCCATCTCCATCCTGGCACCTACAGACACTTGGAGAGAGTCCTTCACATGGGAACTCACAAATGCACACTGATAACCCCCACACGGAACTCTCATACGTAGCAAGTGAAAAGACAGGATGCCAGCTTAACTTGAATTTCAGATAAACAACAAATCATTTTTTAGGGTAAGCAGGTCCCAAATATTACATGGGATATATTTGCACCAAAAAAAAAAAAAAAAAAAAAAAAGGTTAATGAGAAGTTCAGGTTTAATTGGACCTCCTGTATTTTACCTGGCAAGCCTAACCCTGCATAAACACAACCTCGAGCTTGAAACTCACAGAGAAGCCACGGCCGTGCTCACACACGTGCACAAACCCATATGCCTTACAGAGTCAAGGGCTGTGATGAGGGTCCCCACCCTTGCACACTTCTCTGTCCTCTGTCTGGGCTCAGAGTAAACAGGGGGTCACCTGGAATCCACGTCTAAGCTGGGCTTGGAGGTGTCCTAATGAAGCAGGATGCTGACATGCACTTCCCCAGGTCAGCTGGGACTGTAGCCAGGCCTAGCTTCCAGTCTCGGGCCTAGAACACACAGCACAGCCCCAGACCTTGGCAAGAAGGCTTCATCTCAAGGGCCACTGGTGCAGGAACTATTAGAAGCCCCACTTCTTTCCTCTGTTTCTGCTGCCATTGCCCCAGTCTCTGACCCTGCCACTCAATCACTCTATAAACACAGCAGGTACTAGGGGTGGCTCTGGGCTCAGCACTAAAGACACTGACCCTGGTAAAGCCACAGTCTAGCAATGACAGTCAACCACGTATCAGCAACAGCCCTGCCCCACACGTGCTGACTGCGCACAAGGCCGGCGCTGTGAACGTGCTCTCAACAGTGATCTCACTGAACCCTCATGGCAGCTCTAGGATGCAGACAGTAGCATCACATTATCCCCATTTTACTTTTGAGGAAACTGAGGCCTGAAGAAGGCAAATGCAGGCCTCGAGATTTGCAGTAACATTGCCAGGAATGTTTGAGAAAGCAAACTTCTCCAGAGTGAGGCAGTCTGCCAGAGCTCAGAAGCCAGAGTCCCTGTTAGCAGGGGCTGGGGGCACTGTGGGGTGAGGGCAGACAAGTGGGTAGGGGCTGGAACCCCCAGGACACCAGGGTGCAGACTGGTGTGAGTAAAAGAAAGAGGGGCTGTCATGCCATCATCTGCAGAAGATGATGTCTACAGAGGACAGTACCATGTGAGCCCTTGGGGAGGTGGATGACTGGATGGAATTTTGCACAGGATGCAAATTGAGCACAGATCCCCCTCTGACCTAGACAGCCCACTTCCAGGAACATCTCACAGAAATGCAGGCACAGAGCACCAAGTGATGTGTGTAAGGAAATTCATCAGAACACCGTCTGTGACTGGGAAAAGGCGGAAACCATCCAAAGACGTATCGGTGCAGGGCTGGTTAAACGAAGCGTGGTGCATCCACAGGTCAGAATAACTGCTGGGAGAAGAAGGTGGTACCCAGGTTCCAACGTGAGACAATGTCAAAGACATGCTGCCTGAAAAGCAGGCTTTCCAAAGAATAAATATAGCATTATTTCATTTTTACTTTTTTAAAAATATTACAATAAACACTTATGTGCAAATACATGTGCTTGTGTGCACAGAGGAAAAAGCTGTGGACAGAAACAGAAAACCAAACACGGTGTGCTCTCACTCATAAGTGGGAGTTGAACAATGAGAACACATGGACACAGGGAGGGGAACATCACACACCGGGGCCCATCGGGGGTGGGGGACAAGGCGAGGGAGAGCGTTAGGACAAATACCTAATGCATGTGGGGCTTAAAACCTAGTTGACGGGTTGATAGATGCAGCAAACCACCATGGCACATGTATATCTATGTAACAAACCTGCACATTCTGCACATGTATCTCAGAACGTAGAATAAAAAATAAAAAGAAATCAAAGAAAAAGGTGGGGAGAGGTATAACCCAACCCTTCCCAGTGTTACCTCTGAGATGCAAGAACAAGAAAAGCAAATCAAGAGGTAGTTTTGCTTTCTGTTTTCTATATAAATTTTTTTTTTTTTTTTTTTTTTTTCTGGAGACATAGTCTCGCTCTATTGCCCAGTCTGGAGTCCAGGGACACAATCTCGGCTCACTGCAACCTCCTCCTCACCACAACCTCCTCCTCACTACAACCTCCTCCTCAGTGCAACCTCCTCCTCACTGCGACCTCCTCCTCACTGCGACCTCCTCCTCACTGCGACCTCCTCCTCACTGCAACCTCCTACTCATTGCAACCTGCTCCTCACTACAACCTCCTCCTCACTGCAACCTCCTCCTCACTGCAACCTGCTCCTCACTACAACCTCCTCCTCACTGCAACCTCCTCCTTACTGCGACCTCCTCCTCACTGCAACCTCCTCCTTACTGCGACCTCCTCCTCACTGCAACCTCCTCCTCACTGCAACCTGCTCTTCACTACAACCTCCTCCTCACTGCAACCTCCTCCTCATTGCAACCTGCTCCTCACTGCAACCTGCTCCTTCTGGGTTCAAGGGATTCTCTTGCCTCAGCCTCCCAAATAACTAGGATTACAGGCATGCACCACCAAGCCCGACTAACTTTTGTATTTTTTGTAGATACAGGGTTTCACTATTTTGGCCACCTGGTCTCAAACTCCTGGCCTGCCCACCTTAGCCTCCAAAAGTCCTGGGATTACAGGTGTGAGCCACCACGTCTGGCCTGCATTGCTTGAATTCTCAGACCACATGGACCCTCTCATCTGGTCCAATTGCAAGAGTCCAAGGCAGGAAAGGCAGAAGGCAGGGGCTTACCCCTCCATCAGGACAACATAGAACAGAGTCAAAAAAGGAAAACATGAATGGATCAGTCAAGAGGGCCGTGCACATGCCCTCCCAGGCACCTACATCTTGCAACTTAAGCCGACAGCCTTTCAAGCCACAGAGTCTTCCTCCCCAGAGACTAGCAAGGACACAAGCCCTGGCCAGGCCCTTCCAGGAAGATGTTCTGAGGGACAAGGTGGGGGGCACAGTCAGGGGTGGCAGGAGGAAAGGGGGACACGAAGCCAAGGAAACCAGGGCACCCCATGCTTCCTGAAGGCAACTAGAACAGGGCGCCACACAGAGCCCCTGTGTACCTGTTTCTACAACAGCCTGAATACAAGGAAAAGGAAAACAAGGAAAATACACAAAGCCCAGCCTCACCAGGAGCAGGTTAAATAAAGGTGTGTGAATTTTCCTCATGTCCTTTGGAATTGGAAATCCAAGCTTCCTCTTCTGTGCCTTTAAGGTCCTGGCCGCTGCCGCACAGCTCCCTTCTCTTCCCTCCTCCTCCTGTCCTATTTTTTTTTTTTTTTTTTTTTGAGATGGAATCTTGCTCTGTTGCCCAGGCTGGAGTACAGTGGCACAATCTCAGCTCACTACAACCTCCACCTTCCGGGTTCAAGCAATTCTCGTGGCTCAGCTTCCCGAGTAGCTGGGATTATAGGTGTCACCATGTCTGGCTAATTATTGTATTTTTAGTAGAGACAGGTTTTCACCATATTGGCCAGTCTGGTCTCAAACTCCTGGCCTCAGGTGATCCGCCCACCTCGGCCTCCCAAAGTGCTGGGATTACAGATGTGAGCCACCATGCCCGACCCTCTTGTACTAACTCTGCCATCTCTTTGCAGTCTCCCCTGAGCAGCTTTTCCTGGGCCCGCACTGCCCCCCTCCAGAGCTGCACTCTCAAACCACGCCCCAATGCCCCCTGGCCCTGGCTCCTGCCCCGGGGCTCTGATCCTCAGCTGGTGAGGTCTAGAGTGTCAGAGGGAGCCAGACTCCTTAGAGAAGCTAAGGCGGGAGACCTGTGCTGGGCTGTGGTTAAACTGCTCCCTTCCAGCTGGGGCCGAATAGAAAGTGAAAGACTGCCCCCAGAATACAGGGCCCTCAGAGGCCCTGGGGATCTGTGCTGGCAGTCAGGAGGACTGTCACCTCAGTGCAGTTGCCTGCAAGGAGGGCTGTGCAGGAAGCTGCATGTTGCTCAGAGAACAAAAAAAGGAAATTAAATGCACCATCTCCTTATTAGCATGAGCTTTTGAGGCAGACACTTAAATATGCATGCCTAGACATTGTAAAACTTGGGGGAAATGTTAATTTCAATAACGCCACTTCTTGTGCTTGCAGAAACCATTCTTTTATCTCCCTTCCTAGTCATTTGTGGGCTCCATCCCTCAGAGTGGCAGCGCCAAGACAGCCGGCCTCACTGGGTTTTCTAAGCTGTGCAAGGTGAGATCCCAAGCCCTGGCCTCGAGACCCATCTTAGGAAAATGTTAGAACAGGGCAACAAGTTGCCATTTCCTCCCTCCTTTCTCTTCCCCATACAAAAATCAGAAAGCACCCTTGCCCAGTGCCCAGCCACAGTGAGGAAGAAACCCCACACAAAATCCTGGGTTGTGCCCCTGATACCAAAGACCTGCAAAATTGGGCCTCACCTGCTGCAACCTCAGCCCAGACTTGTGTACATTTCAAGGGTGGCTGGACTCATGGCCGCCTGGGACGTCAGAGTGGTACGAAGTCCTCTTAACCTAAGACTGTCGGGGTACAAGGATCAGCATTTTTTTCCTTTCTCTCCAGGGCCAGATGGTAAATAGTTCAGCTTTGCAGGCCATAGGTCTCTGTCCCAACTATTCAACTCTCCACTCTCCATTGTAGCAGGAAAGCAGCCACAGACAATAGGCACTGAAATGGGTGTGGCTGTGTTCCAATAAAACTTTATTTGTGTGAACAGGCAGGGGGCTGGTTCTGGCCTGTGGGCTATAGCCTGCCTCCTCTGCTACAGGGTGATCTCCAAGGACCCATCCATCTTGTAGACCAGCAGCTGGCACACAGGAGCTGCTCAGATACTTGAAGGAGGAATGGAGAAGGCAAACAGCCCCCAGTGTGCAGATGTGAGGGTCTCCCAGCGGCACCATCCTTTGCCATCTCATGCCAAGGGACAAAGCCAGAGCAGGGCTCTCCACCAAGGCTGGGTTCTCCTCCAAGGAAATGTGATAACAGGACAGAAAGCATCGTGGAAGGATAGGGGCTTTGGAGTCCCACAAACCACAGTTTGCAAGACCAGGAGCATCCTGCACTTCCTTGCACACATCCTGCGTGGGTACTGGAGCATCTAGACTTAGAGTGAATCTTCTCCCCATCCTCCCCCAACTGGCCTCCATTAAACTTCCAGCAACAATGTGGTGTATGTACACAATGGAATACTATTCAGCCTTCAAAAAGAAGGAAATCCTGCCATTTGAGACAACATGGATGAGCCTGGAGGATATTATGTTAAGTGAAATAAGCCAGGCACAGAACGACAAATACCACATGATCTCACTTACATGTGGAATCTAAAAAAGTTGAACTCGGCCAGGCATGGTGGCTCACGCCTGTAATCCCAGCACTTTGGGAGGCTGAGACCAGAGGATTGCTTGAGCCCAGGAGTTCGAGACCAGCCTGCATAACATAGCAATACCCCATCTCTACAAAAAATACAAAAATTAGTGGAGCATGGTAGTGCATGCCTGTACTCCCAGATACTCAGGAGGCTGAGGTGGAAGGATTGATTGAACTTGGGACCTCAAGGCTGCAGTGAGCCATGATCACAACCCTGCACTACAGCCTGGGCAATAGAAGGAGATTTTCTCAAAAAAAAGAAAAAAAAAAAAGAGAAGAAAAAAGTTGAATTCACAGAAGCAGAGTAGAATGATGGTTGCCAGGGTGGGGAAGTGGGCAGATGCCAAAGGACACAGAATGTCATTTTTAGAGAAGAATAAGTTCAGGAGATCCATGGGACAACAAGGTACCTATAGTTAATAACAACATATCATATACTTGGAAATCACTAAGAGAGTAGATTGTTTAAGTGTTCTCACCCCAAAAAGTAAGTCTGGGAGGTGATATGTTATTTAGCTTGATTTAGCCATTTCATAATGTATACATACCTCAATCACATCATGTTGTATACCCTCTTGTACATAATTTTTGCCAATTCAATAAATTCAACAACTCCAAAAAACAAGACATTCTCTTTACAAAAATAATTGTTAAAAATAAAATTCAGAATTCTATTTTATTTATTTATTTATTTTTGAAACAGAGTCTCGCTCTGTCACCCAGGCTGGCTGAAGTACAGTGGTTCCATCTCGGCTGACTGCAACCTCTGTCTCCCAGGTGCAAACGATTCTCCTGCCTCAGCCTCCCAAGTAGCTGGGATTGCAGGTGTGTGCCATCACACCTGGCTAATTTCTGTATTTTTAGTAGAGACAGTTTTGCCATGTTGACCAGGCTGGTCTCGAACTCCTGACCTTAGGTGATCCGCCAGCCTCGGCCTCCCAAAGTGCTGGGATTACAGGTGTGAACCACTGCACCTGGACAGAATATAAAAGATTGTTTAATTCAACTAAAACATTAAAACACAGATTATTTCTATAAGTGGTAATTGTTCTAACATGTTTTGGTCAAAATAGTCTCCTTACTTATCCACAATTAAATGGTTAATTGATATTTGATTGGATTTTTATAAAGTTTTCAAATCATGATTGACTTTTCCAATGTACAGTAAAATGTGTTTGAAAATATTGCATAAAAATTAATATTTAAAAATGGTCAGGCATGGTGGCTCATGCCTGTAATCCCAGCACTTTGGGAGGCCAAGGTGGGCCGATCACTTGAGGTCAGGAGTTTGAGACCAGCCTGGTCAAACCTCATCTCTACTAAGAATACAAAAGTTAGTCAGGCATGGTGGCACGCACCTGCATTCCCAGCTACTTGGGAAACTGAGGCAGGAGAATCGCTTGAACCTGGGAGGTGGGCTCCCCAGGCTTAAAGCAAAACCCCCATCTTGTCTGTCTCCACTCTCATCCCAGGCAATCGCCGTCATTTCCACAGCCTCAACCACTGTCTACCTGGGATGCCTCCCAAGCCCGGGTCGCCAGCCCAAACCTGCCTTCCTAGCCCCAGACCCATCTGTCCTGGCACACATTGCCCCCTGGGTCCCCAGCAACCTCAGCCAATGAGACCAATGCCAACTTCCTGTCCTTGCCTGACACTGTCAGCCCTGAGATCAGACTTGACCATTCACCTCCAGTACCTGATAGGTCCGTCAGTCCTTTGGAACATATCCCACGAACATTCCCCAAACCAGGCACCGGACTCCACACATCAACACCGTCACGTGAGTCACCAGCATCCCTGGCAGGGACCCCTGTCCCAGCCTGCAACTCATCTCCTTCCTGTCCCTTGAGTTCTGTGTCACATTCCAGAGGCCACAAGAAGAAAAATGACCACCTTAATGAAATTAAAAGAATTGAGAAGACATTTCTCTATGGTCCAAAATCTTTCCAACTGAGAAACACATATCAAGATCCAGCCTGCTGGCCCTGTGGTTAAATGTTCCTGAAATAATTAAAGCCCAGGGCAACACAGCCCCCACTCCACAAGTACTCCCAGCACAGTAAGACTTGCTTCTCTACAGGGGCTTGAAATGTCCAGTGTGTACCCTGCCCCTCTCTGTCGTAGCTAACAGGAATGTGCTCCGTGTCTTCTTCCTGCTCAAAGGACCGTCCACCAACCTGCGCAGGCAGCACTTTCGGCAAGGGGAGGATGGGAGAACATCCTACCATTTCCCACTTACTCACTGCATTCATCAGGAGCCTGCCTCACAAATTACAAGAGCGCCACGGCAGACCCACGATGTTCCAGCGGGTGGCCATGTCTTCATGTCAACTTGAAAGATCATCGCCAGGGAAATATCTATATCTCGGCAGAGAACTTCAGCCTGTGTAGTCCAGCTGTGCTCAAATGGAAATCCAAAAACCCAGATGTTGGTCAAAACACCCTGTCTCAGGGAGCTGGCTCTGCAGGTCCCCAGTGTGAGAGTGAACTGGGTGGGCCACCTGACCTGTCTACCCACATCCCGGCCTCCTGGAATCCTGGACCCTGAGAACCAGGGGGATGTGGTGGGGAGCAGGCAAGTCTTGTGCAGAAAGCCAAGATGCCACCCAAATCCACTCTGCAGTCTAGGAGGGCGATATTCTGGTCTGCACCACACCAGTGCACGAGGGGATGGAGGATGGAGTCTAGACAAGCCAAATGTAAAAATATATTGTCCAAGTATTTTGTGCTTTGTCTGTGTTACAATGCAATGACAAGCCCAGTGTGCTGGCTCACACCTGTGATCTCAGCAACTTGGGAGGCCGAGGCAGGTGGATCACCTGAGGTCAGAAGTTTGAGATCAGCCTGCCCAACATGGTGAAACCCCATCTCTACTAAAAATACAAAAATTAGCCAGGTGTGGTGGTGGGCACCTGTAATCCCAGCTACTCTGGAGGCTGAGGCAGGAGAATCACTTGAGCCCAGGACGTGGAGGTTGCAGTGAGCAGAGATCATGCCACTGTACTCCAGCCTGGGTAACAGAGTAAGACTCTGTCTTAAAAAAAAATTAAATAAATAAAGGCTATGCCCAGTATTTTCCATGTACTGTCTTATTATCTCAGTAAATCCCATATAACTTTCCTATGAAAGTGTATCTCATTTATCTCCATTTTATAGATGAGAAAACTGAGGCCCCTGGAGTAGTATTAATTTTCCAAGACCGCATTGCTCATAAAGGGTACAGCAGGGACCCAAGCTCGACACTCTCACCCTCAAACATTTCCACAAGTGTAGACCAATGGCTCTCAACTGGGGTGGTTTTGCTCACGTACCACTCCCTTGCCCCACAGCATTGAAACCATCTGGAGACATCTGGGGTAGCCATAGCTGGGAGGGTAGAATGGCACCTAGAGGATGGAGACCACAGATGCTGCTAACCGTCCTACAATACACAGGATGCCCCCCCACCACCACCACGAATGGTCTCACCCCAAATGTTGTGACTGTGCCAAAGCTGAGAAATCCAGGTTTCTCCTCAGCAAGAAGGAAAATACCTGCAACGTGGATGCACCTCTACAGGAGCCTCAGGCTGACAATAACCTTCCTGATCTGGTTTCAACCCTGGATGCTTTTACCTGGTGCGTCCATCAGGGATTTCAGGGACTCCAGTGAGTTATCACCCTCGAATGCTCGGTTCTGCCTGACAACCCAGAAATCTCTGCCAAGGTGCCTGGTCTTGGGGAAGGCTCAGCAAGCAGTTGAGGTTGACAACCAAATACCTAGGAGAGACTTTTCTCTGTCTCCAGAAGGAGCTGTGGGTCAGACACACCCTGAGATCATTCACAAGCGGTCAATAAAGGCTTGGGGAGGGGCAGATTTTCTAGGCCTTCTCAATGGGGTGGGTGTTTGTGGATACACAAGAAGCCTGTGAAACTTCTGATATTGGCAGGAAATCAATGCCCCCATCCTCCACCCCCACCCCCACCTCCCCACCATAAACACATGCCCTGCAGCAGGACTTGACACTCAGGGGCTCCTGGGGTCCCGATTTATCTGCTAAAACCTCCTCTAGCCACCACCGAATAAAGCAACCCCTTGCGACCCAACCACAAGAGCACTGCCTGGAAGCAACTCCAAGGGACACCAAGTCACATTAAAACCTCAGCCATACAGAGCACCAGGCCTGGTGATGAGAAAGAACATTTTATCCTTAAAAGCATCTGAATGCCCATGCTGCTTCTTGCAGAGAAAAGTCCAAAATAATCTGTTATTAAAGAACGAGGATGGTTTTGACATTTTTACCAAGCTAGTGGTCTACGCAGACAAAATCTCATAAAAGGGCACTCTGTTCTTCTTGATCCACTCAGACATGGCCTGTGAGTGAAGAAACGGGCTCTCCTCCTCAAAGAAATCACTGCTGATCCTCGTACCAGCCTGACACTGCTTCATGGGTTCTTCAAAGAGAGTATTCCCATAGGAACTAAAAGGGAAGAGGAATGTGTCTGGCGGGCATTGTGGGCAGCAGCGAGCTTTGGGCCAAATTTTAAGTTTGAAAATCAAGATTCCCTCTTTTCAAGGGGCTGCCGGACTGAGCAGATACAGGCACCATGAAAAGAGGGTGCCATGTTCAGATTCAGGAAACAAGGATGGTTTCTATTCAGTTCATCCATCATCCTTCAGGTCATGCTATTCCCATTTCCCTCTGTGGACCAAAAAATTCAGCGGGGTTTCTGCCTTTTAAACATTTCATTATCAACATATCATCCTTTTAGCCTCCAGAAAGCATTTTAACATGGAGATTCTGGCTTAAGACTCTTGTGGGTCTGTCTGTCTCTCTCTCTCTTTTCCTTGAAACGGTCTCACTTTGTCACCCAGGCTGAAGTGCAGTGGCGTGATCACAGCTCACTGCAACCCAACCTTCCAGGCTCTAGCAATCCTCCCACCTCAGCCTCCCAAGTACTTGGGACTGCAGGCACACACCACCATAACTGCCTTTTTTTTTTTTTTTTTTTTTTTTTGGTAGATATGAGGCTTCACCATGTTGCCCAGGCTGGTCTTAAACTCCTGGGCTCAAGCGATCCTCCCCCTTCGGCCTCTCAAAGTGCTGGGATTATTGGCTTCAGCCACCATGCCCAGCCAAGGACCTTGTCTCTTGTGAAGTACTCCAGAACAAAACATCACTGCAAAAACACATCAGGGCATGAGTTTTAGTCTTAAGTCCCACTTATCCACCATACACTATGTGCCAGGCACAACGCTAAGTGCTTCTATGGACGAGCTTCCCTTAATCTCAGCAGCAACAACCCCAGGCAATGGAGCCTGTTGACAGATCCATTTGCCACTGAAGACAGTAAGGCTCAGACAGGGTAAGTGGCTTGTGCCATGTCAGCCAGCTAAGGAGGGGCAGAACCAGGATGCAAACCCCAGCCGCCTGGCTCCAGAATCGCGTTCCCAAGGTCTCACTACACTTGGTCACTCCACCGCATTCCGGTATCCTGGTCTTTGGCAGAGTCCACGTAAAAGAGGGAGGTAGAGGGAGTGAGAGGGACTTCATGCAATAAAGTTTCCCGGCGTTACACTGCCACCGTAATTGTGTCCCCAACCAGGACCTCTCCCTTCTCATCCTTTCCGTGATCGGCCCTGGAAAACCTTCCAAAGAACTGTCCTCCTTCTCCCGGGATCTCAGAGAAAATTCACCTGAGTTCAGTGTCCAGGTGACCCAAGCTCTGAATGCGGTAACGTGGACGGGGAGAAGAGGATGTCACCATGAGCAAGCCTCCCAGACAGCATCCAGGAGCAACCCCAAGACTGGGCGGGGGGGCTCTGATGCCGCCCACGGCGAGGAGGGCTGCCCATGCTGCCTAAATGGGTTCAGAATGAAGACCGCCCTCTCTCCCATGTGGGGCTCATTAACCACGAATCCAATTATTAAGACAAGCTCAGCTGAGCAAATGGTCAAACATAAAAACATGTGGAAGGAACAAAGAGGTCAACCCCATTATCCATTAAAAACCATCAAGGTGGCGGCCCTCACTGAGGGGTACAGTTCTCCAGCGGGCCCTCATCTGCCCTCCAAACCCACATGCCTCCCCAGTGGAAGGCCAGCAAAGCCACACAGGAAGAGTTGGGGTAGGAAAGCAGAAAGTGAACCCCAGGAGGCCAGCCTGGCTACGCAGCCCCATCCCACACACACTGGCCCGGTGATTCAGGGGCCAACGTTTGCAGGACACCGGGAGCTCACAGGGACAGCGCCCCGGGGATGCAAGGAACTTTGCCTCTCTGTCCTTCTCTGTAGGGATGGAAAGAGGAGAGCGATTTCTGGGATGGAAGCCATCTGCCTCCTCTCAACTCTTGCTGCCCAACCAGAAAGGGAAGAAAAACAGGAAGATGCGGGACAGGTGAGGAGCTGGGTGAGCGCCGCCAGCCCGCAGTCCAGCCAAGCAGGGCTTGGCCAAGCCTGGCGCCAGGGACTTCCCCCCTACCCCCACCACTGGCCCCTCGCCAGGTGAGAGGCACCAACAGGGTCCCAGACAGATGCCCCAGACAGGATGCCCAGCGCAACACCCGCCACTTCCCCTGCTAGGGGCCCCCAGGACGCGGGGCTGCCCCTCTCTTTTTGGCCAGCCGCAGAGTCCAGTGGGTCTCCCAGCCAGCGACGTCGTGGGAGAATCAGGAAGTCAAAGCCACACAGCCGAGAAGCGGCAGCTGGCGTCTCGGAGGCCGTCACGCGCTGTCACTCCGCGCCCTTCGGAGTTGCCGCTAAAATACCAACTTCAACCCGGGGCCGGCCACGGAGCCTCCCGCCGCCCCTACCGGCGCCCCCGGCACCCCCGGACCCCAGCGCCCGCGTCACTTACTCCTCTGCGGTCGCCACCTGTCTGGGTGCCGGTCTCCTCCCTGCCTGGCCGCGGCGCGTCCTCCCCGTTCTCGCAGTCCTCGGGCTGTGCGCTTCCCCCCTCCAGCTACAGCCCCAGCCTCTTCTCTTCGGGAGGGACGTCGTCCTCCTCCCTCCTGGGCCGGCCATCCCTGCCTCGGGGCTTGCCAGTGGCTTCGGAGCTGCCGGAAGGGCTGGCCATGGCTCGGGGGCTCTGCCTGCACCTGGAGAAGAGGAAGGACACGGCCCGAGCGGCCTCTCGGTGGAGCTGGGGCGTCTGAGCGCGGGCTCGGTGGGTCCGCGCGGCGCGGAGCTGGGTATAGGGGCCGGCGCGGGCTCCTCCGCGGGCCGCGCCTGGCTCTCTGGCGCCCTCTTCTGGCCGCTCTCGCGCACCTCCGCCACGCCGGGCCCAGGCCTGCGCAGCTCTCACATGTCCTGGCCCAGGAGGTCGCTGTCCCTTGCCCATGGACAGGCCCGCTCTGGCAATGCCCTGCACCTCCTCCCCGCCCCGGCCAGGTTGCACCCCGATGGTCTCCCTGCTCAAGGAGGAGAGAAGAGAAGGGACGCCACTAGAGGGTGGACATCGGCCACAGCCACCTTGTCTTTGCTCTTACCCTGTGTCTTCCAAGATTTGGAGGTGGTGGGAAACCCGAGGCTGCTCAAAACTCGTGGAGAATTCCTCCTGCAGGATGACATGAATGCACCTTCCCATTGCCTACCAACAGATCTTTTTTGAGCATCACTGTGGACCAGTCGTGGTGATGGGGGAGGGGATATTGTGGAGAACATGACAGGCATTGCCTTCACCCAGTGGGGCTCAGCTCTGGGTGGGAAGGCATTGAGAATGGACATTGTCAACTGGGCCAAAGGAGGCCAAGGAGAAGTGCTGGGGGCATGGGAACTGAAAAAGAGAGGAGGCTCAGCACGTCTTTGAGCTGGGAGAGGGACAGCAGCAGCGGCTTTTCCAAAGGAAGCAACAGCTGAGAGAGGTCTCAGAGAGTTGTTCTCAGCCCAGTGGAGGGTGTTCAGGCAGAGGGAACAGCGTGTGCAAAAGCCCAGAGGCTGGGAAAGAAGCAGAAAGAGGACTGTGGGGCTGGAGCATGGTGGGCAAGGGGAGGAAGGTGTGGTGGGCAGACAGATTGCCTGGGACCCAGCCGTGCAGGGGCAGAGGAGATACGGGATCCTTGCAGGCCCCCAGCCGGGGCTCAGGCACAGAGACAGTGCAGGTGGGCAAAGGGAGGAGACGTGGAGAAATATTTTGGAGGCATGCCCTGATGAATGAGCCCAGGATGCACCCTTAGTGTCAGTGTGGAGCTCCTTCCTTGACTGTGTGATGAGCTGAACTCGGGGGTATTTTCTGGACATTGAGGTGCTACACCAAGAGCCCAGGACAGGCTAAGTGAGCACTAGCAGCTCCTGGCCCACCTCAAAAGCAGGAGAGACAGGGGAGACTGAGGAGGCCGGGGCGGAAGGGGAAGCCAGGAAGGTAGGAGAGGCCAGGGAAGCAGAGGAGGCCCGGGAGGCAATGGAGGCAGGAGAGGCTGGGGAGGTTATGTCCTTTCCATGATTCTGCCCTCGATCCTAGGCCCCTGAACTCCCTGAGCTTCCCCACCCCAAGCGCTGGAACCATGTTGCACAATGGTCTCCCCACTAAGCTCCTGATGGCAGCCCCTACCCTGCTGTGCTCCCTGTTTCAACCCTAACAGCTCTCACAGTGGGCAGCACATAGTAGGTGCTGAGGAAACACTGGTGGGAGAGCACGTGGGTCTGCTCAGCACCTTCCTCTCTCCTCCAGCTCTCCCCTGTCACGAAATAATTCTGATAACGACACATGGACTTTGAGACCCTCTTCTATTACTTTCCATATGCTAATCCATCTATACCTCACAGCAGCCCTGGGGGTGGGTGCAATGAGGATGCCCATTTTATAGAGGAGGAGACTGAGGTATAAAGAGGGTAAGTGACATACGCACACTACAGGGGCTGGGGTCAAGTGATCAGAGCACTCAATCCCCAAAGGCAAGGTGGATGCAGTTACCATAAAAGACAGCAGAGTCAAAGCTGTAACCAGAATAGACTGACTCGCAGCGACCTATGGTGCCTGTTGATCCTGGCTTTCCTAGAAGTGAAATAGATAAGAAGCCTGCCACATTTTTACTGGAACTGTGTTTGCAGAAGTGTTCTAGGTCAAGTGAGCAGAAGTCTAATCTGATTAATAAAAACAGAGTCACAGTCCCCGGTCAATTTCCAGACATAAGCCAGTTCACAGACCTGGAGTCCCTTGTGTGAATGGGAAGCCAGGTCCCCTCCAGAAAGGACTCTGCTACACTGCCAAAAATTTATACTGTCAATCTTTCTCCCAGCCTGCCCCCAAGGGAATAAACAGCCTTTTGCTAGGATGACTGAACAGGAGAAAAGGAACTAATGGGACCTGTGCAGGATCACTGGACACAGGCTCTGAACTGGCACTAGGATGAGACTAGGGTCTACCAGTCAGAATAGGCATTTTGAAGGTCAGGTGAATGTTGGTGCAAGTTCATGACACGGTAGGTCCATTGGGTCCCCAAATCCATCCTCTGGTTATATACAAAGCGGCAATGCTGAGATTCAAATTCAGGGCATCCAACATAGAGGCTGGGCTCTTACTCATGAAACATTCTGACACTAGTAACCAATTTAAAAATGTAAACACCTCCTGGGGCTAGTGAGAGTCCTCCAAACAGTCATGTAAATTGGTTCTGTCAAGGATTTCCCCCCACCCACTGCTGAGAGCCAGTTGCAAGGAGAGACTAGGGAAGGGCATTGGGTAACTTTGTTGCTAAAAGCTCTTCTGGATAAAGACATTTGGGAAAAGAAGCAAATAGAGTTCAGCAGAAGAGGTAAGAAAGTAAGTTTATGTTTGGCCAGGCACGGTGGCTCACGCCTGTAATCCCAGCACTTGGGAAGGCCGAGGCGGGCAGATCACGAGGTCAAGAGATCGGACTATCCTGGCTAACATGGTGAAGCTCCATCTCTACTAAAAATTCAAAAATTAGATGGGCATGATAGCGCACGCCTGTAGTCCCAGTTACTCGGGAGCCTGAGGCAGGAGAATCACTTGAACCCAGGAGGTGGAGGTTGCAGTGAGCGGAGATCATGCCACTGCACTCCAACCTGGGCAACAGAGTAAGACTCTGTCTTAAAAAAAAATTAAAATAAATAAATGCTATGCCCAGCATTTTCCATGTACTGTCTTATTATCTCGGTGAATCCCATATAACCTTCCTATCAAAGTGTATCTCATTTATCTCCATTTTATAGATGAGAAAACTGAGGCCCCTGGAGTAGTATTAATTTTACAAGACCGCATTGCTCATAAAGGGTACAGCAGGGACCCAAGCTCGACACTCTCACCCTCAAACATTTCCACAAGTGTAGACCAATGGCTCTCAACTGGGGTGGTTTTGCTCACGTACCGCTCCCTTGCCCCACATTATTTGAAACCATCTGGAGACGTCTGGGGTAGCCATAGCAGGGAAGGTAGAATGGCACCTAGAGGATGGAGACCACAGATGCTGCTAACCATCCTTCAATACACAGGACAGCCCCACCACCAGCACCACGAATGGTCTCACCACAAATATTCTGACTGTGCCAAAGCTGAGAAACCCAGGTTTCTCCTCAGCAAAAAGGAAAATCCCTGCAACGTGGATGCACCTCTACAGGAGCCCCAGGCTGACAATAAGCTTCCTGATCTGGTTTCAACCCTGGATGCTTTTACCTGGTGCGTCCATCAGGGATTTCAGGGACTCCAGTGAGTTATCACCCTTGAATGCTCGGTTCTGCCTGACAACCCAGAAATCTCTGCCGAGGTGCCTGGTCTTGCGGAAGACTCAGCAAGTGGTTGAGGTGGACAACCAAATACCTAGGAGAGACTTTTCTCTCCCTCCAGGAGGAGCTGTGGGTCAGACACACACTGGGATCATTCACAAGCGGTCAATAAAGGCTTGAGGAGGGGCAGATTTTCTAGGCCTTCTCAATGGGGTGGGTGTTTGTGGATAAGCAAGAAGCCTGTGAAACTTCTGATATTGGGAGGAAATCAATGCCCCCATCCTCCCCCCTCCCCCACCTCCCCACCATAAACACATGCCCTGCAGCAGGACTTGACACTCAAGGGCTCCTGGGGTCCCGATTAATCTGCTAAAACATCCTCTAGCCACCACCGAATAAAGCAACCGCTTGCCACCCAACCACAAGAGCACAGCCTGGGAGCCACTCCAAGGGACATCCAGTCACATTAAAACCTCAGCCATCCAGAGCACCAGGCCTGGTGATGAGAAAGAACATTTTATCCTTAAAAGCATCTGAATGCCCATGCTGCTTCTTGCAGAGAAAAGTCCAAAATAATCTGTTATTAAAGAACGAGGATGGTTTTGACATTTTTACCAAGCTAGTGGTCTACGCAGACAAAATCTCATAAAAGGGCACTCTGTTCTTCTTGATCCACTCAGACATGGCCTGTGAGTGAAGAAACGGGCTCTCCTCCTCAAAGAAATCACTGCTGATCCTCGTACCAGCCTGACACTGCTTCATGGGTTCTTCAAAGAGAGTATTCCCATAGGAACTAAAAGGGAAGAGGAATGTGTCTGGCGGGCATTGTGGGCAGCAGCGAGCTTTGGGCCAAATTTTAAGTTTGAAAATCAAGATTCCCTCTTTTCAAGGGGCTGCCGGACTGAGCAGATACAGGCACCATGAAAAGAGGGTGCCATGTTCAGATTCAGGAAACAAGGATGGTTTCTATTCAGTTCATCCATCATCCTTCAGGTCATGCTATTCCCATTTCCCTCTGTGGACCAAAAAATTCAGCGGGGTTTCTGCCTTTTAAACATTTCATTATCAACATATCATCCTTTTAGCCTCCAGAAAGCATTTTAACATGGAGATTCTGGCTTAAGACTCTTGTGGGTCTGTCTGTCTCTCTCTCTCTTTTCCTTGAAACGGTCTCACTTTGTCACCCAGGCTGAAGTGCAGTGGCGTGATCACAGCTCACTGCAACCCAACCTTCCAGGCTCTAGCAATCCTCCCACCTCAGCCTCCCAAGTACTTGGGACTGCAGGCACACACCACCATAACTGCCTTTTTTTTTTTTTTTTTTTTTTTTTGGTAGATATGAGGCTTCACCATGTTGCCCAGGCTGGTCTTAAACTCCTGGGCTCAAGCGATCCTCCCCCTTCGGCCTCTCAAAGTGCTGGGATTATTGGCTTCAGCCACCATGCCCAGCCAAGGACCTTGTCTCTTGTGAAGTACTCCAGAACAAAACATCACTGCAAAAACACATCAGGGCATGAGTTTTAGTCTTAAGTCCCACTTATCCACCATACACTATGTGCCAGGCACAACGCTAAGTGCTTCTATGGACGAGCTTCCCTTAATCTCAGCAGCAACAACCCCAGGCAATGGAGCCTGTTGACAGATCCATTTGCCACTGAAGACAGTAAGGCTCAGACAGGGTAAGTGGCTTGTGCCATGTCAGCCAGCTAAGGAAGGGCAGAACCAGGATGCAAACCCCAGCCGCCTGGCTCCAGAATCGCATTCCCAAGGTCTCACTACACTTGGCCTCTCCACCGCATTCTGGTATCCTGGTCTTTGGCAGAGTCCACGTAAAAGAGGGAGGTAGAGGGAGTGAGAGGGACTTCATGCAATAAAGTTTCCCGGCG
Source organism: Homo sapiens (assembly GCF_000001405.40). Classification (NCBI taxonomy): domain Eukaryota; kingdom Metazoa; phylum Chordata; class Mammalia; order Primates; family Hominidae; genus Homo; species Homo sapiens. The sequence continues at coordinate 7,686,022 of NC_000008.11, forward strand.
TTACACTGCCACCATAATTGTGTCCCCGACCAGGACCTCTCCCTTCTCATCCTTTCCGTGATCGGCCCTGGAAAACCTTCCAAAGAACTGTCCTCCTTCTCCCGGGATCTCAGAGAAAATTCACCTGAGTTCAGTGTCCAGGTGACCCAAGCTCTGAATGCGGTAACGTGGACGGGGAGATGAGGATGTCACCATGAGCAAGCCTCCCAGACAGCATCCAGGAGCAACCCCAAGACTGGGCGGGGGGGCTCTGATCCTGCCCATGGCGAGGAGGGCTGCCCATGCTGCCTAAATGGGTTCAGAATGAAGGCTGCACTCCCAACTTCAACCCGGGGACGGCCACGGAGCCTCCCGACGTCCCTTCGTCGCGTCCCCGGCACCCCCGCGCCCGCGTCACTTACTCCTTTGCCGTCGCCACCTGTCTGGGTGCCGGTCTCCTTCGTGCCCGGCAGCGGCGGGTCCTCCCTGTCCTCGCAGTCCTCGGGCTGTGCGCTTCCCCCCTCCAGCTACAGCCCCAGCCTCTTCTCTTCGGGAGGGACGTCCTCCTCCTCCTCCCTTCTGGGCCGGCCATCCCTGCCTCGGGGCTTGCCAGTGGCTTCGGAGCTGCTGGAAGGGCTGGCCATGGCTCCGGGGGCTCTGCCTGAACTTGGGGAAGAAGAAGGACACGGCGCGAGCGGCCTCTCGGCGGAGCTGGGGCGTCTGAGCACGGGCTCGGTGGGTCCGCGCGGCGCGGAGCTGGGTATCGGGGCCGGTGCGGGCTCCTCCGCGGGCGGCTCCTGGCACTCTGGCGCCCTCTTCTGGCCGCTCTCGCGCACCTCCGCCACGCCGGGCCCAGGCCTGCGTAGCTCTCACATGTCCTGGCCCAGGAGGTCGCTATCCCTTGCCCATGGACAGGCCCGCTCTGGCAATGCCCTGCACCTCCTCCCCGCCCCGGCCAGGTTGCACCCCGATGGTCTCCCTGCTCAAGGAGGAGAGAAGAGAAGGGACGCCACGAGAGGGTGGACATCGGCCAAAGCCACCTTGTCTTTGCTCTTACCCTGTGTCTTCCATGATTTGGAGGTGGTGGGAAACCCGAGGCTGCTCAAAACTCGTGGAGAATTCCTCCTGCAGGATGACATGAATGCACCTTCCCATTGCCTACCAACAGATCTTTTTTGAGCATCACTGTGGACCAGTCGTGGTGATGGGGGAGGGGATATTGTGGAGAACATGACAGGCATTGCCTTCACCCAGTGGGGCTCAGCTCTGGGTGGGAAGGCATTGAGAATGGACATTGTCAACTGGGCCAAAGGAGGCCAAGGAGAAGTGCTGGGGGCATGGGAACTGAAAAAGACAGGAGGCTCAGCACGTCTTTGAGCTGGGAGAGGGACAGAAGCAGCGGCTTTTCCAAAGGAAGCAACAGCTGAGAGAGGTCTCAGAGAGTTGTTCTCAGCCCAGTGGAGGGTGTTCAGGCAGAGGGAACAGCGTGTGCAAAAGCCCAGAGGCTGGGAAAGAAGCAGAAAGAGGACTGTGGGGCTGGAGCGTGGTGGGCAACAGGAGAGAGGTGTGGTGGGCAGACAGATTGTCTGAGACCCAGCCGTGCAGGGGCAGAGGAGATAGAGGATCCTTGCAGGCCCCCAGCTGGGGCTGACGCACAGAGACAATGCAGGTGGGCAAAGGGAGGAGACATGGAGAAATATTTTGGAGGCATGTCCTGATGAATGAGCCCAGGATGCACCCTTAGTGTCAGTGTGGAGCTCCTTTCTTGGCTGTGTGATAAGCTGAACCCGGGGGTATTTTCTGGACATCGAAGTGCTACACCCAGAGTCCAGGACAGACTAAGTGAGCACCAGCAGCTCCTGGCCCACCTCAAAAGCAGGAAAGACAGGGGAGACTGGGGAGGCCGGGGCGGAAGGGGAAGCCAGGAAGGCAGGAGAGGCCAGGGAAGAGAGGAGGTCAGGGAGGCAGGGGAGGCAGGGGAGGCTGGGGCGGCTGTGTCCTTTCCATGATTCTGCCCTGGATCCTAGGCCCCCGTACTCCCTGACCTTCCCCACCCCAAGCACTGTAACCATGTTGCACAACGGTTTCCCCACTAAGCTCCTAATGGCAGCTCCTATCCTGCTGTGCTCCCTATTTCAACCCTAACAGCTCTCACAGTGGGCAGCACATAGTAGGTGCTCAGGAAACACTGGTGGGAGAGCACGTGGGTCTGCTCAGCACCTTCCTCTCTCCTCCAGCTCTCCCCATCATGAAATAATTCTGATAACGACACATGGGCTTTGAGACCCTCTTCTATTACTTTCCATATGCTAATCCATCTATACCTCACAGCAGCCCTGGGGGTGGGTGCAATGAGGATGCCCATTTTATAGAGGAGGAGACTGAGGTATAAAGAGGGTAAGTGACATACGCACACTACAGGGGCTGGGGTCAAGTGATCAGAGCACTCAATCCCCAAAGGCAAGGTGGATGCAGTTACCATAAAAGACAGCAGAGTCAAAGCTGCAACCAGAATAGCCTGACTCGCAGAGACCTATGGTGCCTGCTGATCGTGGCTTTCCTAGAACTGAAATAGATAAGAAGCCTGCCACATTTTTACTGGATCTGTGTTTGCAGAAGAATTCTAGGTCAGGTGAGCAGAAGTCTAATCTGAATCATAAAAACAGAGTCACAGTCCCCCGTCAATTCCCAGACATAAGCCAGTTCACAGACCTGGAGTCCCTTGTCTGAATGGGAAGCCAGGTCCCCTCCAGAAAGGACTCTGCTCCACTGCCAAAAATTTATACTGTCAATCTTTCTCCCAGCCTGGCCCCAAGGGAATACACAGCCTTTACCGGGATGACTGAATAGGAGAAAAGGAACTAATGGGACCTGTGCAAGACCACTGGACACAGGCTCTGAACTGGCACTAGGGCGAGACTAGGGTCTACCAGTCAGAATAGGCATTTTGGAGGTCAGGTGAATGTTGGTCCAAGTTCATGTCATGGTAGATCCATTGGGTCCCCAAATCCATCCTCTGCTTATATACAAAATGGCCATGTTGAGACTTAAATTCAGGGTATCCAACTTAGAGGCTGTGCTCTTACTCATGAAACATTCTGACACTAGTAACCAATTTCAAAATGTAAACACCTCCTGGGGCTAGTGAGAGTCCTCCAAACAGTCATGTAAATTGGTTCTGTCAAGGATTTCCTCCTACCCACCACCCCCACCACTGAAAACCAGTTGCAAGGAGAGACTAGGGAAGGGCATTGGGTAACTTTGTTGCTAAAAGTTCTTCTGGATAAACAAGAGCCTTATCCAGGAAAAAGAAGCAAAATAGAGTTCAGCAGAAGTTGCGAAAAGAAGCACATAGAGTTCAGCAGAAGAGGTAAGAAAGTAAGTTTATGTTTGACCAGGCACGGTGGCTCACGCCTGTAATCCTAGCACTTTGGGAAGCCAAGGCGGGCAGATCACGAGGTCAAGAGATCGCACCATCCTGGCCAACAAGGTGAAGCCCCGTCTGTACTAAAAATTCAAAAATTAGCTGGCCATGATGGCACACGCCTATAGTCCCAGCTACTCGGGAGCCTGAGGCAGGAGAATCACTTGAACGCAGGAGGCAGAGGTTGCAGTGGGCCAAGATCATGCCACTGCATTCCAACCTGGTGACAGAATTAGACTCCATCTCATAAAACAAAACAAAACAAACAAAAAAATGTAAGCTTATTTTTAAGCCTGAACAAGTGTAGTGGTTTAGGGGTTCTGCAAACACGGCCCCAATCAGGCTACAAGATGTTCTGGCAGCAATATTTACAGCCAGTCACTCCTGGCCGGCTGAGCCACTTTTCAAAACACCCTTGCACGGCTGTGCAGAGAGGCTGGCTCCACTGGCAGCCGGCAGAGCCATAACTCACAGTGTCACCGCTGCCCTCAAACCACTTCGGTAAGCACTTTGTATTTTTGAGACGGAGTCTTGCTCTGTCATCCAGGCTGGAGTGCAGTGGCACAATCTCGGCTCACTGCAAGCCCCGCCTCCTGGGTTCATGCCATTCTCCTGCCTCAGCCTCCCAAGTAGCTGGGACTACAGGTGCCCGCCACCATGCCTGGCTAATTTTTTGTATTTTTAGTAGAGACGGGGTTTCACCGTGTTAGCCAGGATGGTCTCAATCTCCTGACCTTGTGATCTGCCTGCCTCGGCCTCCCAAAGTGCTGGGATTACAGGCGTGAGCCACCGCGCCCGGCCTGGTAAGCACTTTTAATCAATGCAACAGGAATAAACATTTGCTGCAGAGCGGCAATTTGCAGGGAAGAACATGCTTCCACTTAGGATCAGAAAGCAAAACCTCCTGGCTGTTTGCATCTATGCAAGAGCTCACAGGAAAAGCCCTCTGTGTGGCTGCCAGCCTCACACACTCCCCACAAGGGGTGAGTTTCTCTTTCCATGTTAATCTATGCTCTGACGTGCCATCTGTCAACCACCACACCATTCTCAGTTGACATTTCAAAGCATCTTTGCCCTGAGAATGGTCACCAGCTCTGCCCTGCAAGCCCCCAGGTGACAATGAACTTAAATGAGAGAGAAAACAGGTTTCGAGGTGGATTTCAGTTCAGCATCTTGGAGTCTCTGTGTGGACATGAAATCTGTCTCCACAGCTGTGGACTGCATCCTTGTTTGTCATCTGGTTTGGTTCTTGGGGACTTGGAAACTCGTGGGCACCTTTGCAATTTGTCAAGAAGCTGCACGGCCCTTCCAACAAAAGCAAGGAATAGGAACAGAAGCCCAAGGCTTCAGATCAAGGTGCAATTTAAAGCAGCCTCAGTATAAAAGCAAACAAGAGCCAGAGGGATGCCTAAGGGAGAGTCTAGACCTCAGGGCAGCTATAAGGCAAAGAGAAAGAGAGAGAGAGAGACAGAGACAGAAAGACAGAGAGAGATGGGAGGAGACATGAGGCACCCAGGCATCTGGATCAAAATCCCTACAAGAGGGGCCTCCTAAAAATTCAGGAGGCTGAGGTGGGTGCACACAGAAGTTCAAGACTAGCCTGGCAACATAGCAAGACCGTGTCTTTACAAAAAATACAAAAATTAGCCGGGTGTGGTGGTGTATGTCTGTGTTCCCAGTTACCCAGGAGGCTGAGGTGGGAGGATTGCTTGAGCCCAGGAGGTAGAGCTGCAGCGAGCTGAGATAGCACCACTGCACTCCAGCCTGGGCAACAGAGTGAGACTTCATCACAAAAAAATTTAAAAAAATTTTTAAAAAGGATCACCCCGGCTACTCGAATGGTTAATAAGAAGGTAAGAGCAGAAGCAGGGACATTCTGCAGGTGGGAGTCCACAGAGGCTCAGACCAGGCTGGGGCTGAAGACTGCCTGAATTCTGTGTATATTTTGATGATGAAGAAACTCACCGACTCTTGAAGAGTGGGCTCCAGGAGATGGTATTTTTAACAAGCTCTCAGAGTATTCTAATGCAGGCTGAAGTTGAAGAACTGGTTTAGGTGAAGCTTCTGTTTCATCCTTGGGGAAGTACCTACTGACTTTTCTCTAAGCCACCACAAAAGAGGTGCTAGACAAGATGTGCTCCAATGTCTGAACATGTGTGCACAGCTGTAGAGCCAACCTAAGGACACTGAGTCAAAGGTTAGGAGTACAACAGTGAACAACCACTGTCCTCTTTTCAATAAGCTTTGCATTTAATGAGAGAAAAAAAAGCAAAAAAAAAAAAATCATTTTCAACTCAGAATGGTAAGAGTTATGGTGACACTATGCCTGGGGCAATGGGAGCACATAGAAGGGGCACCCAATCGGCCAGGTGCAGTTGTTCATGCCTGTATTCCCAGCACTTCGGGAGGCCAAGGTGGGTGGATCACTTGAGGCCAGGAGTTCAAAAACAGCCTGGCCAACATGGTGAAATCCTGTCTTTACTAAAAATACAAAAAAATTAGCCAGATGTGGTGGCGGGCACCTGTAATTCCAGATACTCAGAAGGCTGAGGTGGGAGAATTGCTTGAACCCGGGTGGTGGAGATTGCAGTGAGCCAAGATCGCACCACTGCATTCCAGCCTGCATGGTCAGAGCGAGACTCTTTCAAAAAAAAAAAAAGAAAGAAAAAAGAAAAAGCTCGGAGGTGGGTGGGCATGCAATCTATATCAGGTGGTGAGAAATCCTTCTCCACCACAGGACTCCTCAGTTGAAGACTAGAAAATGGAAGGAACTAGCCAGGTTGATAGGAGAGGTGTGGAAGATCATTCCCAGCAGAGGGAAGAGCATGTGTAAAAATCGAGACGTGGAGGGTGAGGAGTTGAGAGATGTTCATATAATTGTAAAAAGTGACTAATATAGAGGTAAGTTGGAGGCAAATCTTAAAGGCTCTTTGTCGTGTCTATCCTGTAGACAAAGGGAGACAGTAGATGTTTTTATGCAGGGGAGTAATGATCCACTTTGTGCTAGAAGAAGAGTAGTCTGGCTGGAGGAGAGTGGGTGGTGAGTAGACCAGGTAGGAGGCTGCAATACGCCAAGTGAGACAAGATGGTTGGCTGGACCAAGGCTGTGGCAGTGAGGATGGAGAGGAGACAGTAGACTAACTTGACTGAGAAAGAGGGAGGAATGAAGGAGGAGGCCCAGGTGATTTGGAAGCTGGGTGGATGGTGGTGTGAATCTGACGTGGTGAGCCCTGGCAGAAGAGGAAATCAGGAGAGGAAAGGTAAGATGAGGTCAATGCAAGACAGACAGCCAAGTGGAGATAACAACTGGGCAGCTGGATTCATCAGCCTGGAGTTATACAGAGAGCTCTGGAATGGAAATAAAGAGGAAAGGACTTTGGGAATAGGTGAATCCTCCCAGAATAATGTGTAAGAAAGGAGAATAGAACACAGGGGACAGAAAAAGGGAAGAGATTTGTTATTAAAACCAACCATCCATCAGACATCTTCCAATAAAACACTTGTTAGAGGTTTCCTCAGTGTGAGTTATTCAGGACCAGAGCTAAAGACCATATTCCCAATAAAATAACTGCTGGGAAGGTCTTCATGAAAATATTTAATGCTGCTTTTAAAACAACAACAATAAAAAGGCTTTAGCTACTGCACAGACCCTGGAGCAATTTTTCAGCAAGTGTCTATCAAACACGAATCTGATCTGACTCAAGGAGGTGTCATATCAAGTGTAAAAATCCAATTCCAATGTCCATAAGAGCCTTTCTGCCAGGTACAAGACCCTAATCCAGTTGAAGTGATTTTCTATTGATTAATAGGCTGGGAATACACAGGTTGTTGGTTTTTGAGATTTCCCTCCCTGTGCCTTCATGCCAGCTGTGAAAGAGTCAAAAGGCTCCTAACTGTCAAAATAAAAATGACACTTCGTCACAGAGGAAGCAGATTATAGGTCAATCACATTGATGACTTTTTAACTATGAGAAGCCATTAATGTTACTGAATAAGCAAATCTGTTTGCATAAGCAGATTTTTATAGGCTACTGGGAATAAAGGTTTTCCTAAGTGGGTGATTTGTACAACGATAGCCTTTGGGTCTCTGATGGAACAGCTCTGACGAGGAAATGTTCCTTTAATTATGTGGAAGGCCAATTACCACGTTATAGCCACATTGTTTTGCAGATTGCATATAATTTCACCATTTCCATAGCTTCAGCACGATAATTCTGGAGAAAATTCAGGCACCAAGGAGACACTTGAGGCACACTATGCTGGAGACAGATGTTTTAGCGAATTCAGTTTAAGCTTCAACATTAAAGTTATTTTGTTGAATAAAACATAATGCAATAATGAGCTTGTGTATGTCAACTCTATAGTGCAGGTAATAATAGCTAGAGAGAGCATGTCCCGTCTCCTCTTTTTAATGCTCATTTGAGTAATACATAATGCTATAGAGAGAACTTTTCTCTAATATGTGCTTCACCTCAGGCTAAGCGTGTTTTGGGCAACTGTGCTTCATGAAAAAAAAGGTAAAGGATCTAATTTGGGAGCCACTCACAAAAGTGTTACCACTTGATGTTTTTTTATACTCTGAGATTTCTTATTCCCAGTGCCTACCAGGAATGGACTTTCTGGAGAAGCTCAGATTAATCACTCCTTATGAGAGGTAACAGCGTGCTGGCAGCCCTCACAGCCCTCGTTCACTCTCGGCACCTCCTCTGCCTGGGCTCCCACTTTGGCAGCACTTGAGGAGCCCTTCAGCCCACGGCTGCATGGTGGGAGCCCCTTTCTGGGCTGGCCAAGGTCAGAGCTGGCTCCCTCAGCTTGCAGGGAGGCATGGAGGGAGAGGCATGAGCTGGAACTGGGGCTACGTGTGCTGCTTGCCTGCCGGCTGGAGTTCTGGATGGGCGTGGGCTTGGCGGCCTTGCACTAGGAGCTGCCGGCTGGCCTTGCCGGCCCGGGCCGTGAGGGGCTTAGCACCTGGGCCAGCAGCTGCTGTGCTCGACTTCTCACTGGGCCTTAGCTGCCTCCCTGCGGGGCAGGGCTCGGGACCTGCAGCCCGCCATTCCTTAGCCTCGCCCCTCTGTGGGCTCCTGTACGGCCCAAGCCTCCCCGATGAGCACCGCCCCCTGCTCCATGGCACCCAGTCCCATCGACCACCCAAGGGCTGAGGAGTGTGGGTGCATGGAGAGGGACTGGCAGGCAGCTCCACCTGCAGCTCCTGTGCTGGGTCCACTGGGTGAAGCCAGCTGGGCTCCTGAGTCTGGTGGGGACTTGTAGAACTTTATGTCTAGGTAAGGGATTGGAAATACACCAATTGGCACTCTGTATCTAGCTCAAGGTTTGTAAACACACTAATCAGCACCCTGTGTCTAGCTCAGGGTTTATGAATGCACCAATTGACACTCTGTATCTAGCTACTAGGGTGGGGACTTGGAGAACCTTTGTTTGGACACTCTGTATCTAGCTAATCTAGTGGGGACGTGGGGAGCATTTGTGTCTAGCTCAGGGATTGTAAACGCACCAATCAGTGCCCTGTCAAAACAGACCACTCAGGCTCTCTGTAAAATGGACCAATCAGCAGGATGTGGGTGGGGCCAGGTAAGAGAATAAAAGCAGGCTGCCCGAGCCAGCAGTGGCAACCCACTGGGGTCCCCTTCCACACTGTGGAAGCTTTGTTCTTTTGCTCTTTGCAATAAATCTTGTTGCTGCTCACTCTTTGGGTCCACACTGACTTTATGAGCTGTAACACTCACCGAGAAGGTCTGCAGCTTCTCTCCTGAAGCCAGCAAGACCATGAACCCACTGGGAGAAATGAACAACTCCAGACCTGCAGCCGTAAGAGCTGTAACACTCACCGTGAAGATCTGCAGCTTCACTCCTGAGCCAGCGAGACCACGAGCCCCACCTGAAGGAAGAAACTTCAAACACATCTGAACATCAGAAGGAACAATCTCTAGACACACCACCTTTAAGAACTGTAACACTCACCAGGAGGGTCCACAGCTTCATTCTTGAAGTCAGTGAGACCAAGAACCCACCAATTCTGGACACACTTATACACTTGGCACTGGGAGGTCTGTATGGAGCAAGTGAAGAAATCAGCAGAGTGAAGATAGAAGGAGAACAACATGATGGGGGAAAGGCAAAGTTAGTGCCACATTGGTTTCAATTCTGCCACTCATGAGTGAGACCCGTGACCTCCTCTCTCTAAGACTCTGTTGTTCTTATCTGTAGAGTGGAGGAATAGAAGGGCCTTTTAAAGTATTAACATTTCCTGACCTATCTGTAAAACACTTTCATTCAAACTGATGGGAATCTTGACTGCTTTGCCAAGAGGGCATAATAATCATCAAGCTGAATGCACCAAACAGCATTGCCTGAAACTATCTAAGCAAAATCTGAGAAAGTTACACAGGACAGACAAACCTCCTATGAGAGTAAGAACTCTTCAGCACATGCTTAGTGTGTCAAAGACAATACTGTGTTCACACCATTCCTCTTCCTGGACATGCAGAAAGACTACATTTCCCAGCCTCACTTGCAGTTAGTTTGGAACCATGTGACTGCATTTCCACCAATAGGAATGTAAGAAATCACTTCTGGGCCAAGGTTATCAAAGTGTGAGCTATGTTCCCTCTCTTCCTATTCATATGGCTACAAGTGAAAAACTCTGAGATGGCAGAATTAAAAGATGGAAACCTGCAGAATCTCTGAATCACTGTTGGACAAGGGCCCCCAAAGAGAACCCCTACCCTGCACCAGACTATGCTATGGGTGTCAACCCACTGAGAGTTCAGAGTTTATTCGTCTCAGCAGCAGTCTATTGTTACACTGACTAACATCCTGAGGTTTGAGAGGTCTAGCATATTGTTAACTGAAGTTAGATTTCAATTACACTGAGAACCTTATCTATTTAAAAATAAAAACTCTCCTAAAAAAAAAATCCACATTCCTTTTAACCACATGTGGCAAATTTGCAAAAAAAAAAAAAAAAAAAAAAAAAAAAACTGGCCACATATTAGGCCATAAATAAGTCTCAACAAAATCCACTATACGATTGACAGTGTCCAGAGCACATTTTCCTGACCATAATGCCACAAAATTAGAAGTCAACAGCAAGAAGATAGCTAAACGCAAGCATATATTTGGAAAATTAAAAATATCCTTTCATGAGTTAAATGAAAAATCATAATAGAAATTACTAAACATTTACAACTGAATGAAAACACAACTTTATATATATATGTATATATATAATGTGTATATATATATATATATATATATATATATTTTTTTTTTTGTGAGTCTTCCAAATTTGTTCTTCTTTTACAAGGTTATTTGGGAAATTCTGGGTCTCCTGCAATTCCTCTTACAGTTTTATGCTGTGTGTCAATTTCTGTGGCTGGGTCTATGAGAACTTATTGTAGTTCTCATAGACCAGGGTTTGCATGTTGCTGTCTAGAGCCCTGATCTGCTGCACCATGTCCGTCTCACTATCCATCAGCTGGGCCAGAGGGCACTCTCTAGGAAGCTTGTCTAGGTAAACTTCCGGGTCGAAGTGCACCCCGTTCAGATCAGTGGGGTCCAGGGGTTCGGTCCCCGCGGGGAGTCCCACCGCCTCCACTTCCGAGAGGCCGTTGTAAAACTTCAGCATCCTGTCCGCCTTCCACCGACGCTCCTTGAGCCTCCCCCTCGGGCCCTTCTGGGGAGTCCCCAGGTCCACACCCCGGGCTAGGCCCAGTGACAGCTGCCGCCGCCATAGCTCCAACTGCAGCCCACGGGCGTAACTTTTATATTTTTAAGTTGGATACATGGAGCTACTTGGCTTTTGCTTTCATCACCTCGTTGAGGAAAGAGCTGGTTGCTTATGGTACCCCTGTTTTTACTGCAACGTGTAATGGATGAGAACCTCCCTGTTGCAGAGAGCAAAACACTGAACTAAATTGTGCTGTAACACAGCTCTGTATTGGGGGAGTGGGAGTGATCATGCAAACGCTTGCAAATTTGCACAGTGACAGAGACAATCGTTTGGGCAGCTGTTCACTATATGAAAAGGCAATTGACCAAAAGTCAGTTACTGAGCTATCTCAATACTTTCATTTTATTTTAACTTTTGGCAGCAGGGTGCAATTAAAGGAGAGAAAGAAAACAAAGTGATAAGTGTAAAATAATGTACACACATGTGTAAAAGAAAATGACAAGACAGGATGACTATTTGTCTCTTGGTTAGCTCCTTGGGCTCTATGTCTCCTTCCTCGGAGAACCTCGTTTTCCTTTGCCCAGATTTGTTAGGGTGGATAATCCAGGCGCCTGCTCCCCCATGATGGAAGCCAAAGACGTCCCTGGAGCAGCGTCCCGCTGCATCCTTTCCTGCACTGCCCACATGGACACAACTCAGCCGATTAGTCTTCCTCTCAGAACTTTAGTCTTGAGCAAAGGGATTAAAGGGTGAAGTGACTGAAGGTATGCCCTTCCAAAGTGGTACGTGAGCTAATGGCTAAAGTTTGCCAAGCCCATCCAAGCACTTTTTTTCGTAATTTTTATTTATTTATTTTTTTGAGACGGAGTCTTGCTCTGTTGCCCAGGCAGGAGTGCAGTGGCGTGATCTCGATTCACTGCAACCTCTGTCTCCCGGCTTCAAAGGAGTCTCCTGTCTCAGCCTCCCCAGTAGCTGGGATGACAGGCGTATGCCACCATGCCTGGCTAATTTTTTTGAGTTTTTTTGGTATTTTTAGTAGAAACAGGGTTTCACCATGTTGGCCAGGCTGGTCTCGAAATCCTGACCTTGTGATTCGCCTGCCTCAGCATCCCAAAGGGCTGGGATTACACACGTGAGCCAACGCGCCCAGCTTCAAAGAGTTTTAAGCAGAGCTCAGAGGTCTTAACCACAGGCACATCGGAGGAGCATTTTTGAAACACTTTCCATCTTCCTCAATAGGAATGGAAGCCAAACTCCGAATTGATGACTCCTTTGAGGAAGTTGAGAGCTGTAAGGAAAGCCAGGAACAGGGGCAAGGGAGAGATGCGTCCCGAATGATCCTGTGCAAATTCTTTCTGGAATCCTTGATGTGATCTCAGCTGCCCTTTCTATACATGACACAGTGATTGTGGCACCCACTGGTCTAGCTGTGGTCTACAAGGAACCCCCAAAGGGAAGGGCACAGTGAGCAGGGGCATCCGCCTGAGTGACGAGGATTTGAGAGGGCAGGTTGGTTGCAGGGAGAGGACTTCCCAAATGACATGTGTCTGGACTTAGACTGCCTGGTTCAAATTGGACTTCACCCTTTTTGACTTCGTGATCTGGTACAAGCTACGTGAAAATCCGTTGAGCTTTTTCTAGTCTGTAAAATCATCATGAAATGTGCACTAATAACTGGGAGACTATGCAGATGAAATGAAACAAGCTGCATAGAGCACAGAGCTCAGAGCCTGGCCTTTAGGAAGCCCTCAGTAAGGGTTCATGATGCCATGGTGTCTGTCGTCATCCTCTTTATCCTCATCATCACCTTCATAATCTCTTTGTTGTTCTTAGGGAATAGCTAGAGGGGCTGATTCCCTGCTATCATGGGTGAGATGTTTATGAGAAGGACAACCAGTGGGGGAGGAAAGCAAAATTTTGAATAAGATTTCTGAGACCCCCAGCACAACCAAGAACATAAACTGCACAGTCTGCTGAGCAGAGAGTTGCATATTGGTCTCCTCACATCTGCCCACCGCACTCTCCTGTTTGTCCTGAGGATGAGGAAACAAACAAGTCTCCCGAACGTCCCTCAGCACTCACTTGAAGGGGTGGCCTCCCCCTCCACAGCTGTGGGTATTTCCAGTCGGGTAGGACGAGAGACTGAGAAAAGAAATAAGATACAGAGACAAAGTATGGAGAAACAACAGTGGGCCTAGGGGACCGGCGCTCAGCATACAAAGGACCTGCACCGGCACAGGCCTCTGAGTTCCCTTAGTTTTTATTGACTATTATTTTTATTATTTTAGCAAAAAGGAATGTAGTAGGAGCACAGGGTGATAATAAGGAGAAGGTCAGCAACGAACATGTGAGAAATAGAATCTACTTCATAAGGAAGTTCAAGGAAAGGTACTATGACTGGATGTGTACGTAAGCCAGATTTATGTTTCTCTCCACCCAAACATCTCAGTGGAGTAAAGAATAACAAGGCAGCATTGCTGTAAACATGTCTCGCCTCTCACCATAGGGTGGTTTTTCTCTCATCTCAGAATTGAACAAATGTACAATCGTGTTTTATACCGAGACATTCAGTTCCCAGGGGCAGGCAGGAAACAGCGGCCTTCCTCTCTCTCAACTGCAAGAGGCTTTCCTCTTTGAGTAATCCACCTCAGCACAGACCCTTTACGGGGGGCGGGCTGGGGGATGGTCAGGTCTTTCTCATCCCACGAGGCCATATTTCAGACTATCACATGGGGAGAAACCTTGGACAATACCCTGCTTTCAAGGGCAGGTCTCCCTGCGGCTTTCCACAGTGTATTGTGCCCCTGGTTTATTGATACTAGAGAATGGCGATGACTTTTACAAAGTATACTGCTTGGAAACATCTTGTTAACAAGGCACGTCCTGCATAACCCTAGATCCCTTAAACCTTGATTTCATACAACACATGTTTTTGTGAGCTTCAGGTTGGGGCAAAGTGGCTGGGGCAAAGCTACAGATTAACAACATCTCAGCAAAGCAATTGTTGAAAGTACAGGTCTTTCTCAAAATGGAGTCTCTTATGTCTTTCCTTTGTACATAGACACAGTAAGAGTCTGATCTCTCTTTCTTTTCCCTACACTCACTGAACTGCCTCTCCCCTCTGCTGGGACATGACCACGGAGAACAGGTCCACTGTCCTCCCTGCGTGGTGCACCATGGAGGCTCAGACTCCGTCCTCAAGGCTGGCAAGAAGACAGGGTGAGACATGAGCCTCCTGATACAGGTGACGGCTGTGGAGACCACAGGACTGCAACCTCACACTGCAGGGCTGGAGGCACAGACTGAGTATTTACTATCCTGTGGCCTGGGGGGCTCAGGCACAGAGCTCCTCATTAGCCAAAGCTGCCCAAGTTCCCCAACCTCTAAGGATGTCCTCACAATAATGCAAGAAGAAGAAGAGAAAAGTGAGTGTCCATAGAAACTTTGGGGCTCCTCCTCTAATCAGAAGAAAGCTGGTGTGTATTCTTCGCTTCTTTCTTTTCTTTTTAAACATCCAACTGCTTTAATTTTCATCTTTTATAATGGGAAAATATACCACGTATAAATATTAAAAATTATAAATATATATTAGTTCATATAGAATGGCCAGTATAAACATTTACAATTTCCACTCTTTTTCAGTTTACAGATTATTGACATTAAGTACGTTCACATTATTTAGCAAGCATCACCGCCATCATCTCAGGAACAGTTTTATCTTTCAAAATGGAAATTCCACCCATTCACCAAGCTCTCCATTCCTTTCTCTCACCCACCCCTGGGGGCCACCTTTCTAGTTTGCAACTCTATGAGTTTAACTACTCTAGACACTTGATAGATAAGTGGAATCATACCGTGTTTAATTTTTTTGTTTTGGAGACAGAGTCTTTCTCTCTCACCCAGTCTGGAGTGCAGTGGCGTGATCTCGGCTCACTGCAACCTCCACATCGTGGGTTCAAGCGATTCTTGTGTCTCAGTCTCCCGAGTAGCTGGGATTACAGGCTTGCACCACTACGCCCAGCTAATTTTTGTATTTTTAATAGAGACGAGCTTTCACCATATTGGCCAGGCTGGTCTCGAACTCCTGACCTGAAGTGATCCGCCTGGCTCAGCCTCCCAAAGTGCTGGTGTTACAGGTGCGAGCCACTGAGCCTGGGCCTGTTTATCCTTTTGGGATTTATTTATTTCACTGACGATAATGTCTTCAAGGTTCATCCATGTTGCGGCCTGCCTCAGAAGTGCCTGTCTGTTTTTTTTGTTGTTGTTGTTGTTTGTTTGTTCGTTTGACTTTGTTTTGTTTTGTGTTTCCATGGAGTCTCACTCTGTCGCACAGGCTGGAGTACAGTGGCACAATCTGGGCTCACCTCCGCTTCCCGGGTTCCAGTGATTCTTGTGCCACATCCTCCCGAGTAGCTGGGACTATAGGCACACGCCTCCATGCTCATCTCATTTTTTGCATTTTCAGTAGGGACAGGGTTTCCCCAAGATGGCCAGGCTGGTCTTGAATTCCTGACCTCAGGTGATCCGCCCACCTCGGTCTTCCAAGACGCTGCGATTACAGGCGTGAGCCACCGCACCGGCCAGAAGTGCCTGCCTTTTGAAAGCTGAATAGTCTTCCATTGTATGAAGGAACTGCAGTGTGCTTTTTCATTCATCTGTCCACGAACCCTTGGGTTGCTTCCACATTTTGGCTCTTGTGAATAATGCTGCTATGAATATGGGTGTACACAAATCTGTCTTCCACTCCTGGCTTCTTTTTTGTAGGTACCCACAAATGCAACTGCGGCAACATCTGATCATCCTGTTTCTAATTTTTCCAGTAGACACCATACTATTTTCCCCGTTCCTTCACGGTTTTACATTCCCTCTGATCAGATTCGAGCATTCCTACTTCCCTCTAGTCTCACCAATCCTGTTTGTTTATCATATCCATCCTAATGTGTGGTGTCACATTCTTGGTTTGATTTGCGCTTCCCTATGATGAGTGATTTTGAACATCATTTTAGATGCTTATTGGCCACTGCTATATCTTCTTTAGGAACACGTCTACTTGAGTCTTCTGACCATTGTTGATGGGATGCTTTGGGTTTCTTGTTGTTTAGTTCTGCCTGTTCTTTATGTATGATGGATATCAGCCTCTTTTCAGATATACGCTTTGAAAATATTTTTCCTAATCCATGGGTTATCTTTTCACTCAGTTTGCCGTGATTTTGCTGCACAAAAGTGTCTGTCATTTCGATGTAATCCAAGGAATCTAATTTTCTTTTGTTGCCTATGCTTTTGGTGTCACATCCCAGAGAACATTGCCCAATCTGATGTCATGAAAGCATGGCCAATGTTTTCCTTTAGGCGAATGATTCTTTTAGCGCTTGGGGTGAGGTCTTTGATCCAGTTTGTGTTAATTTTTGCCCCTGGTGTGACATAGGGTCCACCTTCAATCTTCTGCATGTGGAAATCAAGTTTCTCCAACACCATTTCTTGAAAAGGCTGTTTTTCCACCAATGAGCTTTCTTACCACTCATGTTAAAAATCATTTGAACATACAGGTGACAAGTTATTTCTGGGCTCCAAAATAAACAAACAACAGCAGACAACAGATAATGTTACAGCATGGGCTGGGCGCGTCGCTCAAGCCTGTAATCCCAGCACTTTGGGAGGCCGAGGTGGGCGGATCACCTGATGTCAGGAGTTGAAGACCAGCCTGACCGACAGGGAGAAACCTCCGTCTCTACTACAGGCGCATGCCTGTAATCCCAGCTACTCGGGAGGTGGAGGCAGGAGAATTGCTTGAACCCAGGAGGCAGAGGTTGCGGTGAGCCAACATTGCACCATGACACTCCAGCCTGGGCAACAAGAGCGAAACTCCATCTCAAAACAAAAAACAAAAAACAAAAAACCAGCATGATTTCAAGAGCAGAAAGAGAAGAGCTGAAAAACCAGCATAATGAGAAAATTAGGAAGTTTCTTACCAAAGCATCTGGAAATATTCAAGAAATTCTTGTGAACTAAAATTTTCATACTGTACAATCAAACACTAGAACTCACTTATTCCATCTTTCTGTATTTTGGGACCCAATTATCCACTTGTCTTCATTCCCCATCCCAACCCTTTTCTTCCTAGCGTCTGCTAACCACCTTTATACTTTCCACCTTCCTGAGATTCCTTTTGTGTGTAGGTGTGTGATGGAGTCTCTTTATGTTGCCCAGGTTGGAGTACACAGGCACAATCCGGGCTCACTGTAAGCTCCGTCTCCCGAGTTCAAGCGCTTCTTGGGCCTCAGCCCTCCAAGTAGCTGAGACTAGAGGCACGCGTCACCACGCCCGGCTAATTGTTTGTTTTTTCCGTAGAGACGGGGTTTCACCATGTTGGCCAAGCGGGTCTCGAACCCCTGGACTCAATTGATCCGTGCGACTCGGCCTCCCAGAGTGCTGGGATTACAGGTCTGAGCCACCACGCCTGGTCAAGGTTTCCTTTTTTCTTCCTACGTAGAAGTGAGGACATGAAATATTTGACATTCTGTGCCTGGCTTATTTCATTTAATATACAGACCTGCAATCACATCCATTTTGTCTGCAGCAGAGAGGATTTTCTTCCTCTTTAGGCTGAATAATACTTCATTGGGTGTGTATACCACAGTTTCTTTATTGAAACAAATTTCTAAAGAGCAAATATTTTTAAAGTCTCAGAATGTGAAACTTCAGGGATACCGTGCCCATTTTATTCTTTTCTATTTCCCATCTTATGTATATGCAAGTGTATAACAAATCAGCAATTGATGTGTGTATAAATCTATAACTTCAACAATTGCAAAATGTAAATGCTAAGTGGTGGCTGGGCGCGGTCCCTCATGCGTGTAATCCCAGTACTTTGGGAGGCGGAAGCGGCCGGATCACCTGAGGTCAGGAGTTCAAGACCAGCCTGACCAAAATGGAGAAACATTGTCTCTACTAACAATACAACAACAACAACAACAAAAAGATAGCCAGGCATGGTAGCGCATGCCTGTAATCCCAGCTACTTGGAAGGCTGAGACAGGAGAATTGCTTGAATACGGGAGGCAGAGGTTTCAGTGAGCCGAGACCGTGCCATTGAACTCCAGCCTGGGCAACAAGAGTGAAACTCTGACTCAAAAAAAAAAAAAAAAAAAAAAAAAAGGACAGGAAGGAAATAGAAAATGCGAAATGGTAAGAAAAAACAGCATAATAAACATTTGTATGGCGTTGATGGACAATGCATTTGAAGATAATATTTGAAGAAATCATATTACAATTAATTTCTGTTCTTACTCATTGCAGCTTGATGCCTCTAAAAACTTCGTCATTGGAACCATCTCTGGTGCTTTAAAAGAAAAAAAAAAAAAATCCACACACTCACACAGGTGCAAGGAAATCAGAATCTCAGGTATTGAGAACCAGTCCTCATCATGTGTAAGCTGCCCAGGTGATTTGACTCAAAGCCAAGATTGAGGAACGGCGACATGGATATCTACACAGAACCTGCCTAAATAGATTCTCTAGAAGAAGTTTATAAAGAAATTCCACATGAACTGTGGAAGAGGATATGAATTTGATGTACAGTATGTCCTCACTTAACATCTTTGAAAGTCTCTTGGAAACTTCACCTTGAAGCAAAATTATGTACAGTGAAACCACTTATTTTTCATCAACAGTATAACTACACGACTTTGAACAACCAATGCTGTTGGAGGACCTTCTGTACATTGTTTCCATAAAGTCAGTTTTCAGGGAATTCCAAAACGAAGTGAGGACTTCGTGTATATAAAATGATGGTTGTGATTCCACCTGGATGACATGGTTATTGCTCAGAGACTAAAAGAGGCCACCTAGGTATAGAAGATTCTGTCATGAGGTTTCTGCTAAACCAAGGATCCCAGAATCGTCACTCATTCCAGATAAAGGCATAACGAAGAAAGCAATATTCACAAAGGAAATGCGGAAAGGAATAAAAACCATCAAGCCACAAAAAGAATGTGACTAAGGGGCAGGATTTGCAGATAAAGAGATTTAATGTGATTGCCCTTTCTCACCCACACAAGAAAAAGGATGGAACAGATCATGAGATTCGAATGCTCTGCTGCCCAGCCTCCGCAGGGCACTTTGTATGTCCCTGTTTCTCAGGCTGCAGATGAAAAGGTTCAGCATGGGGTGACCACAGCGTACATCACTGATGCCACCACACCATTCCTGGGGGGTGGTGACACAGCTGAAGTCAGGTACATGCCAATGCCTGTTCCATAAAACCAGCAAACAACTGCTAGATGACAGCCACAGGTGGAGAAGGCTTTATACTTCCCATCTGACGATGAAATCCTTAGAATGGAGGGGACAATTTTATAGTAAGACAAAAAGATCCCTGAAATGGGAAGAAAACCAAACATAGTACTATCGAAATATATGAATATGTTATTGATGACACTGTCAGAACAGGCAAGTTTGAGAAGTTGAGAGGGGTCACAGACCAAATTAGAGATTTCCACATTCTTGATGATGGTTAATTGTAACACAATCCAACTGTGCAGCTGGGAATCCAACAGGCTAAGGAAAAAGGACACCAAAACGAAGAAGACACAGAGGTGAGGATTCACGATGACTGGGTAGTGCAGAGGGCGACAGATGGCTACAAAGCAGTCATAGGCCATCACAGTCAGGAGCATGCCTTCTATACATGCAACAAGGAGCAGGAAAGACATCTGTGTCAGGCAGCCCGCATGAGAGATGACTCTGCTATGCGACTGCGTGTCCACAATCATCTTGGGAACCATGGCCGAGGTGAAACCGATGTCAGGCCAGCACAGGTTGGAGAGGAAGAAGTACATGGGGGTGTGGAGGGGGCAGTCAGAGCTGACAGCCAGGATGCTGAACAGGTTCCTCAGCACCGTGACCAGATACATGGACAGGGACAGGGACAGCAAAGCGAGGGCCGGCTGCAGTTCTGGATCCTCTGAGAGTCCCAGGAGGAGGAATTCTCAGACACCTGTGAGATATTAGTCCCAACATCCCAGAGGGTGTACACTACCCCTGTGATATTGTCCCTAACTTCCAGAGGGGAGAGGATGACATCACTCCCAATATCTCAGAAGTTGTACATCCCCCGTGATATTGTTCGTCATATCCAGGGAGGCGCAGGATGACATTCCATTGAATTTCGCGACAGGCCTACACGCACAGTGTGATACTGTTCCTACTATCCAAGAAGGGAGAGGATGATATTACTCACAATAAAGCAGTGGGTGTACATCACCTCTGTGTTGTTGTCTCTAATATCCGGGGCCGGGGGAGGAGGGGAGAGGATAACATTGCCTCCAATTTAGCAGGTGGTTTGACGCCCCTTGTGCTGTTGTTTTAAATATCCAGCGGGGAAGACAGTAGTACTATTTTTGATAGTCCGATTCATCCTCTCCACCTTTCCGGAACTCTGAGGCCGGGAGGCGGCATGTAGTTTCCGTGCGATCCCCAATACCTTTGCCGTTTTCTGTACCAAGGCAGCCAAAAACGCAGGCCCGTTGTCTGAGCCGATCCATAAGGGCGGTCGAAATCTAGGAATCACATCTCGAAGAAGCACAGGGATTACTTCACCAGCTTTCTCAGTTCGTGTTGGATAGGCCTCCACCCACCCAGAGTAGGTACGCCCAAGAACCAGTACATGCTTGTTACCTCCACACTTTGGCATCTCCGTGAAGTCCACCTGGAGACCTTCAAAGGGGGCTGCTCCACAAGCTCGTATGCCGGGCGGAACGGCTGGACCTTGACTCCCATCTTGCTGTCAGCAGGTAACACACCGCTGCCTCACCGTTTTGGCAAGGGTTGACAAAGGCGAGATGTAGAAATACCGGCCTAACAACTTTTCCAGTGACTCCTGACCTCGATGGGTGTTTTCTTGCACAGCCAGTACAACTGCAGCTCCTAGCAGCTGTGGCACAGCTACTCTCCTATCTGGTAACTGAATCCATCCTTCCTCCATCACTTGTCCTTCCCTCTACCTGGAGAAAGTCCTTTCTTCTTTAGAAGAAGCAGGTCCAAGATCAGGTGCTTGAGGGAGCACTGATGCCCAGAAGGGGGCAGTTGCTGCTTTTCGAGCCTCTGACTCAGCGCGGGAATTCCCCAAACACAGCAAGGTGGAAGCTCGCTGGTGTCCTCTGCAATGCCTAACTGCCACCTTGTGGGGTTTCCATACTGCTTCTAATCATTGCAAGATTTCTTGTGGATATTTTCTGTCTTTCCCCCCAGAATTCAATAGGCCCTTTTCTTTCTATCACACTCCATGCACTTGAAGGGTTAAAAAGACATACTGAGAATCAGTGTAAGTGTTGACAGTCTCACCCTCACTGAGTTCTAAGGCCCAAATGAAAGCATTGAGTTCAGCTTTCTGGGCTGAAGTGGCCTGGGGCAACGACCTGGTTTCAACAACAGTGTCCAGAGTTATCACTGCATACCCTGCACCTCTCTCTCCTTGGGGGTTGAAGAAGCTGCTCCCATCCACGTGTGGCTCCCAGTCTACTGATGCCCAAGTCTGGTCCCGGAGCTCAGGTCTGCTAGAGTCAATTGAGTCCAACACTTCTACACAATCAGGCTCGACAGGGCTCCCTGATACCGGCAGCAAGGTGGCGGGGTGTAGGGTGTTACAAACTTCAATGGTTATACGGGGATTTTCACAGACCAAAGTTTGGTACTTGGTGAGCCTGGCATTCGTTAGCCAATGACGTCCTTTAGTATTCATCACCACAGCACGGGAGGCCTTTATGTTCAGGTTTCGCCCAAGAGTCAGCTTATTTGCTTCTTGTACTAGCAGGGCAGTTGCTGCCAAGGCCCTCCAACAGGGGGGCCATCCTTTAGAAACTCCGTCTAGTGGTTTACAGAGGTAGGCCACCAGCCTCAGCCAGGGCCCCACAGTTTGGGTTCAAAGTCCAGCTGCCATCCTTTCTCTCTCTGATGCATACAATGGAAAAGGCTTTGTCAGATCGGGTAGCCTCAGGGCTGGTGCTGCCAGAAGTTTTTCCTTTAACTCATGAAATACTTGCTGTTGTTGGGATCCTCATTCCAAAGATTCCCCGTCCCCGTCCCCCTTGTGACCTCATACAAAAACTTGGCTAATACTGCAAAGTTTGGGATCCACAGTCTACAAAACCCCACAGCTCCTAAGAATTCTCCTACCTGCCTTCTGCTCTTAGGCTCCGCTAGATGGCAAATGACCTGCTTTCTTTCTGATCTCGGGCTGCGTTCCGACCCCTGTCGGATAGTAAATCCCAAGTAACGTACCTGCTGTCGGCAGATCTGAGCTTTCTTCTTGGACACCTTCTACCCACAGTCCTCCAGGTGCGGTGTAGGGCATCTGTTCCCTTGGCACACCCGACTGCCGTGGGGTGTCCCAGCAGAAGGTCATCAACCTACTGGAGCAACAAGCAGCCTAGGTCTCTGCTAGGAAACTTCTGGAGGTCTCGATCCCATGCCTCCCCGAAGATGGTGGGGGAGTTCTTGAACCTTTGGGGAAGCCCGGTCCAAGTGTACTAAGTAGTGACACCTGACTCCGGATCTTCCCACTGAAAGGCAAACAGCTTCTGCCTCTCAGGGGCTAATCTGATAGGAAGGAAAGCGTCTTTTAGGTCCAAGCAGGTGAACCAGCTGTCCTCAGCTGGCGGCAACCCCAACAATGTGGACGGGTTAGGTACTGTTGGATGTAAAGTCAGTGTGGCTTGATGAAGCAAGCGCAAATCCTGTACCGGCCGGTAGTCCTTGGTCCGTGGCTTGGGAACAGGCAGGAGGGGAGTGTTCCATGGAGACTGACAAGGAACAATCATTCCAAACGTTCTTAGGTGCTTGAGATGGACCTGGATACCTTGAAGGGCTTCTCTGGGGACCGAGTCCTGTTTTTGCCTCACCGGCTGGGCCCCAGTCTTAACTGGCCAATCCTGGAGGGTTCTCTTCTGCCCGAACTCTTGGCCAGCGCTTAGCCAGAGCTGGTCTTTTCTCTTTGCCCGGGTCAGTTCAGAAAAGTCTCCATTCCTCCTCTCGGGGGACCATAAGCGTCATAATGACTCCCATTCCGGGTAACTTTAGCAGCAAAGAGCCGTGCTCTGTGAAAGAGGCAGTGGCTCTCAGCTTGCTGAGCAAGTCCCTTCCTGAAAAGTTCAAGAGACTGTCAGGCATGTAACAAAACTGATGAATGACTTTATGTCCTCCTACAGGACAAGTCCAAGGCAAGCAGAAAGCTTGCTTTGCTGAAACCCCCGTGGCTCCGATGACGTCAGTAGTCTTTTTCGGTAAGGGGACGACCGGGGCGGTTACTAGCGAATGTTCAGCACCGCTATCTACAAGAAAGTTAATGTCTCCACCCCTGACTGTCATTCTGAACAGATGTCAGAATGGGGATGCTTGAGCCCGGTCTCCCTCAGTCCAAGAACCCTTCCGCCAGGTTGAGCAGGGCCCCTTCCTCCTTGTCCGGGGCCTCCGGCTCTGAGTCACCTTCTTTTCTTTTGAGCTGAGGGCATTTGTTCTTCCACTGTCCTATTTCTTTACAATCAGCACACTGGTTACGCTGCAAACTCTGACAGCCAAGCTGAGTTTCTTTCCCAGGGCCCCCTTTCCCTTGCCTCTTTGCGGGGGCCCCTCTGATTGCTGCAGCTGACAAACAGGTCGGCGTGTGGCCGGGCCTGACCTCCATTCTCTTTGCCGTTTTCCTTACGGCTTACTGCATACCTGTTTACAAACACCTGGCTAGCTATTTCTAGTAATTGGGATGGATTCTTCCCTGCAAGCCCAGTCTGTTTCTGCAGTTTTCTTCTCATGTCTTCTGCACTTTGATGGACTAAAGCCATGTGAATCATGCGCTGATTTTCAGGGCTATCGGGATCAAAGGGAGTATACATATGATAGGCCTCATACAGTCTCTCGTAGAATTGTGCTGGACTTTCTTCTTTTCCCTGAATGACCTCAGAGAGCTTGTTAACGTTTGTGGCCTTCTGAGCTCCCCTCATTAATCCTTCCAAGAGAGCTTCCCTGTCTCGGTTTAGCCTTTGCATCTCCTCTCTTTCATGTGGGTCCAACTGGGGGTCGGTTCCTGGCAACTGGGTCCTTCCATACTGTTCGGGGTTTTGATAATCAGCTGGTGCATGTTCCTCTAGCCACTTAGTTGCTGCTTGGAGGACTCTCTGCCTTTCTTCACTGTTAAAGAGGAAAATGAGCAACTGGTGCCAATCGGTCCAGGTGTGGTTGTGGGTCTGGATAACAGTTTGGAGCAAATCAATTAGGGCTTGTGGCTTTTCGGTATAGGGCGATGTATTGTTTTTCCAGTTGAGAAGGTCGACGCAGGTGAAGGGCTGGTACCCAAAAACACGTCTCTCCACTACATGAGCATTTTCATCTATCCCAGTATACCGCTGCTCTCTCAGGGGCATTTGTGTCCCCGTTTTGGGTCGTAAACGAGCTGCCGAGGAAGGGGTGGAATGGCGCAATGCGACTTACCGCAATTAATAATCTCAATTATTAACTGACACTAATAATTATCAATATTAATAACCCATAATATAATTTTAAAAATCAATACGGATACTAATGATAATTAATATTAAATAGTTATACTAACAATAACAATACATGATTAATATTGATGATTATGACGCCTGATATTAATAACTGATACTGATCTTATTCTTTAGAAAATAGTAATATTAGCTCCTAATAATTAATATTAATATTAATAATCTGAGAACTTTTTATTAGCAATTACTTCTTAATATTAATATTAATATCGGCCATTCATATTCATGTTAATAAAAAACAAGGAATAATTCATACTAATAGTATGCCCTAATACCTCAGTGGGTGTACACCCACCTGTGATATTGTTCCTAATGTTCAGGGAGGGAGAGAGCATGATATTACGTTCAATATCGCAGCAGGTGCACACCCAGCCGGTGATATTGATCCGAATATAATCTCCAGGGGGTGGAGTATGACATTACTCCCAATATAGCACTGGGTGTGCATCCACCCGGTGATTTTGTTCCTAATATTCATGGAAGAAGAGAATGCTATTACTCCCAACATCGTAGGAAGTGTACACCCCCGTGTGACGTGGTTCTTAATAATATTCCAAGGCGGAGGGGGTGATATGACTACACATATGGCAGAAAGTGGACACCCCCAAGGATATTGTTCCCACGATCCTGGAGGGAAGAGGATGATATTGCTTTCAGTATCACAGAAGTTGGACACGCCCCCACTGATATTGTTTGTAATTGCAACGTGGGAGAGGAGGATATGACACGCGATATCCGAGGGAGTAGAAACACCCCTGTGATACTGTTCTTAATATTCAGAGAGGGAGAGGATGATATGACTCCCAATACAGACGGTTGTACAACCTCTGTACGCCGGGGTGAACACTGGTGGGTGAAACAGTTCACAATCTCCAGAGCGGGAGACGATATTACTCACAATATGATAAACAGGCTGTGAGTCCACCGCGGATCCTAAAAACCAGGGGGGCAAGAGGGGTTAGCTCTTCCTCTGCGCATGGCGGGGCGTGCCTCACCCCCTGCGATGGGGGTCCTAAGAGCCAGGAGGTAAGATGGGAAGGCTCTTAATACCCGCATCAAGGGGCGTGCCTCACACCACTGCGATGGGGGTCCTGAGAGCCAGGGGGGCAAGAGGGGCTGGCTCTTACCCCAAGCATAGCAGGACGTGACTAACCCCGCTGCGATGGGGGAAACTAAGAGCCAGGGGGGCAAGAGGGTTTGGCTCTTACAACCCGAAACGGGGGGAGTGCCTCACAACCTGCGATGCGGGTCCTAAAAGCCAGGGAGGCAAGGGGGGATGCGGGAGACAGTGGCTGTCCTCCATCTAAATTGCAAGAGGCTTTCCTCTTTGACTAATCCACCTCGGCACAGACCCTTTACGGGTCTCAGGCTGGGGGACAGTCAGGTATTCCCCATCCCACAGGGCCATATTTCAGACTGTTACATGGGGAGAAACCTTGGACAATAACCTGCTTTCAAGGGTAGAGGTCGCTGCGGCTTTCCACGGTGCATAGTGCCCCTGGTTTATTGAAACTAGAGAATGGCAATGACTTTTACCAAGTATACTGCTTGTAAACATTTGGTTAACAAAGCACATCCTGCACAGCCCTAGATCCCCTAAACCTCGATTTTATACAACACAGGTTTTTGTGAGCTCCAAGTTGGGTCAAAGGGGCTGGGGCAAAGTGGATGAGGCAAGGCAACAAATGAACAACATCTCAGCAAAGCAATTGTTTAAACTACAGGTCTTTTTCAAAATGGAGTCTCTTATGTCTTCCCCTTCTACATAGACACAGTGACAGTCTGATCTCTCTTTCTTTACCCTACATCCAAGGGCTTGAACATTTCTTGACTTGTTGGCAATCCAAATCGTTACGTCTCCGAAACAGAGTTGACTGAGGGGACCGCAGGGCTGGGCAGGACCTTTGACTTGCTATACATCCACAGGAGCAAGAAAACCTCAGCCCCACTCTACCAACACGCACCTAGTAAAATCCCGCCAACCGCATCTCACGCACGCTAACACGTGGGGAGCGTTGCTTGCACCACGAGTCCCCATTTGGCTCAACCGCCGATGCCAAGTGTGTGGTTCCAGTTGCGACGGCCCCCCGTGAAGTGGCTTCCGGATGTGCGAAGGAACCAGGCAGAGTTTCACTGGCCAAATAGACCCCAGCAAAGCTGAAGTTAACTCCCACATTTGGGATGTACTTCAGAGGTAAAACATTCATCCCGTCTTCTTTCCGGATGTCTGACACCATGGTTCTCCCCCTGATCCTAAGAGTAGCTGAGGTAGAGACTCACTGAAAGATCTAGGCAGGGATATCCCATCATGCACAGGCTCTCTCCATTCTCTGACCTGGGAACAACTCTCAGCAGGATTCCACATCTAGGAGGCCTCGGAACTCAGTGGGATTTTCTGAGACACACCAACTGGCTGCTCCCTCTCCGCCGCTGTTGAGGGTCGTTATCTTGATTATCCAGATCACCTAGAAAGTATCCGTATCCAGAATGAATAAGATCAACTCTCTGCTCCTCTGACAGCAGAGGGAGCAGGACCATAAGGAACCAAAGAGCGTGGAAGGAAACGATGTGACAGGAAAGCTCAGAGAACGGCCACAGGGGGTCGTCAGCAGGCCTTCCAACCTGAATCATGAATAATTAATGAAGCGCAAATCAAAGGGGACTGGAGTTTCAGCAGGAGCAATTCATCCAACGGGAGATCGCCGGAGGGCCAACAAGATTGAGAGACTGGGAGCCGGGTGCAGTGTCAAAGGGGACGCGACTGGTTCCAAAGCTCGAGAAGACCATGGGGTCACTTGGGCTACATGAGAAAACGCCCCAGTGTGCTGGTTCATCATTCCGACTCCTGCCTGTCTCTTCCCGTCCAAGGAACATGGACCCTAAGTCGTGCAGGTGCGGATGACCATGGGCAGAATTAGGGGCCGTGGCACAAAAGTTCACCGACACGGGAGTTCCACAGAAGGTGCGGTGGATCTTCGCAAATCCAGAGACATGGCAATGGGACCCAGGGAATTACAGCCTCACAGGCGTCCGGGAGTCGCAAGACGAGCTGAAAAAGGAGGCAGGCACTGAAGGACAAAGCGTTGTTGACTTTCCTCATCTGTGTTTCCCAGTGCGGTCCAATTCACGGTGGTTTCCAAGCGCCTCCTGGGGGAGAAAACACATGAGGGTGCGGTCAGGGTTCTCTGCTGACAGACTTACCTTGGGGAAGAAAGAGAAGCTCTGAAGATGGATCATGGCCGTGACTGCATGTCAAGGAGAGTCTCCTTGATGACACTGAGGCCTACGTCGAGAGAGACAAAATGTGGTCCAATTAAAAGGTGTCTATTTTACCACATTTTTTAAAACGAAACAAAACAAAACAACAAAAAAGATGGAAAAGAAGACAGGGATACAGGCACCAGTGTTACATGTCTGACGGGGAACATCTATTGTTCAAAGCTTGCAGCTGTACAAGTAGGTTTTAGAATGTCTGTCAGCAGTGGACAGGATCTTAGAGTGGGCTGTGCAGATAGACCTTTCCAGGTCATGTAATTGGATTAAGTTAATTGCAATTAAGGTACAGGTAACTGATTAGGTTAGGGTACGTTCCATGTCAGGTGACCAGAGGCAGTATAAAAGGCAGCCTGGAAAGCAGAGGTCCCTCTCCGCCCCTTCCTCCGTCGTCCTGGATGCTGCATCGCTTCCAGCGGGGCTGCTGCAGCACCTGCCCATCTCAGCGCCAGCCTGGGAAAGAAAGTAGACGTGTAATTTCAGGTTGGTTTCGCTGAACAATTGTTTCTTTCACGCAATCCCTGGGGGGTTTTTGCGGGGGGTGGGGGGGAGGAAGAGACAAAGGAGGCCGAAAGAAACCGATCACACTGGGGCTTGCTGGTGGGGTAGGATGTGTTCTCGTTACTAGTAATTCCTGGAACAGAAAACGAGAAAACATATCCGTCTCCACGTGTGGGAGAAGACCAAGATGGGAATGCGAAAAGAAATGTACTGCAGCATGCTGAATTGGTGGGTAAACGGCAAAAGGACTTTGGAAAAAAGGGTGGTTGGCCCTTGAGCCGTGTAAGACGTCGATACGATATGGCACTTCTTCCCCGTTTGTTCAGATGAATTCGTGTGGTATGCGTAAAATACCAGGAAAATAAATAAAGAGGGGCTGGAGCTAAAGCCAAAAGATAGAACAGGAAAGACCATCACCTGCTAGTGCGGTAGAGAGGAAGGTAACTTCTCTGTATGAATTTGTGTTTGGAAGTTGCCTAATGAAATGGCAAGAGTAGCGATTCAAGTTGTCACAGGAAGCATCCCTTATCCCTGACTTCAAGCAGACCTGCCAAAGGGTGGCACACGCCATGCCCTGTGTCTTCGATCATTCTGTCCGTCAAGGGAGATAGAATCACCGTGTCTTCTACCGGAGTGAATCGTGAGAGACCTAAGTCCAGTCTCCAGAATCAGTTGTTTGTTTGGGGTTGAAAGCTCAACCCCCCATACCTAGGCCACGGGCCCTGTGGCAGGTGGGGTTTACTCTTGGACTAGGTAGTCATGGCAGAGGAACACACAATATCCGAGAATGCGCACAGCACATTGTGTTCTACAGATTTGACCGACTGGTGGTGAGGTCTCCTCATGACCACACAGGCAGGGAGTTAGCAGGTGGCTTCCTGTGGGTGTGTGAATATCCAACGTGCTTAACCATCGACATGTGTGTGTTTGTGTGTGTTTCAGGTGGCCCAACAGTCCACCCCTGAAAAAGGCGGTCATAAAACCCCCAGGAGACGAAGATGATGGCACGTCGGGACCCCACATCTTGGGCCAAGAGACTGGTGAGAGCCCAGACCCTCCAGAAGCAGCGGAGGGCCCCAGTTGGGCCAAGGGCTCCCCCGCCCGATGAAGAAGATCCCAGGGTAAGTCTAGCCCTGGATCTCTTGGGTATCGGGGTGGGGGTGGGGACGGGGGGAGGGGGTGTCCCACGGTCCTCAGAGACTGGGTTGGATTCCAAAGAGTTCTGTCACCACCAGCCAGGTTGCTTTTCCCATCCAAGGTGGGCGTGGCTTGGGACCTTCTCCCCGGCCCGATAGGTCCCTTGAGAGACTCTTGGGGGCAACCTCCCTTTCTACTTAGAGTCCTGTGTAGCCACGTTTGGCTGCGTTGTTGACATCGGCTTCACCATCGTGCCCCTTGGAACCTTGAGTCCTTCCTTTCAGAGTTCCTCCGTCACACGGGCTTTGCGAGGGAACATCGTATCCGAACTCTCCCAGCACTTAACGGCCCCCATGCCGGTGTCCCCTCTTTGGAATCCTTATTCAGCTCTGAATTCACAATCCGTCCCAATGTTGACGTGGGATCGCTGCCTGTGGCTTCAGCTCACTCACTGACATCACTTCCTTTCCACCCACAGCTCAAGTGCAAAAACTGCGGGGCCTTTGGCCACACGGCCAGAAGTACCAGGTGCCCCATGAAGTGCTGGAAGGCAGCCCTGGTTCCAGCGACCTTGGGGAAAAAGGAAGGGAAGGAAAACCTGAAACCATGGAAGCCCCGGGTTGAAGCCAACCCGGGGCCCTTGAACAAGGATAAGGGAGAGAAGGAAGAGAGACCAAGGTGAGCAGTGGGAGGGGTTTTCACCACTCTTAGGATGCTGCCTCCTAAGGACATGGTGTCTCTGCACCTGCACACCGTGTGCCTTTCCGTCTCCGGGCCAGGGAAGGAGCGCTGCAGAGAAATAGGCCGGAGCTCCGTGTCCTCCGGGGTTCCACACCCAGGAGCTCCTTGGGCTCTGGGAGATTCAGGGACGGGGAGAGGCGGGGGCGCTTCGTGCAGGTTCCCCACGACAGGGGGAAAAGCGATGGAATCCAAATCACAGTCCTTAGTTCGGAAGCCTAGAGGGCCACCTGGAGGATGGGAAGGTTGGCACGTGAGGGAAGGTGCAGAGGCGGAAAGGGCACCAGATGTCCATTTCTGTATCACAAAACACGGAATGGGGCTGGGCCCCAGACGGGGTTCTCCCTGTCTCCTGGGGAAAACCAGGGGGCACGGCCTGACCTTTTTCTGTTCTGCAGGCAACAAGACCCGCAGAGGAAGGCTCTCCTCCACATGTTTTCCGGGAAACCTCCAGAGAAGCCGCTGCCGAATGGAAAAGGATCCACGGAACCTTCTGATTATCTGAGGGCGAGTGTCACCCCGGGCCCCTGGTCTTTTTCTCCTCTAGGTCACCCTGGTTGATTTCCTTTCAGCTTCCCGTCTGCGGGAGGAAATCGGGGAACCCCTCTTTCTTGCCTTCTTGGGGTCAGGGACTCCACGATCCTTCCAGGTCAATTGGATTCCAGGCGAAGGCATCTGAACATGCCGTATTTCCTGTTGCTTTCTTTCTGTCCAATTATGGCAAGCCTGCCAACAACACGTTCCTAGCGGCATGAGGAAATTAGTCCCTCAGAGGCCCCAAACGTGGAGAAGGCGAAACCCAGGAACATGCATGTGTTCAGAGAAGACGTCCCGAGTACCCTTGAGCCAGCAACCTGCCTTGGGAAGGGCATTAGTCCGTTCCACTTCATGGAAGGCTGAGTGGAGGCGCTTTGATCCAGTTAATGCCCAAGACGCGATCTTTTGAACAATGGTGTGCTTAGATCAGCTACACATAGCTCGAGAGCGCATCTTTCATGTGTCTTGTCCTGATCAGCACTCAGGTGGAGGGTCTGTCCCTACTTCCAAGGACCGCCTGTCGATACTGTACTAAGAATTTCATGGCGTGTGCACCTTGTCTTTGGATGTGCTTGATTTTCACGTTGGCTCCATGCTGAGGAACTTCTAACCTGTGTTGTTTCCTCTCTTTCAGGTTGCAAGCGGGCCAATGCCGGTCCACACAACCAGTAAGAGGCCGCGCTTGGACCCTGTCCTCGCTGATCGCTCAGCTACCGAAATGTCTGGCAGGGGCTCCGTCTTGGCTTCACTGTCTCCCCTCAGAAAAGCCAGCCTGAGCTCCTCCTCAAGTCTTGGACCAAAGGAAAGACAGACAGGGGCTGCGGCCGACATGCCTCAGCCTGCAGTCAGGCACCAGGGCCGCGAGCCTCTCCTCGTGGTGAAGCCGACACACAGCCGCCCCGAGGGTGACTGCCGAGAAGTTCCCCAGGCTGCCTCCAAAACCCACGGCCTGCTCCAGGCCGCCAGACCCCAGGCACAAGACAAACGTCCTGCGGTGACCTCACAGCCCTGCCCGCCAGCCGCCACACACAGCTTGGGCCTAGGCTCCAATCTCAGCTTCGGGCCAGGAGCCAAGAGACCTGCCCAGGCTCCGATTCAGGCTTGCCTGAACTTCCCCAAGAAACCGAGACTGGGTCCCTTCCAGATCCCCGAAAGCGCCATCCAGGGAGGTGAGCTGGGGGCCCCGGAGAATCTCCAACCTCCGCCAGCCGCAACCGAACTTGGACCAAGTACGTCGCCCCAGATGGGCAGGAGGACACCGGCCCAGGTGCCCAGCGTCGACCGGCAGCCTCCGCACAGCAGACCTTGCCTGCCCACTGCCCAGGCCTGCACCATGTCCCATCACCCAGCGGCCAGCCATGATGGGGCCCAGCCTCTCAGAGTGCTCTTCCGGAGACTGGAAAACGGACGCTGGAGCTCCAGCCTCCTGGCGGCCCCCTCATTTCACTCTCCTGAGAAGCCGGGAGCCTTCCTCGCTCAGAGCCCTCATGTGTCAGAGAAGTCTGAGGCTCCCTGTGTTCGTGTCCCACCGAGCGTCCTCTATGAGGACCTTCAGGTTTCCTCCTCCTCAGAGGACAGCGATTCTGACCTGGAGTGAGACTGCAGGTGGCAGGGGCTCCTTGGCCTCCAGCTCCCGTGACTTGGAGGGGACTGTGGGACTGAGGAGCGCAGAGCAGAGAGCAGACTCTGTGCGGTGACTCCGAAGCTCCCCGGCTGTGGCGCTTCTGTGGATGTGGGAGCCCAGGCCAGGCAGGGAGCAGATGCAGGGACTCTGCCTCATTGAATTCTGGTGAGGGACGTTGTAGTTGGCGTGGTTCTCCCGAAACGCGCCAGGAAAAGCTTCCGTGCCAGAGATTCGTTGCCTCAGAAACTGCGTGACGCGCAGGAGTCAGACTTCCGCTGGGACGTCAATAGGAAACTGGGGAATTACTGTGTATTTGCTCTCTAGATGACTGAATAAGGGAAAAGTTAGGGAACCCTGAGAGGTGCAGCCCTTCCTCTGTGCCCCGCCCTGAGAGCAGAGTTTCGGACGCTGGGAAGCGTGCTGTGTGAAGCGCTCTCGGGGTCTTTCCTCAGCCTCGAAAACTGGGCTCTGGAATGCCTTTGTACATATGTGTGTTTAATTGGTTTTGAAGTGAATAAAATTCTCAAAAAGATGACATATTGTCTTTTGACTCTCATTCCGTGTTTGTGTGTAACTGATTTTCCAAGTGAAGGGGTGGCCTGCCCCTCCACACCTGTGGGTGTTTCTAGTCGGGTGGGATGAGAGATGGAGAATAGAAATAAGACACAGAGACAAAGTATAGGGAGACAACAGTGGGTCCAGGGGACCGGCACTCAGCACACCTAGGACCTGCACCGGCACCGGCCTCTGAGTTCCCTCAGTTTTTATTGATTATGATTATCATTATTACAGCACAAAGGAATGCAGTAGGGGAGCAGGGTGATAATAAGGGGAAGTTCAACAGCAACAACAAAAACAAACACGTGAGCAAAAGAATCCATATCATTATTAAGTTCAAGGGAAGGTACTATGCCTGGACGTGCACGTAGGCCAGATTTATGTTTCTCTCCACACAAATATCTCAGCGGAGTAAAGAATAACAAGGCAGCATTACTGCCAACATGTCTCGCCTCCCGCCACAGGGCAGCTTTTCTCCGAGCTCAGAGTTGAACAAATGTACGATCGGGCTTTACACCGAGACATTCAGTTCCCAGGGGCAAGCAGGAGACAGTGGCCTTCCTCCATCTGAACTGCAAGAGGCTTTCCTCTTTGACTAATCCACCTCAGCACAGACCCATTGCGGGTGTCAGGCTGGGGGACAGTCAGGTCTTTCCCATCCCACGAGGCCATATTTCAGACTGTCACATGGGGAGAAACCTTGGACAATACCCTGCTTTCAAGGGCAGAGGTCCCTGTGGCTTTCCACGGTGCATTGCGCCCCTGGTTTATTGAGACTAGGGAATGGCAATGACTCCTACCAAGTATACTGCTCGTAAACATTTGGTTAACAAGGCGCGTCCTGCACAGCCCTAGATCCCTTAAACCTCGATTTTATACAACACAGGTTTTTGTGAGCTCCAAGTTGGGTCAAAGGAAGGGGCTGCGGCAAAGCTACAAATGATCAACATCTCAGCAAAGCAATTGTTTAAACTACAGGTCTTTTTCAAAATGGAGTCTCTTATGTCTTCCCCTTCTACATAGACACAGTGACAGTCTGATCTCTCTTTCTTTACCCTACATCCAAGGGCTTGAACATTTCTTGACTTGTTGGCAATCCAAATCGTTACGTCTCCGAAACAGAGTTGACTGAGGGGACCGCAGGGCTGGGCAGGACCTTTGACTTGCTATACATCCACAGGAGCAAGAAAACCTCAGCCCCACTCTACCAACACGCACCTAGTAAAATCCCGCCAACCGCATCTCACGCACGCTAACACGTGGGGAGCGTTGCTTGCACCACGAGTCCCCATTTGGCTCAACCGCCGATGCCAAGTGTGTGGTTCCAGTTGCGACGGCCCCCCGTGAAGTGGCTTCCGGATGTGCGAAGGAACCAGGCAGAGTTTCACTGGCCAAATAGACCCCAGCAAAGCTGAAGTTAACTCCCACATTTGGGATGTACTTCAGAGGTAAAACATTCATCCCGTCTTCTTTCCGGATGTCTGACACCATGGTTCTCCCCCTGATCCTAAGAGTAGCTGAGGTAGAGACTCACTGAAAGATCTAGGCGGGGATATCCCATCATGCACAGGCTCTCTCCATTCTCTGACCTGGGAACAACTCTCAGCAGGATTCCACATCTAGGAGGCCTCGGAACTCAGTGGGATTTTCTGAGACACACCAACTGGCTGCTCCCTCTCCGCCGCTGTTGAGGGTCGTTATCTTGATTATCCAGATCACCTAGAAAGTATCCGTATCCAGAATGAATAAGATCAACTCTCTGCTCCTCTGAC
The DNA here is from genome assembly GCF_000001405.40 of Homo sapiens. NCBI lineage: Eukaryota > Metazoa > Chordata > Mammalia > Primates > Hominidae > Homo > Homo sapiens. The sequence goes on from NC_000008.11 coordinate 7,720,811, forward strand.
AGCAGAGGGAGCAGGACCATAAGGAACCAAAGAGCGTGGAAGGAAACGATGTGACAGGAAAGCTCAGAGAACGGCCACAGGGGGTCGTCAGCAGGCCTTCCAACCTGAATCATGAATAATTAATGAAGCGCAAATCAAAGGGGACTGGAGTTTCAGCAGGAGCAATTCATCCAACGGGAGATCGCCGGAGGGCCAACAAGATTGAGAGACTGGGAGCCGGGTGCAGTGTCAAAGGGGACGCGACTGGTTCCAAAGCTCGAGAAGACCATGGGGTCACTTGGGCTACATGAGAAAACGCCCCAGTGTGCTGGTTCATCATTCCGACTCCTGCCTGTCTCTTCCCGTCCAAGGAACATGGACCCTAAGTCGTGCAGGTGCGGATGACCATGGGCAGAATTAGGGGCCGTGGCACAAAAGTTCACCGACACGGGAGTTCCACAGAAGGTGCGGTGGATCTTCGCAAATCCAGAGACATGGCAATGGGACCCAGGGAATTACAGCCTCACAGGCGTCCGGGAGACTTTTCAGGCATAATGCCTGGAGTCGCAAGACGAGCTGAAAAAGGAGCCAGGCACTGAAGGACAAAGCGTTGTTGACTTTCCTCATCTGTGTTTCCCAGTGCGGTCCAATTCACGGTGGTTTCCAAGCGCCTCCTGGGGGAGAAAACACATGAGGGTGCGGTCAGGGTTCTCTGCTGACAGACTTACCTTGGGGAAGAAAGAGAAGCTCTGAAGATGGATCATGGCCTTGACTGCATGTCAAGCAGAGTCTCCTTGATGACACTGAGGCCTACGTCGAGATAGACAAAATGTGGTCCAATTAAAAGGTGTCTATTTTACCACATTTTTTAAAACAAAACAAAACAAAACAACAGAAAAGATGGAAAAGAAGACAGGGGTACAGGCACCAGTGTTACATGTCTGACGGGGAACATCTATTGTTCAAAGCTTGCAGCTGTACAAGTAGGTTTTAGAATGTCTGTCAGCAGTGGACATGATCTTAGAGTGGGCTGTGCAGATAGACCTTTCCAGGTCATGTAATTGGATTAAGTTAATTGCAATTAAGGTACAGGTAACTGATTAGGTTAGGGTACGTTCCATGTCAGGTGACCAGAGGCAGTATAAAAGGCAGCCTGGAAAGCAGAGGTCCCTCTCCGCCCCTTCCTCCGTCGTCCTGGATGCTGCATCGCTTCCAGCGGGGCTGCTGCAGCACCTGCCCATCTCAGCGCCAGCCTGGGAAAGAAAGTAGACGTGTAATTTCAGGTTAGTTTCGCTGAACAATTGTTTGTTTCACGCAATCCCTGAGTGGTTTTGGCGGGGAGGGGCGGGGGGAGGAAGAGACAAAGGAGTCCGAAAGAAACCGATCACACTGGGGCTTGCTGGTGGGGTAGGATGTGTTCTCGTTACTAGTAATTCTTGGAACAGAAAACGAGACAACATATCCGTCTCCACGTGTGGGAGAAGACCAAGATGGGAATGCGAAAAGAAATGTACTGCAGCATGCTGAGTTGGTGGGTAAATGGAAAAAGGACTTTGGAAAAAAGGGGGGTTTGCCCTTCAGCCGTGTAAGACGTCGATACGATACGGCACTTCTTCCCCGTTTGTTCAGATGAATTCGTGTGGTATGCGTAAAATACCAGGAAAATAAATAAAGAGGGGCTGGAGCTAAAGCCAAAAGATAGAACAGGAAAGATCATCACCTGCTAGTGCGGTAGAGAGGAAGGTAACTTCTCTGTATGAATTTGTGTTTGGAAGTTGCCTAATGAAATGGCAAGAGTAGCGATTCAAGTTATCACAGGAAGCATCCCTTATCCGTGACTTCAAGCAGACCTGCCAAAGGGTGGCACACGCCATGCCCTGTGTCTTCGATCATTCTGTCCGTCAAGGGAGATAGAATCACCGTGTCTTCTACCGGAGTGAACCGTGAGAGACCTAAGTCCAGTCTCCAGAATCAGTTGTTTGTTTGGGGTTGAAAGCTCAACCCCCCATACCTAGGCCACGGGCCCTGTGGCAGGTGGGGTTTACTCTTGGACTAGGTAGTCATGGCAGAGGAACACACAATATCCGAGGATGCGCACAGCACATTGTGTTCTACAGATTTGACCCACTGGTGGTGAGGTCTCCTCATGACCACACAGGCAGGGAGTTAGCAGGTGGCTTCCTGTGGGTGTGTGAATATCCAACGTGCTTAACCATCGACATGTGTGTGTTTGTGTGTGTTTCAGGTGGCCCAACAGTCCACCCCTGAAAAAGGCGGTCATAAAACCCCCAGGAGACGAAGATGATGGCACGTCGGGACCCCAAATCTTGGGCCAAGAGACTGGTGAGAGCCCAGACCCTCCAGAAGCAGCGGAGGGCCCCAGTTGGGCCAAGGGCTCCCCCGCCCGATGAAGAAGATCCCAGGGTAAGTCTAGCCCTGGATCTCTTGGGTATCGGGGTGGGGGTGGGGACGGGGGGAGGGGGTGTCCCACGGTCCTCAGAGACTGGGTTGGATTCCAAAGAGTTCTGTCACCACCAGCCAGGTTGCTTTTCCCATCCAAGGTGGGCGTGGCTTGGGACCTTCTCCCCGGCCCGATAGGTCCCTTGAGAGACTCTTGGGGGCAACCTCCCTTTCTACTTAGAGTCCTGTGTAGCCACGTTTGGCTGCGTTGTTGACATCGGCTTCACCATCGTGCCCCTTGGAACCTTGAGTCCTTCCTTTCAGAGTTCCTCCGTCCCATGGGCTTTGCGAGGGAACATCGTACCCGAACTCTCCCGGCACTTAACGGCCCCCATGCCGGTGTCCCCTCTTTGGAATCCTTATTCAGCTCTGAATTCACAATCCGTCCCAATGTTGACGTGGGATCGCTGCCTGTGGCTTCAGCTCACTCACTGACATCACTTCCTTTCCACCCACAGCTCAAGTGCAAAAACTGCGGGGCCTTTGGCCACACGGCCAGAAGTACCAGGTGCCCCATGAAGTGCTGGAAGGCAGCCCTGGTTCCAGCGACCTTGGGGAAAAAGGAAGGGAAGGAAAACCTGAAACCATGGAAGCCCCGGGTTGAAGCCAACCCGGGGCCCTTGAACAAGGATAAGGGAGAGAAGGAAGAGAGACCAAGGTGAGCAGTGGGAGGGGTTTTCACCACTCTTAGGATGCTGCCTCCTAAGGACATGGTGTCTCTGCACCTGCACACCGTGTGCCTTTCCGTCTCCGGGCCAGGGAAGGAGCGCTGCAGAGAAATAGGCCGGAGCTCCGTGTCCTCCGGGGTTCCACACCCAGGAGCTCCTTGGGCTCTGGGAGATTCAGGGACGGGGAGAGGCGGGGGCGCTTCGTGCAGGTTCCCCACGACAGGGGGAAAAGCGATGGAATCCAAATCACAGTCCTTAGTTCGGAAGCCTAGAGGGCCACCTGGAGGATGGGAAGGTTGGCACGTGAGGGAAGGTGCAGAGGCGGAAAGGGCACCAGATGTCCATTTCTGTATCACAAAACACGGAATGGGGCTGGGCCCCAGACGGGGCTCTCCCTGTCTCCTGGGGAAAACCAGGGGGCACGGCCTGACCTTTTTCTGTTCTGCAGGCAACAAGACCCGCAGAGGAAGGCTCTCCTCCACATGTTTTCCGGGAAACCTCCAGAGAAGCCGCTGCCGAATGGAAAAGGATCCACGGAGTCTTCTGATCATCTGAGGGTGAGTGTCACCCCGGGCCCCTGGTCCTTTTCTCCTCTAGGTCACCCTGGTTGATTTCCTTTCAGCTTCCCGTCTGCGGGAGGAAATCGGGGAACCCCTCTTTCTTGCCTTCTTGGGGTCAGGGACTCCACGATCCTTCCAGGTCAATTGGATTCCAGGCGAAGGCATCTGAAGATGCCGTATTTCCTGTGGCTTTCTTTCTGTCCAATTATGGCAAGCCTGCCAACAACACGTTCCTAGCGGCATGAGGAAATTAGTCCCTCAGAGGCCCCAAACGTGGAGAAGGCGAAACCCAGGAACATGCATGTGTTCAGAGAAGACGTCCCGAGTACCCTTGAGCCAGCAACCTGCCTCGGGAAGGGCATTAGTCCGTTCCACTTCATGGAAGGCTGAGTGGAGGCGCTTTGATCCAGTTAATGCCCAAGACGCGATCTTTTGAACAATGGTGTGCTTAGATCAGCTACACATAGCTCGAGAGCGCATCTTTCATGTGTCTTGTCCTGATCAGCACTCAGGTGGAGGGTCTGTCCCTACTTCCAAGGACCGCCTGTCGATACTGTACTAAGAATTTCATGGCGTGTGCACCTTGTCTTTGGATGTGCTTGATTTTCACGTTGGCTCCATGCTGAGGAACTTCTAACCTGTGTTGTTTCCTCTCTTTCAGGTTGCAAGCGGGCCAATGCCGGTCCACACAACCAGTAAGAGGCCGCGCGTGGACCCTGTCCTCGCTGATCGCTCAGCTGCCGAAATGTCTGGCAGGGGCTCCGTCTTGGCTTCACTGTCTCCCCTCAGAAAAGCCAGCCTGAGCTCCTCCTCAAGTCTTGGACCAAAGGAAAGACAGACAGGGGCTGCGGCCGACATGCCTCAGCCTGCAGTCAGGCACCAGGGCCGCGAGCCTCTCCTCGTGGTGAAGCCGACACACAGCAGCCCCGAGGGTGGCTGCCGAGAAGTTCCCCAGGCTGCCTCCAAAACCCACGGCCTGCTCCAGGCCGCCAGACCCCAGGCACAAGACAAACGTCCTGCGGTGACCTCGCAGCCCTGCCCGCCAGCCGCCACACACAGCTTGGGCCTAGGCTCCAATCTCAGCTTCGGGCCAGGAGCCAAGAGACCTGCCCAGGCTCCGATTCAGGCTTGCCTGAAATTCCCCAAGAAACCGAGACTGGGTCCCTTCCAGATCCCCGAAAGCGCCATCCAGGGAGGTGAGCTGGGGGCCCCGGGGAATCTCCAACCTCCGCCAGCCGCAACCGAACTTGGACCAAGTACGTCGCCCCAGATGGGCAGGAGGACACCGGCCCAGGTGCCCAGCGTCGACTGGCAGCCTCCGCACAGCACACCTTGCCTGCCTACTGCCCAGGCCTGCACCATGTCCCATCACTCAGCGGCCAGCCATGATGGGGCCCAGCCTCTCAGAGTGCTCTTCCGGAGACTGGAAAACGGACGCTGGAGCTCCAGCCTCCTGGCGGCCCCCTCATTTCACTCTCCTGAGAAGCCGGGAGCCTTCCTCGCTCAGAGCCCTCATGTGTCAGAGAAGTCTGAGGCTCCCTGTGTTCGTGTCCCACCGAGCGTCCTCTATGAGGACCTTCAGGTTTCCTCCTCCTCAGAGGACAGCGATTCTGACCTGGAGTGAGACTGCAGGTGGCAGGGGCTCCTTGGCCTCCAGCTCCCGTGACTTGGAGGGGACTGTGGGACTGAGGAGCGCAGAGCAGAGAGCACACTCTGTGCGGTGACTCCGAAGCTCCCCGGCTGTGGCGCTTCTGTGGATGTGGGAGCCCAGGCCAGGCAGGGAGCAGATGCAGGGACTCTGCCTCATTGAATTCTGGTGAGGGACGTTGTAGTTGGCGTGGTTCTCCGGAAACGCGCCAGGAAAAGCTTCCGTGCCAGAGATTCGTTGCCTCAGAAACTGCGTGACGCGCAGGAGTCAGACTTCCGCTGGGACGTCAATAGGAAACTGGGGAATTACTGTGTATTTGCTCTCTAGATGACTGAATAAGGGAAAAGTTAGGGAACCCTGAGAGGTGCAGCCCTTCCGCTGTGCCCCGCCCTGAGAGCAGTGTTTCGGACGCTGGGAAGCGTGCTGTGCGAAGCGCTCTCGGGGTCTTTCCTCAGCCTCGAAAACTGGGCTCTGGAATGCCTTTGTACATATGTGTGTTTAATGGGTTTTGAAGTGAATAAAATTCTCAAAAAGATGACATATTGTCTTTTGACTCTCATTCCGTGTTTGTGTGTAACTGATTTTCCAAGTGAAGGGGTGGCCTGCCCCTCCACACCTGTGGGTGTTTCTAGTCGGGTGGGATGAGAGACGGAGAAAAGAAATAAGACACAGAGACAAAGTATAGGGAGACAACAGTGGGTCCAGGGGACCGGCACTCAGCACACCTAGGACCTGCACCGGCACCGGCCTCTGAGTTCCCTCAGTTTTTATTGATTATGATTTTCATTATTTCAGCACAAAGGAATGCAGTAGGGGAGCAGGGTGATAATAAGGGGAAGGTCAAAACAACAACAAAAAACAAACACGTGAGCAAAAGAATCCATATCATTATTAAGTTCAAGGGAAGGTACTATGCCTGGACGTGCACGTAGGCCAGATTTATGTTTCTCTCCACACAAATATCTCAGCGGAGTAAAGAATAACAAGGCAGCATTACTGCCAGCATGTCTCGCCTCCCGCCACAGGGCAGCTTTTCGCCGAGCTCAGAGTTGAACAAATGTACGATCGGGCTTTACACCGAGACATTCAGTTCCCAGGGGCAAGCAGGAGACAGTGGCCTTCCTCCATCTGAACTGCAAGAGGCGTTCCTCTTTGACTAATCCACCTCAGCACAGACCCATTGCGGGTGTCAGGCTGGGGGACAGTCCGGTCTTTTCCATCCCACGAGGCCATATTTCAGACTGTCACATGGGGAGAAACCTTGGACAATACCCTGCTTTCAAGGGCAGAGGTCCCTGTGGCTTTCCACGGTGCATTGCACCCCTGGTTTATTGAGACTAGGGAATGGCAATGACTCCTACCAAGGATACTGCTCGTAAACATTTGGTAAACAAGGCGCGTCCTGCACAGCCCTAGATCCCTTAAACCTCGATTTTATACAACACAGGTTTTTGTGAGCTCCAAGTTGGGTCAAAGGAAGGGGCTGCGGGAAAGCTACAAATGATCAACATCTCAGCAAAGCAATTGTTTAAACTACAGGTCTTTTTCAAAATGGAGTCTCTTATGTCTTCCCCTTCTACATAGACACAGTGACAGTCTGATCTCTCTTTCTTTACCCTACATCCAAGGGCTTGAACATTTCTTGACTTGTTGGCAATCCAAATCGTTACGTCTCCGAAACAGAGTTGACTGAGGGGACCGCAGGGCTGGGCAGGACCTTTGACTTCCTATACATCCACAGGAGCAAGAAAACCTCAGCCCCACTCTACCAACACGCACCTAGTAAAATTCCGCCAACCGAATCTCACGCACGCTAACACGTGGGGAGCGTTGCTTGCACCACGAGTCCCCATTTGGCTCAACCGCCGATGCCAAGTGTGTGGTTCCAGTTGCGACGGCCCCCCGTGAAGTGGCTTCCGGATGTGCGAATGAACCAGGCAGAGTTTCACTGGCCAAATAGACCCCAGCAAAGCTGAAGTTAACTCCCACATTTGGGATGTACTTCAGAGGTAAAACATTCATCCCGTCTTCTTTCCGGATGTCTGACACCATGGTTCTCCCCCTGATCCTAAGAGTAGCTGAGGCAGAGACTCACTGAAAGATCTAGGCGGGGATATCCCATCATGCACAGGCTCTCTCCATTCTCTGACCTGGGAACAACTCTCAGCAGGATTCCACATCTAGGAGGCCTCGGAACTCAGCGGGATTTTCTGAGACACACCAACTGGCTGCTCCCTCTCCGCCGCTGTTGAGGGTCGTTATCTTGATTATCCAGATCAACTAGAAAGTATCCGTATCCAGAATGAATAAGATCAACTCTCTGCTCCTCTGACAGCAGAAGGAGCAGGACCATAAGGAACCAAAGAGCGTGGAAGGAAACGATGTGACAGGAAAGCTCAGAGAACGGCCACAGGGGGTCGTCAGCAGGCCTTCGAACCTGAATCATGAATAATTAATGAAGCGCAAATCAAAGGGGACTCGAGTTTCAGCAGGAGCAATCCATCCAACGGGAGATCGCCGGAGGGCCAACAAGATTGAGAGACTGGGAGCCGGGTGCAGTGTCAAAGGGGACGCGACTGGTTCCAAAGCTCGAGAAGACCATGGGGTCACTTGGGCTACATGAGAAAACGCCCCAGTGTGCTGGTTCATCATTCCGACTCCTGCCTGTCTCTTCCCGTCCAAGGAACATGGACCCTAAGTCGTGCAGGTGCGGATGACCATGGGCAGAATTAGGGGCCGTGGCACAAAAGTTCACCGACACGGGAGTTCCACAGAAGGTGCGGTGGATCTTCGCAAATCCAGAGACATGGCAATGGGACCCAGGGAATTACAGCCTCACAGGCGTCCGGGAGACTTTTCAGGCATAATGCCTGGAGTCGCAAGACGAGCTGAAAAAGGAGCCAGGCACTGAAGGACAAAGCGTTGTTGACTTTCCTCATCTGTGTTTCCCAGTGCGGTCCAATTCACGGTGGTTTCCAAGCGCCTCCTGGGGGAGAAAACACATGAGGGTGCGGTCAGGGTTCTCTGCTGACAGACTTACCTTGGGGAAGAAAGAGAAGCTCTGAAGATGGATCATGGCCTTGACTGCATGTCAAGCAGAGTCTCCTTGATGACACTGAGGCCTACGTCGAGATAGACAAAATGTGGTCCAATTAAAAGGTGTCTATTTTACCACATTTTTTAAAACAAAACAAAACAAAACAACAGAAAAGATGGAAAAGAAGACAGGGGTACAGGCACCAGTGTTACATGTCTGACGGGGAACATCTATTGTTCAAAGCTTGCAGCTGTACAAGTAGGTTTTAGAATGTCTGTCAGCAGTGGACATGATCTTAGAGTGGGCTGTGCAGATAGACCTTTCCAGGTCATGTAATTGGATTAAGTTAATTGCAATTAAGGTACAGGTAACTGATTAGGTTAGGGTACGTTCCATGTCAGGTGACCAGAGGCAGTATAAAAGGCAGCCTGGAAAGCAGAGGTCCCTCTCCGCCCCTTCCTCCGTCGTCCTGGATGCTGCATCGCTTCCAGCGGGGCTGCTGCAGCACCTGCCCATCTCAGCGCCAGCCTGGGAAAGAAAGTAGACGTGTAATTTCAGGTTAGTTTCGCTGAACAATTGTTTGTTTCACGCAATCCCTGAGTGGTTTTGGCGGGGAGGGGCGGGGGGAGGAAGAGACAAAGGAGTCCGAAAGAAACCGATCACACTGGGGCTTGCTGGTGGGGTAGGATGTGTTCTCGTTACTAGTAATTCTTGGAACAGAAAACGAGACAACATATCCGTCTCCACGTGTGGGAGAAGACCAAGATGGGAATGCGAAAAGAAATGTACTGCAGCATGCTGAGTTGGTGGGTAAATGGAAAAAGGACTTTGGAAAAAAGGGGGGTTTGCCCTTCAGCCGTGTAAGACGTCGATACGATACGGCACTTCTTCCCCGTTTGTTCAGATGAATTCGTGTGGTATGCGTAAAATACCAGGAAAATAAATAAAGAGGGGCTGGAGCTAAAGCCAAAAGATAGAACAGGAAAGATCATCACCTGCTAGTGCGGTAGAGAGGAAGGTAACTTCTCTGTATGAATTTGTGTTTGGAAGTTGCCTAATGAAATGGCAAGAGTAGCGATTCAAGTTATCACAGGAAGCATCCCTTATCCGTGACTTCAAGCAGACCTGCCAAAGGGTGGCACACGCCATGCCCTGTGTCTTCGATCATTCTGTCCGTCAAGGGAGATAGAATCACCGTGTCTTCTACCGGAGTGAACCGTGAGAGACCTAAGTCCAGTCTCCAGAATCAGTTGTTTGTTTGGGGTTGAAAGCTCAACCCCCCATACCTAGGCCACGGGCCCTGTGGCAGGTGGGGTTTACTCTTGGACTAGGTAGTCATGGCAGAGGAACACACAATATCCGAGGATGCGCACAGCACATTGTGTTCTACAGATTTGACCCACTGGTGGTGAGGTCTCCTCATGACCACACAGGCAGGGAGTTAGCAGGTGGCTTCCTGTGGGTGTGTGAATATCCAACGTGCTTAACCATCGACATGTGTGTGTTTGTGTGTGTTTCAGGTGGCCCAACAGTCCACCCCTGAAAAAGGCGGTCATAAAACCCCCAGGAGACGAAGATGATGGCACGTCGGGACCCCAAATCTTGGGCCAAGAGACTGGTGAGAGCCCAGACCCTCCAGAAGCAGCGGAGGGCCCCAGTTGGGCCAAGGGCTCCCCCGCCCGATGAAGAAGATCCCAGGGTAAGTCTAGCCCTGGATCTCTTGGGTATCGGGGTGGGGGTGGGGACGGGGGGAGGGGGTGTCCCACGGTCCTCAGAGACTGGGTTGGATTCCAAAGAGTTCTGTCACCACCAGCCAGGTTGCTTTTCCCATCCAAGGTGGGCGTGGCTTGGGACCTTCTCCCCGGCCCGATAGGTCCCTTGAGAGACTCTTGGGGGCAACCTCCCTTTCTACTTAGAGTCCTGTGTAGCCACGTTTGGCTGCGTTGTTGACATCGGCTTCACCATCGTGCCCCTTGGAACCTTGAGTCCTTCCTTTCAGAGTTCCTCCGTCCCATGGGCTTTGCGAGGGAACATCGTACCCGAACTCTCCCGGCACTTAACGGCCCCCATGCCGGTGTCCCCTCTTTGGAATCCTTATTCAGCTCTGAATTCACAATCCGTCCCAATGTTGACGTGGGATCGCTGCCTGTGGCTTCAGCTCACTCACTGACATCACTTCCTTTCCACCCACAGCTCAAGTGCAAAAACTGCGGGGCCTTTGGCCACACGGCCAGAAGTACCAGGTGCCCCATGAAGTGCTGGAAGGCAGCCCTGGTTCCAGCGACCTTGGGGAAAAAGGAAGGGAAGGAAAACCTGAAACCATGGAAGCCCCGGGTTGAAGCCAACCCGGGGCCCTTGAACAAGGATAAGGGAGAGAAGGAAGAGAGACCAAGGTGAGCAGTGGGAGGGGTTTTCACCACTCTTAGGATGCTGCCTCCTAAGGACATGGTGTCTCTGCACCTGCACACCGTGTGCCTTTCCGTCTCCGGGCCAGGGAAGGAGCGCTGCAGAGAAATAGGCCGGAGCTCCGTGTCCTCCGGGGTTCCACACCCAGGAGCTCCTTGGGCTCTGGGAGATTCAGGGACGGGGAGAGGCGGGGGCGCTTCGTGCAGGTTCCCCACGACAGGGGGAAAAGCGATGGAATCCAAATCACAGTCCTTAGTTCGGAAGCCTAGAGGGCCACCTGGAGGATGGGAAGGTTGGCACGTGAGGGAAGGTGCAGAGGCGGAAAGGGCACCAGATGTCCATTTCTGTATCACAAAACACGGAATGGGGCTGGGCCCCAGACGGGGCTCTCCCTGTCTCCTGGGGAAAACCAGGGGGCACGGCCTGACCTTTTTCTGTTCTGCAGGCAACAAGACCCGCAGAGGAAGGCTCTCCTCCACATGTTTTCCGGGAAACCTCCAGAGAAGCCGCTGCCGAATGGAAAAGGATCCACGGAGTCTTCTGATCATCTGAGGGTGAGTGTCACCCCGGGCCCCTGGTCCTTTTCTCCTCTAGGTCACCCTGGTTGATTTCCTTTCAGCTTCCCGTCTGCGGGAGGAAATCGGGGAACCCCTCTTTCTTGCCTTCTTGGGGTCAGGGACTCCACGATCCTTCCAGGTCAATTGGATTCCAGGCGAAGGCATCTGAAGATGCCGTATTTCCTGTGGCTTTCTTTCTGTCCAATTATGGCAAGCCTGCCAACAACACGTTCCTAGCGGCATGAGGAAATTAGTCCCTCAGAGGCCCCAAACGTGGAGAAGGCGAAACCCAGGAACATGCATGTGTTCAGAGAAGACGTCCCGAGTACCCTTGAGCCAGCAACCTGCCTCGGGAAGGGCATTAGTCCGTTCCACTTCATGGAAGGCTGAGTGGAGGCGCTTTGATCCAGTTAATGCCCAAGACGCGATCTTTTGAACAATGGTGTGCTTAGATCAGCTACACATAGCTCGAGAGCGCATCTTTCATGTGTCTTGTCCTGATCAGCACTCAGGTGGAGGGTCTGTCCCTACTTCCAAGGACCGCCTGTCGATACTGTACTAAGAATTTCATGGCGTGTGCACCTTGTCTTTGGATGTGCTTGATTTTCACGTTGGCTCCATGCTGAGGAACTTCTAACCTGTGTTGTTTCCTCTCTTTCAGGTTGCAAGCGGGCCAATGCCGGTCCACACAACCAGTAAGAGGCCGCGCGTGGACCCTGTCCTCGCTGATCGCTCAGCTGCCGAAATGTCTGGCAGGGGCTCCGTCTTGGCTTCACTGTCTCCCCTCAGAAAAGCCAGCCTGAGCTCCTCCTCAAGTCTTGGACCAAAGGAAAGACAGACAGGGGCTGCGGCCGACATCCCTCAGCCTGCAGTCAGGCACCAGGGCCGCGAGCCTCTCCTCGTGGTGAAGCCGACACACAGCCGCCCCGAGGGTGGCTGCCGAGAAGTTCCCCAGGCTGCCTCCAAAACCCACGGCCTGCTCCAGGCCGCCAGACCCCAGGCACAAGACAAACGTCCTGCGGTGACCTCGCAGCCCTGCCCGCCAGCCGCCACACACAGCTTGGGCCTAGGCTCCAATCTCAGCTTCGGGCCAGGAGCCAAGAGACCTGCCCAGGCTCCGATTCAGGCTTGCCTGAACTTCCCCAAGAAACCGAGACTGGGTCCCTTCCAGATCCCCGAAAGCGCCATCCAGGGAGGTGAGCTGGGGGCCCCGGAGAATCTCCAACCTCCGCCAGCCGCAACCGAACTTGGACCAAGTACGTCGCCCCAGATGGGCAGGAGGACACCGGCCCAGGTGCCCAGCGTCGACCGGCAGCCTCCGCACAGCACACCTTGCCTGCCTACTGCCCAGGCCTGCACCATGTCCCATCACTCAGCGGCCAGCCATGATGGGGCCCAGCCTCTCAGAGTGCTCTTCCGGAGACTGGAAAACGGACGCTGGAGCTCCAGCCTCCTGGCGGCCCCCTCATTTCACTCTCCTGAGAAGCCGGGAGCCTTCCTCGCTCAGAGCCCTCATGTGTCAGAGAAGTCTGAGGCTCCCTGTGTTCGTGTCCCACCGAGCGTCCTCTATGAGGACCTTCAGGTTTCCTCCTCCTCAGAGGACAGCGATTCTGACCTGGAGTGAGACTGCAGGTGGCAGGGGCTCCTTGGCCTCCAGCTCCCGTGACTTGGAGGGGACTGTGGGACTGAGGAGCGCAGAGCAGAGAGCACACTCTGTGCGGTGACTCCGAAGCTCCCCGGCTGTGGCGCTTCTGTGGATGTGGGAGCCCAGGCCAGGCAGGGAGCAGATGCAGGGACTCTGCCTCATTGAATTCTGGTGAGGGACGTTGTAGTTGGCGTGGTTCTCCGGAAACGCGCCAGGAAAAGCTTCCGTGCCAGAGATTCGTTGCCTCAGAAACTGCGTGACGCGCAGGAGTCAGACTTCCGCTGGGACGTCAATAGGAAACTGGGGAATTACTGTGTATTTGCTCTCTAGATGACTGAATAAGGGAAAAGTTAGGGAACCCTGAGAGGTGCAGCCCTTCCGCTGTGCCCCGCCCTGAGAGCAGTGTTTCGGACGCTGGGAAGCGTGCTGTGCGAAGCGCTCTCGGGGTCTTTCCTCAGCCTCGAAAACTGGGCTCTGGAATGCCTTTGTACATATGTGTGTTTAATGGGTTTTGAAGTGAATAAAATTCTCAAAAAGATGACATATTGTCTTTTGACTCTCATTCCGTGTTTGTGTGTAACTGATTTTCCAAGTGAAGGGGTGGCCTGCCCCTCCACACCTGTGGGTGTTTCTAGTCGGGTGGGATGAGAGACGGAGAAAAGAAATAAGACACAGAGACAAAGTATAGGGAGACAACAGTGGGTCCAGGGGACCGGCACTCAGCACACCTAGGACCTGCACCGGCACCGGCCTCTGAGTTCCCTCAGTTTTTATTGATTATGATTTTCATTATTTCAGCACAAAGGAATGCAGTAGGGGAGCAGGGTGATAATAAGGGGAAGGTCAAAACAACAACAAAAAACAAACACGTGAGCAAAAGAATCCATATCATTATTAAGTTCAAGGGAAGGTACTATGCCTGGACGTGCACGTAGGCCAGATTTATGTTTCTCTCCACACAAATATCTCAGCGGAGTAAAGAATAACAAGGCAGCATTACTGCCAGCATGTCTCGCCTCCCGCCACAGGGCAGCTTTTCGCCGAGCTCAGAGTTGAACAAATGTACGATCGGGCTTTACACCGAGACATTCAGTTCCCAGGGGCAAGCAGGAGACAGTGGCCTTCCTCCATCTGAACTGCAAGAGGCGTTCCTCTTTGACTAATCCACCTCAGCACAGACCCATTGCGGGTGTCAGGCTGGGGGACAGTCCGGTCTTTTCCATCCCACGAGGCCATATTTCAGACTGTCACATGGGGAGAAACCTTGGACAATACCCTGCTTTCAAGGGCAGAGGTCCCTGTGGCTTTCCACGGTGCATTGCACCCCTGGTTTATTGAGACTAGGGAATGGCAATGACTCCTACCAAGGATACTGCTCGTAAACATTTGGTAAACAAGGCGCGTCCTGCACAGCCCTAGATCCCTTAAACCTCGATTTTATACAACACAGGTTTTTGTGAGCTCCAAGTTGGGTCAAAGGAAGGGGCTGCGGGAAAGCTACAAATGATCAACATCTCAGCAAAGCAATTGTTTAAACTACAGGTCTTTTTCAAAATGGAGTCTCTTATGTCTTCCCCTTCTACATAGACACAGTGACAGTCTGATCTCTCTTTCTTTACCCTACATCCAAGGGCTTGAACATTTCTTGACTTGTTGGCAATCCAAATCGTTACGTCTCCGAAACAGAGTTGACTGAGGGGACCGCAGGGCTGGGCAGGACCTTTGACTTCCTATACATCCACAGGAGCAAGAAAACCTCAGCCCCACTCTACCAACACGCACCTAGTAAAATTCCGCCAACCGAATCTCACGCACGCTAACACGTGGGGAGCGTTGCTTGCACCACGAGTCCCCATTTGGCTCAACCGCCGATGCCAAGTGTGTGGTTCCAGTTGCGACGGCCCCCCGTGAAGTGGCTTCCGGATGTGCGAAGGAACCAGGCAGAGTTTCACTGGCCAAATAGACCCCAGCAAAGCTGAAGTTAACTCCCACATTTGGGATGTACTTCAGAGGTAAAACATTCATCCCGTCTTCTTTCCGGATGTCTGACACCATGGTTCTCCCCCTGATCCTAAGAGTAGCTGAGGCAGAGACTCACTGAAAGATCTAGGCGGGGATATCCCATCATGCACAGGCTCTCTCCATTCTCTGACCTGGGAACAACTCTCAGCAGGATTCCACATCTAGGAGGCCTCGGAACTCAGCGGGATTTTCTGAGACACACCAACTGGCTGCTCCCTCTCCGCCGCTGTTGAGGGTCGTTATCTTGATTATCCAGATCAACTAGAAAGTATCCGTATCCAGAATGAATAAGATCAACTCTCTGCTCCTCTGACAGCAGAAGGAGCAGGACCATAAGGAACCAAAGAGCGTGGAAGGAAACGATGTGACAGGAAAGCTCAGAGAACGGCCACAGGGGGTCGTCAGCAGGCCTTCGAACCTGAATCATGAATAATTAATGAAGCGCAAATCAAAGGGGACTCGAGTTTCAGCAGGAGCAATCCATCCAACGGGAGATCGCCGGAGGGCCAACAAGATTGAGAGACTGGGAGCCGGGTGCAGTGTCAAAGGGGACGCGACTGGTTCCAAAGCTCGAGAAGACCATGGGGTCACTTGGGCTACATGAGAAAACGCCCCAGTGTGCTGGTTCATCATTCCGACTCCTGCCTGTCTCTTCCCGTCCAAGGAACATGGACCCTAAGTCGTGCAGGTGCGGATGACCATGGGCAGAATTAGGGGCCGTGGCACAAAAGTTCACCGACACGGGAGTTCCACAGAAGGTGCGGTGGATCTTCGCAAATCCAGAGACATGGCAATGGGACCCAGGGAATTACAGCCTCACAGGCGTCCGGGAGACTTTTCAGGCATAATGCCTGGAGTCGCAAGACGAGCTGAAAAAGGAGCCAGGCACTGAAGGACAAAGCGTTGTTGACTTTCCTCATCTGTGTTTCCCAGTGCGGTCCAATTCACGGTGGTTTCCAAGCGCCTCCTGGGGGAGAAAACACATGAGGGTGCGGTCAGGGTTCTCTGCTGACAGACTTACCTTGGGGAAGAAAGAGAAGCTCTGAAGATGGATCATGGCCTTGACTGCATGTCAAGCAGAGTCTCCTTGATGACACTGAGGCCTACGTCGAGATAGACAAAATGTGGTCCAATTAAAAGGTGTCTATTTTACCACATTTTTTAAAACAAAACAAAACAAAACAACAGAAAAGATGGAAAAGAAGACAGGGGTACAGGCACCAGTGTTACATGTCTGACGGGGAACATCTATTGTTCAAAGCTTGCAGCTGTACAAGTAGGTTTTAGAATGTCTGTCAGCAGTGGACATGATCTTAGAGTGGGCTGTGCAGATAGACCTTTCCAGGTCATGTAATTGGATTAAGTTAATTGCAATTAAGGTACAGGTAACTGATTAGGTTAGGGTACGTTCCATGTCAGGTGACCAGAGGCAGTATAAAAGGCAGCCTGGAAAGCAGAGGTCCCTCTCCGCCCCTTCCTCCGTCGTCCTGGATGCTGCATCGCTTCCAGCGGGGCTGCTGCAGCACCTGCCCATCTCAGCGCCAGCCTGGGAAAGAAAGTAGACGTGTAATTTCAGGTTAGTTTCGCTGAACAATTGTTTGTTTCACGCAATCCCTGAGTGGTTTTGGCGGGGAGGGGCGGGGGGAGGAAGAGACAAAGGAGTCCGAAAGAAACCGATCACACTGGGGCTTGCTGGTGGGGTAGGATGTGTTCTCGTTACTAGTAATTCTTGGAACAGAAAACGAGACAACATATCCGTCTCCACGTGTGGGAGAAGACCAAGATGGGAATGCGAAAAGAAATGTACTGCAGCATGCTGAGTTGGTGGGTAAATGGAAAAAGGACTTTGGAAAAAAGGGGGGTTTGCCCTTCAGCCGTGTAAGACGTCGATACGATACGGCACTTCTTCCCCGTTTGTTCAGATGAATTCGTGTGGTATGCGTAAAATACCAGGAAAATAAATAAAGAGGGGCTGGAGCTAAAGCCAAAAGATAGAACAGGAAAGATCATCACCTGCTAGTGCGGTAGAGAGGAAGGTAACTTCTCTGTATGAATTTGTGTTTGGAAGTTGCCTAATGAAATGGCAAGAGTAGCGATTCAAGTTATCACAGGAAGCATCCCTTATCCGTGACTTCAAGCAGACCTGCCAAAGGGTGGCACACGCCATGCCCTGTGTCTTCGATCATTCTGTCCGTCAAGGGAGATAGAATCACCGTGTCTTCTACCGGAGTGAACCGTGAGAGACCTAAGTCCAGTCTCCAGAATCAGTTGTTTGTTTGGGGTTGAAAGCTCAACCCCCCATACCTAGGCCACGGGCCCTGTGGCAGGTGGGGTTTACTCTTGGACTAGGTAGTCATGGCAGAGGAACACACAATATCCGAGGATGCGCACAGCACATTGTGTTCTACAGATTTGACCCACTGGTGGTGAGGTCTCCTCATGACCACACAGGCAGGGAGTTAGCAGGTGGCTTCCTGTGGGTGTGTGAATATCCAACGTGCTTAACCATCGACATGTGTGTGTTTGTGTGTGTTTCAGGTGGCCCAACAGTCCACCCCTGAAAAAGGCGGTCATAAAACCCCCAGGAGACGAAGATGATGGCACGTCGGGACCCCAAATCTTGGGCCAAGAGACTGGTGAGAGCCCAGACCCTCCAGAAGCAGCGGAGGGCCCCAGTTGGGCCAAGCGCTCCCCCGCCCGATGAAGAAGATCCCAGGGTAAGTCTAGCCCTGGATCTCTTGGGTATCGGGGTGGGGGTGGGGACGGGGGGAGGGGGTGTCCCACGGTCCTCAGAGACTGGGTTGGATTCCAAAGAGTTCTGTCACCACCAGCCAGGTTGCTTTTCCCATCCAAGGTGGGCGTGGCTTGGGACCTTCTCCCCGGCCCGATAGGTCCCTTGAGAGACTCTTGGGGGCAACCTCCCTTTCTACTTAGAGTCCTGTGTAGCCACGTTTGGCTGCGTTGTTGACATCGGCTTCACCATCGTGCCCCTTGGAACCTTGAGTCCTTCCTTTCAGAGTTCCTCCGTCCCATGGGCTTTGCGAGGGAACATCGTACCCGAACTCTCCCGGCACTTAACGGCCCCCATGCCGGTGTCCCCTCTTTGGAATCCTTATTCAGCTCTGAATTCACAATCCGTCCCAATGTTGACGTGGGATCGCTGCCTGTGGCTTCAGCTCACTCACTGACATCACTTCCTTTCCACCCACAGCTCAAGTGCAAAAACTGCGGGGCCTTTGGCCACACGGCCAGAAGTACCAGGTGCCCCATGAAGTGCTGGAAGGCAGCCCTGGTTCCAGCGACCTTGGGGAAAAAGGAAGGGAAGGAAAACCTGAAACCATGGAAGCCCCGGGGTGAAGCCAACCCGGGGCCCTTGAACAAGGATAAGGGAGAGAAGGAAGAGAGACCAAGGTGAGCAGTGGGAGGGGTTTTCACCACTCTTAGGGTGCTGCCTCCTAAGGACATGGTGTCTCTGCACCTGCACACCGTGTGCCTTTCCGTCTCCGGGCCAGGGAAGGAGCGCTGCAGAGAAATAGGCCGGAGCTCCGTGTCCTCCGGGGTTCCACACCCAGGAGCTCCTTGGGCTCTGGGAGATTCAGGGACGGGGAGAGGCGGGGGCGCTTCGTGCAGGTTCCCCACGACAGGGGGAAAAGCGATGGAATCCAAATCACAGTCCTTAGTTCGGAAGCCTAGAGGGCCACCTGGAGGATGGGAAGGTTGGCACGTGAGGGAAGGTGCAGAGGCGGAAAGGGCACCAGATGTCCATTTCTGTATCACAAAACACGGAATGGGGCTGGGCCCCAGACGGGGTCTCCCTGTCTCCTGGGGAAAACCAGGGGGCACGGCCTGACCTTTTTCTGTTCTGCAGGCAACAAGACCCGCAGAGGAAGGCTCTCCTCCACATGTTTTCCGGGAAACCTCCAGAGAAGCCGCTGCCGAATGGAAAAGGATCCACGGAGTCTTCTGATCATCTGAGGGTGAGTGTCACCCCGGGCCCCTGGTCCTTTTCTCCTCTAGGTCACCCTGGTTGATTTCCTTTCAGCTTCCCGTCTGCGGGAGGAAATCGGGGAACCCCTCTTTCTTGCCTTCTTGGGGTCAGGGACTCCACGATCCTTCCAGGTCAATTGGATTCCAGGCGAAGGCATCTGAAGATGCCGTATTTCCTGTGGCTTTCTTTCTGTCCAATTATGGCAAGCCTGCCAACAACACGTTCCTAGCGGCATGAGGAAATTAGTCCCTCAGAGGCCCCAAACGTGGAGAAGGCGAAACCCAGGAACATGCATGTGTTCAGAGAAGACGTCCCGAGTACCCTTGAGCCAGCAACCTGCCTCGGGAAGGGCATTAGTCCGTTCCACTTCATGGAAGGCTGAGTGGAGGCGCTTTGATCCAGTTAATGCCCAAGACGCGATCTTTTGAACAATGGTGTGCTTAGATCAGCTACACATAGCTCGAGAGCGCATCTTTCATGTGTCTTGTCCTGATCAGCACTCAGGTGGAGGGTCTGTCCCTACTTCCAAGGACCGCCTGTCGATACTGTACTAAGAATTTCATGGCGTGTGCACCTTGTCTTTGGATGTGCTTGATTTTCACGTTGGCTCCATGCTGAGGAACTTCTAACCTGTGTTGTTTCCTCTCTTTCAGGTTGCAAGCGGGCCAATGCCGGTCCACACAACCAGTAAGAGGCCGCGCGTGGACCCTGTCCTCGCTGATCGCTCAGCTGCCGAAATGTCTGGCAGGGGCTCCGTCTTGGCTTCACTGTCTCCCCTCAGAAAAGCCAGCCTGAGCTCCTCCTCAAGTCTTGGACCAAAGGAAAGACAGACAGGGGCTGCGGCCGACATCCCTCAGCCTGCAGTCAGGCACCAGGGCCGCGAGCCTCTCCTCGTGGTGAAGCCGACACACAGCCGCCCCGAGGGTGGCTGCCGAGAAGTTCCCCAGGCTGCCTCCAAAACCCACGGCCTGCTCCAGGCCGCCAGACCCCAGGCACAAGACAAACGTCCTGCGGTGACCTCGCAGCCCTGCCCGCCAGCCGCCACACACAGCTTGGGCCTAGGCTCCAATCTCAGCTTCGGGCCAGGAGCCAAGAGACCTGCCCAGGCTCCGATTCAGGCTTGCCTGAACTTCCCCAAGAAACCGAGACTGGGTCCCTTCCAGATCCCCGAAAGCGCCATCCAGGGAGGTGAGCTGGGGGCCCCGGAGAATCTCCAACCTCCGCCAGCCGCAACCGAACTTGGACCAAGTACGTCGCCCCAGATGGGCAGGAGGACACCGGCCCAGGTGCCCAGCATCGACCGGCAGCCTCCGCACAGCACACCTTGCCTGCCTACTGCCCAGGCCTGCACCATGTCCCATCACTCAGCGGCCAGCCATGATGGGGCCCAGCCTCTCAGAGTGCTCTTCCGGAGACTGGAAAACGGACGCTGGAGCTCCAGCCTCCTGGCGGCCCCCTCATTTCACTCTCCTGAGAAGCCGGGAGCCTTCCTCGCTCAGAGCCCTCATGTGTCAGAGAAGTCTGAGGCTCCCTGTGTTCGTGTCCCACCGAGCGTCCTCTATGAGGACCTTCAGGTTTCCTCCTCCTCAGAGGACAGCGATTCTGACCTGGAGTGAGACTGCAGGTGGCAGGGGCTCCTTGGCCTCCAGCTCCCGTGACTTGGAGGGGACTGTGGGACTGAGGAGCGCAGAGCAGAGAGCACACTCTGTGCGGTGACTCCGAAGCTCCCCGGCTGTGGCGCTTCTGTGGATGTGGGAGCCCAGGCCAGGCAGGGAGCAGATGCAGGGACTCTGCCTCATTGAATTCTGGTGAGGGACGTTGTAGTTGGCGTGGTTCTCCGGAAACGCGCCAGGAAAAGCTTCCGTGCCAGAGATTCGTTGCCTCAGAAACTGCGTGACGCGCAGGAGTCAGACTTCCGCTGGGACGTCAATAGGAAACTGGGGAATTACTGTGTATTTGCTCTCTAGATGACTGAATAAGGGAAAAGTTAGGGAACCCTGAGAGGTGCAGCCCTTCCGCTGTGCCCCGCCCTGAGAGCAGAGTTTCGGACGCTGGGAAGCGTGCTGTGCGAAGCGCTCTCGGGGTCTTTCCTCAGCCTCGAAAACTGGGCTCTGGAATGCCTTTGTACATATGTGTGTTTAATGTGTTTTGAAGTGAATAAAATTCTCAAAAAGATGACATATTGTCTTTTGACTCTCATTCCGTGTTTGTGTGTAACTGATTTTCCAAGTGAAGGGGTGGCCTGCCCCTCCACACCTGTGGGTGTTTCTAGTCGGGTGGGATGAGAGACGGAGAAAAGAAATAAGACACAGAGACAAAGTATAGGGAGACAACAGTGGGTCCAGGGGACCGGCACTCAGCACACCTAGGACCTGCACCGGCACCGGCCTCTGAGTTCCCTCAGTTTTTATTGATTATGATTTTCATTATTTCAGCACAAAGGAATGCAGTAGGGGAGCAGGGTGATAATAAGGGGAAGGTCAAAACAACAACAAAAAACAAACACGTGAGCAAAAGAATCCATATCATTATTAAGTTCAAGGGAAGGTACTATGCCTGGACGTGCACGTAGGCCAGATTTATGTTTCTCTCCACACAAATATCTCAGCGGAGTAAAGAATAACAAGGCAGCATTACTGCCAGCATGTCTCGCCTCCCGCCACAGGGCAGCTTTTCGCCGAGCTCAGAGTTGAACAAATGTACGATCGGGCTTTACACCGAGACATTCAGTTCCCAGGGGCAAGCAGGAGACAGTGGCCTTCCTCCATCTGAACTGCAAGAGGCGTTCCTCTTTGACTAATCCACCTCAGCACAGACCCATTGCGGGTGTCAGGCTGGGGGACAGTCCGGTCTTTTCCATCCCACGAGGCCATATTTCAGACTGTCACATGGGGAGAAACCTTGGACAATACCCTGCTTTCAAGGGCAGAGGTCCCTGTGGCTTTCCACGGTGCATTGCACCCCTGGTTTATTGAGACTAGGGAATGGCAATGACTCCTACCAAGGATACTGCTCGTAAACATTTGGTAAACAAGGCGCGTCCTGCACAGCCCTAGATCCCTTAAACCTCGATTTTATACAACACAGGTTTTTGTGAGCTCCAAGTTGGGTCAAAGGAAGGGGCTGCGGGAAAGCTACAAATGATCAACATCTCAGCAAAGCAATTGTTTAAACTACAGGTCTTTTTCAAAATGGAGTCTCTTATGTCTTCCCCTTCTACATAGACACAGTGACAGTCTGATCTCTCTTTCTTTACCCTACATCCAAGGGCTTGAACATTTCTTGACTTGTTGGCAATCCAAATCGTTACGTCTCCGAAACAGAGTTGACTGAGGGGACCGCAGGGCTGGGCAGGACCTTTGACTTCCTATACATCCACAGGAGCAAGAAAACCTCAGCCCCACTCTACCAACACGCACCTAGTAAAATTCCGCCAACCGAATCTCACGCACGCTAACACGTGGGGAGCGTTGCTTGCACCACGAGTCCCCATTTGGCTCAACCGCCGATGCCAAGTGTGTGGTTCCAGTTGCGACGGCCCCCCGTGAAGTGGCTTCCGGATGTGCGAAGGAACCAGGCAGAGTTTCACTGGCCAAATAGACCCCAGCAAAGCTGAAGTTAACTCCCACATTTGGGATGTACTTCAGAGGTAAAACATTCATCCCGTCTTCTTTCCGGATGTCTGACACCATGGTTCTCCCCCTGATCCTAAGAGTAGCTGAGGCAGAGACTCACTGAAAGATCTAGGCGGGGATATCCCATCATGCACAGGCTCTCTCCATTCTCTGACCTGGGAACAACTCTCAGCAGGATTCCACATCTAGGAGGCCTCGGAACTCAGCGGGATTTTCTGAGACACACCAACTGGCTGCTCCCTCTCCGCCGCTGTTGAGGGTCGTTATCTTGATTATCCAGATCACCTAGAAAGTATCCGTATCCAGAATGAATAAGATCAACTCTCTGCTCCTCTGACAGCAGAAGGAGCAGGACCATAAGGAACCAAAGAGCGTGGAAGGAAACGATGTGACAGGAAAGCTCAGAGAACGGCCACAGGGGGTCGTCAGCAGGCCTTCGAACCTGAATCATGAATAATTAATGAAGCGCAAATCAAAGGGGACTCGAGTTTCAGCAGGAGCAATCCATCCAACGGGAGATCGCCGGAGGGCCAACAAGATTGAGAGACTGGGAGCCGGGTGCAGTGTCAAAGGGGACGCGACTGGTTCCAAAGCTCGAGAAGACCATGGGGTCACTTGGGCTACATGAGAAAACGCCCCAGTGTGCTGGTTCATCATTCCGACTCCTGCCTGTCTCTTCCCGTCCAAGGAACATGGACCCTAAGTCGTGCAGGTGCGGATGACCATGGGCAGAATTAGGGGCCGTGGCACAAAAGTTCACCGACACGGGAGTTCCACAGAAGGTGCGGTGGATCTTCGCAAATCCAGAGACATGGCAATGGGACCCAGGGAATTACAGCCTCACAGGCGTCCGGGAGACTTTTCAGGCATAATGCCTGGAGTCGCAAGACGAGCTGAAAAAGGAGCCAGGCACTGAAGGACAAAGCGTTGTTGACTTTCCTCATCTGTGTTTCCCAGTGCGGTCCAATTCACGGTGGTTTCCAAGCGCCTCCTGGGGGAGAAAACACATGAGGGTGCGGTCAGGGTTCTCTGCTGACAGACTTACCTTGGGGAAGAAAGAGAAGCTCTGAAGATGGATCATGGCCGTGACTGCATGTCAAGCAGAGTCTCCTTGATGACACTGAGGCCTACGTCGAGATAGACAAAATGTGGTCCAATTAAAAGGTGTCTATTTTACCACATTTTTTAAAACAAAACAAAACAAAACAACAGAAAAGATGGAAAAGAAGACAGGGGTACAGGCACCAGTGTTACATGTCTGACGGGGAACATCTATTGTTCAAAGCTTGCAGCTGTACAAGTAGGTTTTAGAATGTCTGTCAGCAGTGGACATGATCTTAGAGTGGGCTGTGCAGATAGACCTTTCCAGGTCATGTAATTGGATTAAGTTAATTGCAATTAAGGTACAGGTAACTGATTAGGTTAGGGTACGTTCCATGTCAGGTGACCAGAGGCAGTATAAAAGGCAGCCTGGAAAGCAGAGGTCCCTCTCCGCCCCTTCCTCCGTCGTCCTGGATGCTGCATCGCTTCCAGCGGGGCTGCTGCAGCACCTGCCCATCTCAGCGCCAGCCTGGGAAAGAAAGTAGACGTGTAATTTCAGGTTAGTTTCGCTGAACAATTGTTTGTTTCACGCAATCCCTGAGTGGTTTTGGCGGGGAGGGGCGGGGGGAGGAATATACAAAGGAGTCCGAAAGAAACCGATCACACTGGGGCTTGCTGGTGGGGTAAGATGTGTTCTCGTTACTAGTAATTCTTGGAACAGAAAACGAGACAACATATCCGTCTCCACGTGTGGGAGAAGACCAAGATGGGAATGCGAAAAGAAATGTACTGCAGCATGCTGAGTTGGTGGGTAAATGGAAAAAGGACTTTGGAAAAAAGGGGGGTTTGCCCTTCAGCCGTGTAAGACGTCGATACGATACGGCACTTCTTCCCCGTTTGTTCAGATGAATTCGTGTGGTATGCGTAAAATACCAGGAAAATAAATAAAGAGGGGCTGGAGCTAAAGCCAAAAGATAGAACAGGAAAGATCATCACCTGCTAGTGCGGTAGAGAGGAAGGTAACTTCTCTGTATGAATTTGTGTTTGGAAGTTGCCTAATGAAATGGCAAGAGTAGCGATTCAAGTTATCACAGGAAGCATCCCTTATCCGTGACTTCAAGCAGACCTGCCAAAGGGTGGCACACGCCATGCCCTGTGTCTTCGATCATTCTGTCCGTCAAGGGAGATAGAATCACCGTGTCTTCTACCGGAGTGAACCGTGAGAGACCTAAGTCCAGTCTCCAGAATCAGTTGTTTGTTTGGGGTTGAAAGCTCAACCCCCCATACCTAGGCCACGGGCCCTGTGGCAGGTGGGGTTTACTCTTGGACTAGGTAGTCATGGCAGAGGAACACACAATATCCGAGGATGCGCACAGCACATTGTGTTCTACAGATTTGACCCACTGGTGGTGAGGTCTCCTCATGACCACACAGGCAGGGAGTTAGCAGGTGGCTTCCTGTGGGTGTGTGAATATCCAACGTGCTTAACCATCGACATGTGTGTGTTTGTGTGTGTTTCAGGTGGCCCAACAGTCCACCCCTGAAAAAGGCGGTCATAAAACCCCCAGGAGACGAAGATGATGGCACGTCGGGACCCCAAATCTTGGGCCAAGAGACTGGTGAGAGCCCAGACCCTCCAGAAGCAGCGGAGGGCCCCAGTTGGGCCAAGGGCTCCCCCGCCCGATGAAGAAGATCCCAGGGTAAGTCTAGCCCTGGATCTCTTGGGTATCGGGGTGGGGGTGGGGACGGGGGGAGGGGGTGTCCCACGGTCCTCAGAGACTGGGTTGGATTCCAAAGAGTTCTGTCACCACCAGCCAGGTTGCTTTTCCCATCCAAGGTGGGCGTGGCTTGGGACCTTCTCCCCGGCCCGATAGGTCCCTTGAGAGACTCTTGGGGGCAACCTCCCTTTCTACTTAGAGTCCTGTGTAGCCACGTTTGGCTGCGTTGTTGACATCGGCTTCACCATCGTGCCCCTTGGAACCTTGAGTCCTTCCTTTCAGAGTTCCTCCGTCCCATGGGCTTTGCGAGGGAACATCGTACCCGAACTCTCCCGGCACTTAACGGCCCCCATGCCGGTGTCCCCTCTTTGGAATCCTTATTCAGCTCTGAATTCACAATCCGTCCCAATGTTGACGTGGGATCGCTGCCTGTGGCTTCAGCTCACTCACTGACATCACTTCCTTTCCACCCACAGCTCAAGTGCAAAAACTGCGGGGCCTTTGGCCACACGGCCAGAAGTACCAGGTGCCCCATGAAGTGCTGGAAGGCAGCCCTGGTTCCAGCGACCTTGGGGAAAAAGGAAGGGAAGGAAAACCTGAAACCATGGAAGCCCCGGGTTGAAGCCAACCCGGGGCCCTTGAACAAGGATAAGGGAGAGAAGGAAGAGAGACCAAGGTGAGCAGTGGGAGGGGTTTTCACCACTCTTAGGATGCTGCCTCCTAAGGACATGGTGTCTCTGCACCTGCACACCGTGTGCCTTTCCGTCTCCGGGCCAGGGAAGGAGCGCTGCAGAGAAATAGGCCGGAGCTCCGTGTCCTCCGGGGTTCCACACCCAGGAGCTCCTTGGGCTCTGGGAGATTCAGGGACGGGGAGAGGCGGGGGCGCTTCGTGCAGGTTCCCCACGACAGGGGGAAAAGCGATGGAATCCAAATCACAGTCCTTAGTTCGGAAGCCTAGAGGGCCACCTGGAGGATGGGAAGGTTGGCACGTGAGGGAAGGTGCAGAGGCGGAAAGGGCACCAGATGTCCATTTCTGTATCACAAAACACGGAATGGGGCTGGGCCCCAGACGGGGCTCTCCCTGTCTCCTGGGGAAAACCAGGGGGCACGGCCTGACCTTTTTCTGTTCTGCAGGCAACAAGACCCGCAGAGGAAGGCTCTCCTCCACATGTTTTCCGGGAAACCTCCAGAGAAGCCGCTGCCGAATGGAAAAGGATCCACGGAGTCTTCTGATCATCTGAGGGTGAGTGTCACCCCGGGCCCCTGGTCCTTTTCTCCTCTAGGTCACCCTGGTTGATTTCCTTTCAGCTTCCCGTCTGCGGGAGGAAATCGGGGAACCCCTCTTTCTTGCCTTCTTGGGGTCAGGGACTCCACGATCCTTCCAGGTCAATTGGATTCCAGGCGAAGGCATCTGAAGATGCCGTATTTCCTGTGGCTTTCTTTCTGTCCAATTATGGCAAGCCTGCCAACAACACGTTCCTAGCGGCATGAGGAAATTAGTCCCTCAGAGGCCCCAAACGTGGAGAAGGCGAAACCCAGGAACATGCATGTGTTCAGAGAAGACGTCCCGAGTACCCTTGAGCCAGCAACCTGCCTCGGGAAGGGCATTAGTCCGTTCCACTTCATGGAAGGCTGAGTGGAGGCGCTTTGATCCAGTTAATGCCCAAGACGCGATCTTTTGAACAATGGTGTGCTTAGATCAGCTACACATAGCTCGAGAGCGCATCTTTCATGTGTCTTGTCCTGATCAGCACTCAGGTGGAGGGTCTGTCCCTACTTCCAAGGACCGCCTGTCGATACTGTACTAAGAATTTCATGGCGTGTGCACCTTGTCTTTGGATGTGCTTGATTTTCACGTTGGCTCCATGCTGAGGAACTTCTAACCTGTGTTGTTTCCTCTCTTTCAGGTTGCAAGCGGGCCAATGCCGGTCCACACAACCAGTAAGAGGCCGCGCGTGGACCCTGTCCTCGCTGATCGCTCAGCTGCCGAAATGTCTGGCAGGGGCTCCGTCTTGGCTTCACTGTCTCCCCTCAGAAAAGCCAGCCTGAGCTCCTCCTCAAGTCTTGGACCAAAGGAAAGACAGACAGGGGCTGCGGCCGACATCCCTCAGCCTGCAGTCAGGCACCAGGGCCGCGAGCCTCTCCTCGTGGTGAAGCCGACACACAGCCGCCCCGAGGGTGGCTGCCGAGAAGTTCCCCAGGCTGCCTCCAAAACCCACGGCCTGCTCCAGGCCGCCAGACCCCAGGCACAAGACAAACGTCCTGCGGTGACCTCGCAGCCCTGCCCGCCAGCCGCCACACACAGCTTGGGCCTAGGCTCCAATCTCAGCTTCGGGCCAGGAGCCAAGAGACCTGCCCAGGCTCCGATTCAGGCTTGCCTGAACTTCCCCAAGAAACCGAGACTGGGTCCCTTCCAGATCCCCGAAAGCGCCATCCAGGGAGGTGAGCTGGGGGCCCCGGAGAATCTCCAACCTCCGCCAGCCGCAACCGAACTTGGACCAAGTACGTCGCCCCAGATGGGCAGGAGGACACCGGCCCAGGTGCCCAGCGTCGACCGGCAGCCTCCGCACAGCACACCTTGCCTGCCTACTGCCCAGGCCTGCACCATGTCCCATCACTCAGCGGCCAGCCATGATGGGGCCCAGCCTCTCAGAGTGCTCTTCCGGAGACTGGAAAACGGACGCTGGAGCTCCAGCCTCCTGGCGGCCCCCTCATTTCACTCTCCTGAGAAGCCGGGAGCCTTCCTCGCTCAGAGCCCTCATGTGTCAGAGAAGTCTGAGGCTCCCTGTGTTCGTGTCCCACCGAGCGTCCTCTATGAGGACCTTCAGGTTTCCTCCTCCTCAGAGGACAGCGATTCTGACCTGGAGTGAGACTGCAGGTGGCAGGGGCTCCTTGGCCTCCAGCTCCCGTGACTTGGAGGGGACTGTGGGACTGAGGAGCGCAGAGCAGAGAGCACACTCTGTGCGGTGACTCCGAAGCTCCCCGGCTGTGGCGCTTCTGTGGATGTGGGAGCCCAGGCCAGGCAGGGAGCAGATGCAGGGACTCTGCCTCATTGAATTCTGGTGAGGGACGTTGTAGTTGGCGTGGTTCTCCGGAAACGCGCCAGGAAAAGCTTCCGTGCCAGAGATTCGTTGCCTCAGAAACTGCGTGACGCGCAGGAGTCAGACTTCCGCTGGGACGTCAATAGGAAACTGGGGAATTACTGTGTATTTGCTCTCTAGATGACTGAATAAGGGAAAAGTTAGGGAACCCTGAGAGGTGCAGCCCTTCCGCTGTGCCCCGCCCTGAGAGCAGTGTTTCGGACGCTGGGAAGCGTGCTGTGCGAAGCGCTCTCGGGGTCTTTCCTCAGCCTCGAAAACTGGGCTCTGGAATGCCTTTGTACATATGTGTGTTTAATGGGTTTTGAAGTGAATAAAATTCTCAAAAAGATGACATATTGTCTTTTGACTCTCATTCCGTGTTTGTGTGTAACTGATTTTCCAAGTGAAGGGGTGGCCTGCCCCTCCACACCTGTGGGTGTTTCTAGTCGGGTGGGATGAGAGACGGAGAAAAGAAATAAGACACAGAGACAAAGTATAGGGAGACAACAGTGGGTCCAGGGGACCGGCACTCAGCACACCTAGGACCTGCACCGGCACCGGCCTCTGAGTTCCCTCAGTTTTTATTGATTATGATTTTCATTATTTCAGCACAAAGGAATGCAGTAGGGGAGCAGGGTGATAATAAGGGGAAGGTCAAAACAACAACAAAAAACAAACACGTGAGCAAAAGAATCCATATCATTATTAAGTTCAAGGGAAGGTACTATGCCTGGACGTGCACGTAGGCCAGATTTATGTTTCTCTCCACACAAATATCTCAGCGGAGTAAAGAATAACAAGGCAGCATTACTGCCAGCATGTCTCGCCTCCCGCCACAGGGCAGCTTTTCGCCGAGCTCAGAGTTGAACAAATGTACGATCGGGCTTTACACCGAGACATTCAGTTCCCAGGGGCAAGCAGGAGACAGTGGCCTTCCTCCATCTGAACTGCAAGAGGCGTTCCTCTTTGACTAATCCACCTCAGCACAGACCCATTGCGGGTGTCAGGCTGGGGGACAGTCCGGTCTTTTCCATCCCACGAGGCCATATTTCAGACTGTCACATGGGGAGAAACCTTGGACAATACCCTGCTTTCAAGGGCAGAGGTCCCTGTGGCTTTCCACGGTGCATTGCACCCCTGGTTTATTGAGACTAGGGAATGGCAATGACTCCTACCAAGGATACTGCTCGTAAACATTTGGTAAACAAGGCGCGTCCTGCACAGCCCTAGATCCCTTAAACCTCGATTTTATACAACACAGGTTTTTGTGAGCTCCAAGTTGGGTCAAAGGAAGGGGCTGCGGGAAAGCTACAAATGATCAACATCTCAGCAAAGCAATTGTTTAAACTACAGGTCTTTTTCAAAATGGAGTCTCTTATGTCTTCCCCTTCTACATAGACACAGTGACAGTCTGATCTCTCTTTCTTTACCCTACATCCAAGGGCTTGAACATTTCTTGACTTGTTGGCAATCCAAATCGTTACGTCTCCGAAACAGAGTTGACTGAGGGGACCGCAGGGCTGGGCAGGACCTTTGACTTCCTATACATCCACAGGAGCAAGAAAACCTCAGCCCCACTCTACCAACACGCACCTAGTAAAATTCCGCCAACCGAATCTCACGCACGCTAACACGTGGGGAGCGTTGCTTGCACCACGAGTCCCCATTTGGCTCAACCGCCGATGCCAAGTGTGTGGTTCCAGTTGCGACGGCCCCCCGTGAAGTGGCTTCCGGATGTGCGAAGGAACCAGGCAGAGTTTCACTGGCCAAATAGACCCCAGCAAAGCTGAAGTTAACTCCCACATTTGGGATGTACTTCAGAGGTAAAACATTCATCCCGTCTTCTTTCCGGATGTCTGACACCATGGTTCTCCCCCTGATCCTAAGAGTAGCTGAGGCAGAGACTCACTGAAAGATCTAGGCGGGGATATCCCATCATGCACAGGCTCTCTCCATTCTCTGACCTGGGAACAACTCTCAGCAGGATTCCACATCTAGGAGGCCTCGGAACTCAGCGGGATTTTCTGAGACACACCAACTGGCTGCTCCCTCTCCGCCGCTGTTGAGGGTCGTTATCTTGATTATCCAGATCAACTAGAAAGTATCCGTATCCAGAATGAATAAGATCAACTCTCTGCTCCTCTGACAGCAGAAGGAGCAGGACCATAAGGAACCAAAGAGCGTGGAAGGAAACGATGTGACAGGAAAGCTCAGAGAACGGCCACAGGGGGTCGTCAGCAGGCCTTCGAACCTGAATCATGAATAATTAATGAAGCGCAAATCAAAGGGGACTCGAGTTTCAGCAGGAGCAATCCATCCAACGGGAGATCGCCGGAGGGCCAACAAGATTGAGAGACTGGGAGCCGGGTGCAGTGTCAAAGGGGACGCGACTGGTTCCAAAGCTCGAGAAGACCATGGGGTCACTTGGGCTACATGAGAAAACGCCCCAGTGTGCTGGTTCATCATTCCGACTCCTGCCTGTCTCTTCCCGTCCAAGGAACATGGACCCTAAGTCGTGCAGGTGCGGATGACCATGGGCAGAATTAGGGGCCGTGGCACAAAAGTTCACCGACACGGGAGTTCCACAGAAGGTGCGGTGGATCTTCGCAAATCCAGAGACATGGCAATGGGACCCAGGGAATTACAGCCTCACAGGCGTCCGGGAGACTTTTCAGGCATAATGCCTGGAGTCGCAAGACGAGCTGAAAAAGGAGCCAGGCACTGAAGGACAAAGCGTTGTTGACTTTCCTCATCTGTGTTTCCCAGTGCGGTCCAATTCACGGTGGTTTCCAAGCGCCTCCTGGGGGAGAAAACACATGAGGGTGCGGTCAGGGTTCTCTGCTGACAGACTTACCTTGGGGAAGAAAGAGAAGCTCTGAAGATGGATCATGGCCGTGACTGCATGTCAAGCAGAGTCTCCTTGATGACACTGAGGCCTACGTCGAGATAGACAAAATGTGGTCCAATTAAAAGGTGTCTATTTTACCACATTTTTTAAAACAAAACAAAACAAAACAACAGAAAAGATGGAAAAGAAGACAGGGGTACAGGCACCAGTGTTACATGTCTGACGGGGAACATCTATTGTTCAAAGCTTGCAGCTGTACAAGTAGGTTTTAGAATGTCTGTCAGCAGTGGACATGATCTTAGAGTGGGCTGTGCAGATAGACCTTTCCAGGTCATGTAATTGGATTAAGTTAATTGCAATTAAGGTACAGGTAACTGATTAGGTTAGGGTACGTTCCATGTCAGGTGACCAGAGGCAGTATAAAAGGCAGCCTGGAAAGCAGAGGTCCCTCTCCGCCCCTTCCTCCGTCGTCCTGGATGCTGCATCGCTTCCAGCGGGGCTGCTGCAGCACCTGCCCATCTCAGCGCCAGCCTGGGAAAGAAAGTAGACGTGTAATTTCAGGTTAGTTTCGCTGAACAATTGTTTGTTTCACGCAATCCCTGAGTGGTTTTGGCGGGGAGGGGCGGGGGGAGGAAGAGACAAAGGAGGCCGAAAGAAACCGATCACACTGGGGCTTGCTGGTGGGGTAGGATGTGTTCTCGTTACTAGTAATTCTTGGAACAGAAAACGAGACAACATATCCGTCTCCACGTGTGGGAGAAGACCAAGATGGGAATGCGAAAAGAAATGTACTGCAGCATGCTGAGTTGGTGGGTAAATGGAAAAAGGACTTTGGAAAAAAGGGGGGTTTGCCCTTCAGCCGTGTAAGACGTCGATACGATACGGCACTTCTTCCCCGTTTGTTCAGATGAATTCGTGTGGTATGCGTAAAATACCAGGAAAATAAATAAAGAGGGGCTGGAGCTAAAGCCAAAAGATAGAACAGGAAAGATCATCACCTGCTAGTGCGGTAGAGAGGAAGGTAACTTCTCTGTATGAATTTGTGTTTGGAAGTTGCCTAATGAAATGGCAAGAGTAGCGATTCAAGTTATCACAGGAAGCATCCCTTATCCGTGACTTCAAGCAGACCTGCCAAAGGGTGGCACACGCCATGCCCTGTGTCTTCGATCATTCTGTCCGTCAAGGGAGATAGAATCACCGTGTCTTCTACCGGAGTGAACCGTGAGAGACCTAAGTCCAGTCTCCAGAATCAGTTGTTTGTTTGGGGTTGAAAGCTCAACCCCCCATACCTAGGCCACGGGCCCTGTGGCAGGTGGGGTTTACTCTTGGACTAGGTAGTCATGGCAGAGGAACACACAATATCCGAGGATGCGCACAGCACATTGTGTTCTACAGATTTGACCCACTGGTGGTGAGGTCTCCTCATGACCACACAGGCAGGGAGTTAGCAGGTGGCTTCCTGTGGGTGTGTGAATATCCAACGTGCTTAACCATCGACATGTGTGTGTTTGTGTGTGTTTCAGGTGGCCCAACAGTCCACCCCTGAAAAAGGCGGTCATAAAACCCCCAGGAGACGAAGATGATGGCACGTCGGGACCCCAAATCTTGGGCCAAGAGACTGGTGAGAGCCCAGACCCTCCAGAAGCAGCGGAGGGCCCCAGTTGGGCCAAGGGCTCCCCCGCCCGATGAAGAAGATCCCAGGGTAAGTCTAGCCCTGGATCTCTTGGGTATCGGGGTGGGGGTGGGGACGGGGGGAGGGGGTGTCCCACGGTCCTCAGAGACTGGGTTGGATTCCAAAGAGTTCTGTCACCACCAGCCAGGTTGCTTTTCCCATCCAAGGTGGGCGTGGCTTGGGACCTTCTCCCCGGCCCGATAGGTCCCTTGAGAGACTCTTGGGGGCAACCTCCCTTTCTACTTAGAGTCCTGTGTAGCCACGTTTGGCTGCGTTGTTGACATCGGCTTCACCATCGTGCCCCTTGGAACCTTGAGTCCTTCCTTTCAGAGTTCCTCCGTCCCATGGGCTTTGCGAGGGAACATCGTACCCGAACTCTCCCGGCACTTAACGGCCCCCATGCCGGTGTCCCCTCTTTGGAATCCTTATTCAGCTCTGAATTCACAATCCGTCCCAATGTTGACGTGGGATCGCTGCCTGTGGCTTCAGCTCACTCACTGACATCACTTCCTTTCCACCCACAGCTCAAGTGCAAAAACTGCGGGGCCTTTGGCCACACGGCCAGAAGTACCAGGTGCCCCATGAAGTGCTGGAAGGCAGCCCTGGTTCCAGCGACCTTGGGGAAAAAGGAAGGGAAGGAAAACCTGAAACCATGGAAGCCCCGGGTTGAAGCCAACCCGGGGCCCTTGAACAAGGATAAGGGAGAGAAGGAAGAGAGACCAAGGTGAGCAGTGGGAGGGGTTTTCACCACTCTTAGGATGCTGCCTCCTAAGGACATGGTGTCTCTGCACCTGCACACCGTGTGCCTTTCCGTCTCCGGGCCAGGGAAGGAGCGCTGCAGAGAAATAGGCCGGAGCTCCGTGTCCTCCGGGGTTCCACACCCAGGAGCTCCTTGGGCTCTGGGAGATTCAGGGACGGGGAGAGGCGGGGGCGCTTCGTGCAGGTTCCCCACGACAGGGGGAAAAGCGATGGAATCCAAATCACAGTCCTTAGTTCGGAAGCCTAGAGGGCCACCTGGAGGATGGGAAGGTTGGCACGTGAGGGAAGGTGCAGAGGCGGAAAGGGCACCAGATGTCCATTTCTGTATCACAAAACACGGAATGGGGCTGGGCCCCAGACGGGGCTCTCCCTGTCTCCTGGGGAAAACCAGGGGGCACGGCCTGACCTTTTTCTGTTCTGCAGGCAACAAGACCCGCAGAGGAAGGCTCTCCTCCACATGTTTTCCGGGAAACCTCCAGAGAAGCCGCTGCCGAATGGAAAAGGATCCACGGAGTCTTCTGATCATCTGAGGGTGAGTGTCACCCCGGGCCCCTGGTCCTTTTCTCCTCTAGGTCACCCTGGTTGATTTCCTTTCAGCTTCCCGTCTGCGGGAGGAAATCGGGGAACCCCTCTTTCTTGCCTTCTTGGGGTCAGGGACTCCACGATCCTTCCAGGTCAATTGGATTCCAGGCGAAGGCATCTGAAGATGCCGTATTTCCTGTGGCTTTCTTTCTGTCCAATTATGGCAAGCCTGCCAACAACACGTTCCTAGCGGCATGAGGAAATTAGTCCCTCAGAGGCCCCAAACGTGGAGAAGGCGAAACCCAGGAACATGCATGTGTTCAGAGAAGACGTCCCGAGTACCCTTGAGCCAGCAACCTGCCTCGGGAAGGGCATTAGTCCGTTCCACTTCATGGAAGGCTGAGTGGAGGCGCTTTGATCCAGTTAATGCCCAAGACGCGATCTTTTGAACAATGGTGTGCTTAGATCAGCTACACATAGCTCGAGAGCGCATCTTTCATGTGTCTTGTCCTGATCAGCACTCAGGTGGAGGGTCTGTCCCTACTTCCAAGGACCGCCTGTCGATACTGTACTAAGAATTTCATGGCGTGTGCACCTTGTCTTTGGATGTGCTTGATTTTCACGTTGGCTCCATGCTGAGGAACTTCTAACCTGTGTTGTTTCCTCTCTTTCAGGTTGCAAGCGGGCCAATGCCGGTCCACACAACCAGTAAGAGGCCGCGCGTGGACCCTGTCCTCGCTGATCGCTCAGCTGCCGAAATGTCTGGCAGGGGCTCCGTCTTGGCTTCACTGTCTCCCCTCAGAAAAGCCAGCCTGAGCTCCTCCTCAAGTCTTGGACCAAAGGAAAGACAGACAGGGGCTGCGGCCGACATGCCTCAGCCTGCAGTCAGGCACCAGGGCCGCGAGCCTCTCCTCGTGGTGAAGCCGACACACAGCAGCCCCGAGGGTGGCTGCCGAGAAGTTCCCCAGGCTGCCTCCAAAACCCACGGCCTGCTCCAGGCCGCCAGACCCCAGGCACAAGACAAACGTCCTGCGGTGACCTCGCAGCCCTGCCCGCCAGCCGCCACACACAGCTTGGGCCTAGGCTCCAATCTCAGCTTCGGGCCAGGAGCCAAGAGACCTGCCCAGGCTCCGATTCAGGCTTGCCTGAAATTCCCCAAGAAACCGAGACTGGGTCCCTTCCAGATCCCCGAAAGCGCCATCCAGGGAGGTGAGCTGGGGGCCCCGGGGAATCTCCAACCTCCGCCAGCCGCAACCGAACTTGGACCAAGTACGTCGCCCCAGATGGGCAGGAGGACACCGGCCCAGGTGCCCAGCGTCGACTGGCAGCCTCCGCACAGCACACCTTGCCTGCCTACTGCCCAGGCCTGCACCATGTCCCATCACTCAGCGGCCAGCCATGATGGGGCCCAGCCTCTCAGAGTGCTCTTCCGGAGACTGGAAAACGGACGCTGGAGCTCCAGCCTCCTGGCGGCCCCCTCATTTCACTCTCCTGAGAAGCCGGGAGCCTTCCTCGCTCAGAGCCCTCATGTGTCAGAGAAGTCTGAGGCTCCCTGTGTTCGTGTCCCACCGAGCGTCCTCTATGAGGACCTTCAGGTTTCCTCCTCCTCAGAGGACAGCGATTCTGACCTGGAGTGAGACTGCAGGTGGCAGGGGCTCCTTGGCCTCCAGCTCCCGTGACTTGGAGGGGACTGTGGGACTGAGGAGCGCAGAGCAGAGAGCACACTCTGTGCGGTGACTCCGAAGCTCCCCGGCTGTGGCGCTTCTGTGGATGTGGGAGCCCAGGCCAGGCAGGGAGCAGATGCAGGGACTCTGCCTCATTGAATTCTGGTGAGGGACGTTGTAGTTGGCGTGGTTCTCCGGAAACGCGCCAGGAAAAGCTTCCGTGCCAGAGATTCGTTGCCTCAGAAACTGCGTGACGCGCAGGAGTCAGACTTCCGCTGGGACGTCAATAGGAAACTGGGGAATTACTGTGTATTTGCTCTCTAGATGACTGAATAAGGGAAAAGTTAGGGAACCCTGAGAGGTGCAGCCCTTCCGCTGTGCCCCGCCCTGAGAGCAGTGTTTCGGACGCTGGGAAGCGTGCTGTGCGAAGCGCTCTCGGGGTCTTTCCTCAGCCTCGAAAACTGGGCTCTGGAATGCCTTTGTACATATGTGTGTTTAATGGGTTTTGAAGTGAATAAAATTCTCAAAAAGATGACATATTGTCTTTTGACTCTCATTCCGTGTTTGTGTGTAACTGATTTTCCAAGTGAAGGGGTGGCCTGCCCCTCCACACCTGTGGGTGTTTCTAGTCGGGTGGGATGAGAGACGGAGAAAAGAAATAAGACACAGAGACAAAGTATAGGGAGACAACAGTGGGTCCAGGGGACCGGCACTCAGCACACCTAGGACCTGCACCGGCACCGGCCTCTGAGTTCCCTCAGTTTTTATTGATTATGATTTTCATTATTTCAGCACAAAGGAATGCAGTAGGGGAGCAGGGTGATAATAAGGGGAAGGTCAAAACAACAACAAAAAACAAACACGTGAGCAAAAGAATCCATATCATTATTAAGTTCAAGGGAAGGTACTATGCCTGGACGTGCACGTAGGCCAGATTTATGTTTCTCTCCACACAAATATCTCAGCGGAGTAAAGAATAACAAGGCAGCATTACTGCCAGCATGTCTCGCCTCCCGCCACAGGGCAGCTTTTCGCCGAGCTCAGAGTTGAACAAATGTACGATCGGGCTTTACACCGAGACATTCAGTTCCCAGGGGCAAGCAGGAGACAGTGGCCTTCCTCCATCTGAACTGCAAGAGGCGTTCCTCTTTGACTAATCCACCTCAGCACAGACCCATTGCGGGTGTCAGGCTGGGGGACAGTCCGGTCTTTTCCATCCCACGAGGCCATATTTCAGACTGTCACATGGGGAGAAACCTTGGACAATACCCTGCTTTCAAGGGCAGAGGTCCCTGTGGCTTTCCACGGTGCATTGCACCCCTGGTTTATTGAGACTAGGGAATGGCAATGACTCCTACCAAGGATACTGCTCGTAAACATTTGGTAAACAAGGCGCGTCCTGCACAGCCCTAGATCCCTTAAACCTCGATTTTATACAACACAGGTTTTTGTGAGCTCCAAGTTGGGTCAAAGGAAGGGGCTGCGGGAAAGCTACAAATGATCAACATCTCAGCAAAGCAATTGTTTAAACTACAGGTCTTTTTCAAAATGGAGTCTCTTATGTCTTCCCCTTCTACATAGACACAGTGACAGTCTGATCTCTCTTTCTTTACCCTACATCCAAGGGCTTGAACATTTCTTGACTTGTTGGCAATCCAAATCGTTACGTCTCCGAAACAGAGTTGACTGAGGGGACCGCAGGGCTGGGCAGGACCTTTGACTTCCTATACATCCACAGGAGCAAGAAAACCTCAGCCCCACTCTACCAACACGCACCTAGTAAAATTCCGCCAACCGAATCTCACGCACGCTAACACGTGGGGAGCGTTGCTTGCACCACGAGTCCCCATTTGGCTCAACCGCCGATGCCAAGTGTGTGGTTCCAGTTGCGACGGCCCCCCGTGAAGTGGCTTCCGGATGTGCGAAGGAACCAGGCAGAGTTTCACTGGCCAAATAGACCCCAGCAAAGCTGAAGTTAACTCCCACATTTGGGATGTACTTCAGAGGTAAAACATTCATCCCGTCTTCTTTCCGGATGTCTGACACCATGGTTCTCCCCCTGATCCTAAGAGTAGCTGAGGCAGAGACTCACTGAAAGATCTAGGCGGGGATATCCCATCATGCACAGGCTCTCTCCATTCTCTGACCTGGGAACAACTCTCAGCAGGATTCCACATCTAGGAGGCCTCGGAACTCAGCGGGATTTTCTGAGACACACCAACTGGCTGCTCCCTCTCCGCCGCTGTTGAGGGTCGTTATCTTGATTATCCAGATCACCTAGAAAGTATCCGTATCCAGAATGAATAAGATCAACTCTCTGCTCCTCTGACAGCAGAAGGAGCAGGACCATAAGGAACCAAAGAGCGTGGAAGGAAACGATGTGACAGGAAAGCTCAGAGAACGGCCACAGGGGGTCGTCAGCAGGCCTTCGAACCTGAATCATGAATAATTAATGAAGCGCAAATCAAAGGGGACTCGAGTTTCAGCAGGAGCAATCCATCCAACGGGAGATCGCCGGAGGGCCAACAAGATTGAGAGACTGGGAGCCGGGTGCAGTGTCAAAGGGGACGCGACTGGTTCCAAAGCTCGAGAAGACCATGGGGTCACTTGGGCTACATGAGAAAACGCCCCAGTGTGCTGGTTCATCATTCCGACTCCTGCCTGTCTCTTCCCGTCCAAGGAACATGGACCCTAAGTCGTGCAGGTGCGGATGACCATGGGCAGAATTAGGGGCCGTGGCACAAAAGTTCACCGACACGGGAGTTCCACAGAAGGTGCGGTGGATCTTCGCAAATCCAGAGACATGGCAATGGGACCCAGGGAATTACAGCCTCACAGGCGTCCGGGAGACTTTTCAGGCATAATGCCTGGAGTCGCAAGACGAGCTGAAAAAGGAGCCAGGCACTGAAGGACAAAGCGTTGTTGACTTTCCTCATCTGTGTTTCCCAGTGCGGTCCAATTCACGGTGGTTTCCAAGCGCCTCCTGGGGGAGAAAACACATGAGGGTGCGGTCAGGGTTCTCTGCTGACAGACTTACCTTGGGGAAGAAAGAGAAGCTCTGAAGATGGATCATGGCCGTGACTGCATGTCAAGCAGAGTCTCCTTGATGACACTGAGGCCTACGTCGAGATAGACAAAATGTGGTCCAATTAAAAGGTGTCTATTTTACCACATTTTTTAAAACAAAACAAAACAAAACAACAGAAAAGATGGAAAAGAAGACAGGGGTACAGGCACCAGTGTTACATGTCTGACGGGGAACATCTATTGTTCAAAGCTTGCAGCTGTACAAGTAGGTTTTAGAATGTCTGTCAGCAGTGGACATGATCTTAGAGTGGGCTGTGCAGATAGACCTTTCCAGGTCATGTAATTGGATTAAGTTAATTGCAATTAAGGTACAGGTAACTGATTAGGTTAGGGTACGTTCCATGTCAGGTGACCAGAGGCAGTATAAAAGGCAGCCTGGAAAGCAGAGGTCCCTCTCCGCCCCTTCCTCCGTCGTCCTGGATGCTGCATCGCTTCCAGCGGGGCTGCTGCAGCACCTGCCCATCTCAGCGCCAGCCTGGGAAAGAAAGTAGACGTGTAATTTCAGGTTAGTTTCGCTGAACAATTGTTTGTTTCACGCAATCCCTGAGTGGTTTTGGCGGGGAGGGGCGGGGGGAGGAAGAGACAAAGGAGTCCGAAAGAAACCGATCACACTGGGGCTTGCTGGTGGGGTAGGATGTGTTCTCGTTACTAGTAATTCTTGGAACAGAAAACGAGACAACATATCCGTCTCCACGTGTGGGAGAAGACCAAGATGGGAATGCGAAAAGAAATGTACTGCAGCATGCTGAGTTGGTGGGTAAATGGAAAAAGGACTTTGGAAAAAAGGGGGGTTTGCCCTTCAGCCGTGTAAGACGTCGATACGATACGGCACTTCTTCCCCGTTTGTTCAGATGAATTCGTGTGGTATGCGTAAAATACCAGGAAAATAAATAAAGAGGGGCTGGAGCTAAAGCCAAAAGATAGAACAGGAAAGATCATCACCTGCTAGTGCGGTAGAGAGGAAGGTAACTTCTCTGTATGAATTTGTGTTTGGAAGTTGCCTAATGAAATGGCAAGAGTAGCGATTCAAGTTATCACAGGAAGCATCCCTTATCCGTGACTTCAAGCAGACCTGCCAAAGGGTGGCACACGCCATGCCCTGTGTCTTCGATCATTCTGTCCGTCAAGGGAGATAGAATCACCGTGTCTTCTACCGGAGTGAACCGTGAGAGACCTAAGTCCAGTCTCCAGAATCAGTTGTTTGTTTGGGGTTGAAAGCTCAACCCCCCATACCTAGGCCACGGGCCCTGTGGCAGGTGGGGTTTACTCTTGGACTAGGTAGTCATGGCAGAGGAACACACAATATCCGAGGATGCGCACAGCACATTGTGTTCTACAGATTTGACCCACTGGTGGTGAGGTCTCCTCATGACCACACAGGCAGGGAGTTAGCAGGTGGCTTCCTGTGGGTGTGTGAATATCCAACGTGCTTAACCATCGACATGTGTGTGTTTGTGTGTGTTTCAGGTGGCCCAACAGTCCACCCCTGAAAAAGGCGGTCATAAAACCCCCAGGAGACGAAGATGATGGCACGTCGGGACCCCAAATCTTGGGCCAAGAGACTGGTGAGAGCCCAGACCCTCCAGAAGCAGCGGAGGGCCCCAGTTGGGCCAAGGGCTCCCCCGCCCGATGAAGAAGATCCCAGGGTAAGTCTAGCCCTGGATCTCTTGGGTATCGGGGTGGGGGTGGGGACGGGGGGAGGGGGTGTCCCACGGTCCTCAGAGACTGGGTTGGATTCCAAAGAGTTCTGTCACCACCAGCCAGGTTGCTTTTCCCATCCAAGGTGGGCGTGGCTTGGGACCTTCTCCCCGGCCCGATAGGTCCCTTGAGAGACTCTTGGGGGCAACCTCCCTTTCTACTTAGAGTCCTGTGTAGCCACGTTTGGCTGCGTTGTTGACATCGGCTTCACCATCGTGCCCCTTGGAACCTTGAGTCCTTCCTTTCAGAGTTCCTCCGTCCCATGGGCTTTGCGAGGGAACATCGTACCCGAACTCTCCCGGCACTTAACGGCCCCCATGCCGGTGTCCCCTCTTTGGAATCCTTATTCAGCTCTGAATTCACAATCCGTCCCAATGTTGACGTGGGATCGCTGCCTGTGGCTTCAGCTCACTCACTGACATCACTTCCTTTCCACCCACAGCTCAAGTGCAAAAACTGCGGGGCCTTTGGCCACACGGCCAGAAGTACCAGGTGCCCCATGAAGTGCTGGAAGGCAGCCCTGGTTCCAGCGACCTTGGGGAAAAAGGAAGGGAAGGAAAACCTGAAACCATGGAAGCCCCGGGTTGAAGCCAACCCGGGGCCCTTGAACAAGGATAAGGGAGAGAAGGAAGAGAGACCAAGGTGAGCAGTGGGAGGGGTTTTCACCACTCTTAGGATGCTGCCTCCTAAGGACATGGTGTCTCTGCACCTGCACACCGTGTGCCTTTCCGTCTCCGGGCCAGGGAAGGAGCGCTGCAGAGAAATAGGCCGGAGCTCCGTGTCCTCCGGGGTTCCACACCCAGGAGCTCCTTGGGCTCTGGGAGATTCAGGGACGGGGAGAGGCGGGGGCGCTTCGTGCAGGTTCCCCACGACAGGGGGAAAAGCGATGGAATCCAAATCACAGTCCTTAGTTCGGAAGCCTAGAGGGCCACCTGGAGGATGGGAAGGTTGGCACGTGAGGGAAGGTGCAGAGGCGGAAAGGGCACCAGATGTCCATTTCTGTATCACAAAACACGGAATGGGGCTGGGCCCCAGACGGGGCTCTCCCTGTCTCCTGGGGAAAACCAGGGGGCACGGCCTGACCTTTTTCTGTTCTGCAGGCAACAAGACCCGCAGAGGAAGGCTCTCCTCCACATGTTTTCCGGGAAACCTCCAGAGAAGCCGCTGCCGAATGGAAAAGGATCCACGGAGTCTTCTGATCATCTGAGGGTGAGTGTCACCCCGGGCCCCTGGTCCTTTTCTCCTCTAGGTCACCCTGGTTGATTTCCTTTCAGCTTCCCGTCTGCGGGAGGAAATCGGGGAACCCCTCTTTCTTGCCTTCTTGGGGTCAGGGACTCCACGATCCTTCCAGGTCAATTGGATTCCAGGCGAAGGCATCTGAAGATGCCGTATTTCCTGTGGCTTTCTTTCTGTCCAATTATGGCAAGCCTGCCAACAACACGTTCCTAGCGGCATGAGGAAATTAGTCCCTCAGAGGCCCCAAACGTGGAGAAGGCGAAACCCAGGAACATGCATGTGTTCAGAGAAGACGTCCCGAGTACCCTTGAGCCAGCAACCTGCCTCGGGAAGGGCATTAGTCCGTTCCACTTCATGGAAGGCTGAGTGGAGGCGCTTTGATCCAGTTAATGCCCAAGACGCGATCTTTTGAACAATGGTGTGCTTAGATCAGCTACACATAGCTCGAGAGCGCATCTTTCATGTGTCTTGTCCTGATCAGCACTCAGGTGGAGGGTCTGTCCCTACTTCCAAGGACCGCCTGTCGATACTGTACTAAGAATTTCATGGCGTGTGCACCTTGTCTTTGGATGTGCTTGATTTTCACGTTGGCTCCATGCTGAGGAACTTCTAACCTGTGTTGTTTCCTCTCTTTCAGGTTGCAAGCGGGCCAATGCCGGTCCACACAACCAGTAAGAGGCCGCGCGTGGACCCTGTCCTCGCTGATCGCTCAGCTGCCGAAATGTCTGGCAGGGGCTCCGTCTTGGCTTCACTGTCTCCCCTCAGAAAAGCCAGCCTGAGCTCCTCCTCAAGTCTTGGACCAAAGGAAAGACAGACAGGGGCTGCGGCCGACATGCCTCAGCCTGCAGTCAGGCACCAGGGCCGCGAGCCTCTCCTCGTGGTGAAGCCGACACACAGCAGCCCCGAGGGTGGCTGCCGAGAAGTTCCCCAGGCTGCCTCCAAAACCCACGGCCTGCTCCAGGCCGCCAGACCCCAGGCACAAGACAAACGTCCTGCGGTGACCTCGCAGCCCTGCCCGCCAGCCGCCACACACAGCTTGGGCCTAGGCTCCAATCTCAGCTTCGGGCCAGGAGCCAAGAGACCTGCCCAGGCTCCGATTCAGGCTTGCCTGAACTTCCCCAAGAAACCGAGACTGGGTCCCTTCCAGATCCCCGAAAGCGCCATCCAGGGAGGTGAGCTGGGGGCCCCGGAGAATCTCCAACCTCCGCCAGCCGCAACCGAACTTGGACCAAGTACGTCGCCCCAGATGGGCAGGAGGACACCGGCCCAGGTGCCCAGCGTCGACCGGCAGCCTCCGCACAGCACACCTTGCCTGCCTACTGCCCAGGCCTGCACCATGTCCCATCACTCAGCGGCCAGCCATGATGGGGCCCAGCCTCTCAGAGT
This sequence comes from Homo sapiens, assembly GCF_000001405.40. Taxonomy (NCBI): domain Eukaryota; kingdom Metazoa; phylum Chordata; class Mammalia; order Primates; family Hominidae; genus Homo; species Homo sapiens. The sequence goes on from NC_000008.11 coordinate 7,764,127, forward strand.
GCTCTTCCGGAGACTGGAAAACGGACGCTGGAGCTCCAGCCTCCTGGCGGCCCCCTCATTTCACTCTCCTGAGAAGCCGGGAACCTTCCTCGCTCAGAGCCCTCATGTGTCAGAGAAGTCTGAGGCTCCCTGTGTTCGTGTCCCACCGAGCGTCCTCTATGAGGACCTTCAGGTTTCCTCCTCCTCAGAGGACAGCGATTCTGACCTGGAGTGAGACTGCAGGTGGCAGGGGCTCCTTGGCCTCCAGTTCCCGTGACTTGGAGGGGACTGTGGGACTGAGGAGCGCAGAGCAGAGAGCACACTCTGTGCGGTGACTCCGAAGCTCCCCGGCTGTGGCGCTTCTGTGGATGTGGGAGCCCAGGCCAGGCAGGGAGCAGATGCAGGGACTCTGCCTCATTGAATTCTGGTGAGGGACGTTGTAGTTGGCGTGGTTCTCCGGAAACGCGCCAGGAAAAGCTTCCGTGCCAGAGATTCGTTGCCTCAGAAACTGCGTGACGCGCAGGAGTCAGACTTCCGCTGGGACGTCAATAGGAAACTGGGGAATTACTGTGTATTTGCTCTCTAGATGACTGAATAAGGGAAAAGTTAGGGAACCCTGAGAGGTGCAGCCCTTCCGCTGTGCCCCGCCCTGAGAGCAGTGTTTCGGACGCTGGGAAGCGTGCTGTGCGAAGCGCTCTCGGGGTCTTTCCTCAGCCTCGAAAACTGGGCTCTGGAATGCCTTTGTACATATGTGTGTTTAATGTGTTTTGAAGTGAATAAAATTCTCAAGAAGATGACATATTGTCTTTTGACTCTCATTCCGTGTTTGTGTGTAACTGATTTTCCAAGTGAAGGGGTGGCCTGCCCCTCCACACCTGTGGGTGTTTCTAGTCGGGTGGGATGAGAGACGGAGAAAAGAAATAAGACACAGAGACAAAGTATAGGGAGACAACAGTGGGTCCAGGGGACCGGCACTCAGCACACCTAGGACCTGCACCGGCACCGGCCTCTGAGTTCCCGCAGTTTTTATTGATTGTGATTTTCATTATTTCAGCACAAAGGAATGCAGTAGGGGAGCAGGGTGATAATAAGGGGAAGGTCAACAAAAACAACACAAAACAAACACGTGAGCAAAAGAATCCATATCATTATTAAGTTCAAGGGAAGGTACTATGCCTGGACGTGCACGTAGGCCAGATTTATGTTTCTCTCCACACAAATATCTCAGCGGAGTAAAGAATAACAAGGCAGCATTACTGCCAACATGTCTCGCCTCCCGCCACAGGGCAGCTTTTCGCCGAGCTCAGAGTTGAACAAATGTACGATCGGGCTTTACACCGAGACATTCAGTTCCCAGGGGCAAGCAGGAGACAGTGGCCTTCCTCCATCTGAACTGCAAGAGGCGTTCCTCTTTGACTAATCCACCTCAGCACAGACCCATTGCGGGTGTCAGGCTAGGGGACATTCAGGACTTTCCCATCCCACGAGGCCATATTTCAGACTGTCACATGGGGAGAAACCTTGGACAATACCCTGCTTTCAAGGGCAGAGGTCCCTGTGGCTTTCCACGGTGCATTGCACCCCTGGTTTATTGAGACTAGAGAATGGCAATGACTTCTACCAAGTATACTGCTCGTAAACATTTGGTTAACAAGGCGCGTCCTGCACAGCCCTAGATCCCTTAAACCTCGATTTTATACAACACAGGTTTTTGTGAGCTCCAAGTTGGGTCAAAGGAAGGGGCTGCGGCAAGGCAACAAATGAACAACATCTCAGCAAAGCAATTGTTTAAACTACAGGTCTTTTTCAAAATGGAGTCTCTTATGTCTTCCCCTTCTACATAGACACAGTGACAGTCTGATCTCTCTTTCTTTACCCTACATCCAAGGGCTTGAACATTTCTTGACTTGTTGGCAATCCAAATCGTTACGTCTCCGAAACAGAGTTGACTGAGGGGACCGCAGGGCTGGGCAGGACCTTTGACTTCCTATACATCCACAGGAGCAAGAAAACCTCAGCCCCACTCTACCAACACGCACCTAGTAAAATTCCGCCAACCGAATCTCACGCACGCTAACACGTGGGGAGCGTTGCTTGCACCACGAGTCCCCATTTGGCTCAACCGCCGATGCCAAGTGTGTGGTTCCAGTTGCGACGGCCCCCCGTGAAGTGGCTTCCGGATGTGCGAAGGAACCAGGCAGAGTTTCACTGGCCAAATAGACCCCAGCAAAGCTGAAGTTAACTCCCACATTTGGGATGTACTTCAGAGGTAAAACATTCATCCCGTCTTCTTTCCGGATGTCTGACACCATGGTTCTCCCCCTGATCCTAAGAGTAGCTGAGGCAGAGACTCACTGAAAGATCTAGGCGGGGATATCCCATCATGCACAGGCTCTCTCCATTCTCTGACCTGGGAACAACTCTCAGCAGGATTCCACATCTAGGAGGCCTCGGAACTCAGCGGGATTTTCTGAGACACACCAACTGGCTGCTCCCTCTCCGCCGCTGTTGAGGGTCGTTATCTTGATTATCCAGATCACCTAGAAAGTATCCGTATCCAGAATGAATAAGATCAACTCTCTGCTCCTCTGACAGCAGAAGGAGCAGGACCGTAAGGAACCAAAGAGCGTGGAAGGAAACGATGTGACAGGAAAGCTCAGAGAACGGCCACAGGGGGTCGTCAGCAGGCCTTCCAACCTGAATCATGAATAATTAATGAAGCGCAAATCAAAGGGGACTCGAGTTTCAGCAGGAGCAATTCATCCAACGGGAGATCGCCGGAGGGCCAACAAGATTGAGTGACTGGGAGCCGGGTGCAGTGTCAAAGGGGACGCGACTGGTTCCAAAGCTCGAGAAGACCATGGGGTCACTTGGGCTACATGAGAAAACGCCCCAGTGTGCTGGTTCATCATTCCGACTCCTGCCTGTCTCTTCCCGTCCAAGGAACATGGACCCTAAGTCGTGCAGGTGCGGATGACCATGGGCAGAATTAGGGGCCGTGGCACAAAAGTTCACCGACACGGGAGTTCCACAGAAGGTGCGGTGGATCTTCGCAAATCCAGAGACATGGCAATGGGACCCAGGGAATTACAGCCTCACAGGCGTCCGGGAGACTTTTCAGGCATAATGCCTGGAGTCGCAAGAGGAGCTGAAAAAGGAGCCAGGCACTGAAGGACAAAGCGTTGTTGACTTTCCTCATCTGTGTTTCCCAGTGCGGTCCAATTCACGGTTGTTTCCAAGCGCCTCCTGGGGGAGAAAACACATGAGGGTGCGGTCAGGGTTCTCTGCTGACAGACTTACCTTGGGGAAGAAAGAGAAGCTCTGAAGATGGATCATGGCCGTGACTGCATGTCAAGGAGAGTCTCCTTGATGACACTGAGGCCTACGTCGAGATAGACAAAATGTGGTCCAATTAAAAGGTGTCTATTTTACCACATTTTTTAAAACAAAACAAAACAAAACAACAAAAAAGATGGAAAAGAAGACAGGGGTACAGGCACCAGTGTTACATGTCTGACGGGGAACATCTATTGTTCAAAGCTTGCAGCTGTACAAGTAGGTTTTAGAATGTCTGTCAGCAGTGGACATGATCTTAGAGTGGGCTGTGCAGATAGACCTTTCCAGGTCATGTAATTGGATTAAGTTAATTGCAATTAAGGTACAGGTAACTGATTAGGTTAGGGTACGTTCCATGTCAGGTGACCAGAGGCAGTATAAAAGGCAGCCTGGAAAGCGGAGGTCCCTCTCTGCCCCTTCCTCCGTCGTCCTGGATGCTGCATCGCTTCCAGCCGGGCTGCTGCAGCACCTGCCCATCTCAGCGCCAGCCTGGGAATGAAAGTAGACGTGTAATTTCAGGTTAGTTTCGCTGAACAATTGTTTGTTTCACGCAATCCCTGAGGGGTATTTGCGGGGGGTGTGGGGGAGGAAGAGACAAAGGAGGCCGAAAGAAACCGATCACACTGGGGCTTGCTGGTGGGGTAGGATGTGTTCTCGTTACTAGTAATTCTTGGAACAGAAAACGAGACAACATATCCGTCTCCACGTGTGGGAGAAGACCAAGATGGGAATGGGAAAAGAAATGTACTGCAGCATGCTGAATTGGTGGGTAAATGGAAAAAAGACTTTGGAAAAAAGGGGGGTTTGCCCTTCAGCCGTGTAAGACGTCGATACGATACGGCACTTCTTCCCCGTTTGTTCAGATGAATTCGTGTGGTGTGCGTAAAATACCAGGAAAATAAATAAAGAGGGGCTGGAGCTAAAGCTAAAAGATAGAACAGGAAAGATCCTCACCTGCTAGTGCGGTAGAGAGGAAGGTAACTTCTCTGTATGAATTTGTGCTTGGAAGTTGCCTAATGAAATGGCAAGAGTAGCGATTCAAGTTGTCACAGGAAGCATCCCTTATCCGTGACTTCAAGCAGACCTGCCAAAGGGTGGCACACGCCATGCCCTGTGTCTTCGATCATTCTGTCCGTCAAGGGAGATAGAATCACCGTGTCTTCTACCGGAGTGAATCGTGAGAGACCTAAGTCCAGTCTCCAGAATCAGTTGTTTGTTTGGGGTTGAAAGCTCAACCCCCCATACCTAGGCCACGGGCCCTGTGGCAGGTGGGGTTTACTCTTGGACTAGGTAGTCATGGCAGAGGAACACACAATATCCGAGGATGCGCACAGCACATTGTGTTCTACAGATTTGACCGACTGGTGGTGAGGTCTCCTCATGACCACACAGGCAGGGAGTTAGCAGGTGGCTTCCTGTGGGTGTGTGAATATCCAACGTGCTTAACCATCGACATGTGTGTGTTTGTGTGTGTTTCAGGTGGCCCAACAGTCCACCCCTGAAAAAGGCGGTCATAAAACCCCCAGGAGACGAAGATGATGGCACGTCGGGACCCCAAATCTTGGGCCAAGAGACTGGTGAGAGCCCAGACCCTCCAGAAGCAGCGGAGGGCCCCAGTTGGGCCAAGGGCTCCCCCGCCCGATGAAGAAGATCCCAGGGTAAGTCTAGCCCTGGATCTCTTGGGTATCGGGGTGGGGGTGGGGACGGGGGGAGGCGGTGTCCCACGGTCCTCAGAGACTGGGTTGGATTCCAAAGAGTTCTGTCACCACCAGCCAGGTTGCTTTTCCCATCCAAGGTGGGCGTGGCTTGGGACCTTCTCCCCGGCCCGATAGGTCCCTTGAGAGACTCTTGGGGGCAACCTCCCTTTCTACTTCGAGTCCTGTGTAGCCACGTTTGGCTGCGTTGTTGACATCGGCTTCACCATCGTGCCCCTTGGAACCTTGAGTCCTTCCTTTCAGAGTTCCTCCGTCACAAGGGCTTTGCGAGGGAACATCGTATCCGAACTCTCCCAGCACTTAACGGCCCCCATGCCGGTGTCCCCTCTTTGGAATCCTTATTCAGCTCTGAATTCACAATCCGTCCCAATGTTGACGTGGGATCGCTGCCTGTGGCTTCAGCTCACTCACTGACATCACTTCCTTTCCACCCACAGCTCAAGTGCAAAAACTGCGGGGCCTTTGGCCACACGGCCAGAAGTACCACGTGCCCCATGAAGTGCTGGAAGGCAGCCCTGGTTCCAGCGACCTTGGGGAAAAAGGAAGGGAAGGAAAACCTGAAACCATGGAAGCCCCGGGGTGAAGCCAACCCGGGGCCCTTGAACAAGGATAAGGGAGAGAAGGAAGAGAGACCAAGGTGAGCAGTGGGAGGGGTTTTCACCACTCTTAGGGTGCTGCCTCCTAAGGAGATGGTGTCTCTGCACCTGCACACCGTGTGCCTTTCCGTCTCCGGGCCAGGGAAGGAGCGCTGCAGAGAAATAGGCCGGAGCTCCGTGTCCTCCGGGGTTCCACACCCAGGAGCTCCTTGGGCTCTGGGAGATTCAGGGACGGGGAGAGGCGGGGGCGCTTCGTGCAGGTTCCCCACGACAGCGGGAAAAGCGATGGAATCCAAATCACAGTCCTTAGTCGGGAAGCCTAGAGGGCCACCTGGAGGATGGGAAGGTTGGCACGTGAGGGAAGGTGCAGAGGCGGAAAGGGCACCAGATGTCCATTTCTGTATCACAAAACACGGAATGGGGCTGGGCCCCAGACGGGGTTCTCCCTGTCTCCTGGGGAAAACCAGGGGGCACCGCCTGACCTTTTTCTGTTCTGCAGGCAACAAGACCCGCAGAGGAAGGCTCTCCTCCACATGTTTTCCGGGAAACCTCCAGAGAAGCCGCTGCCGAATGGAAAAGGATCCACGGAATCTTCTGAGCATCTGAGGGTGAGTGTCACCCCGGGCCCCTGGTCCTTTTCTCCTCTAGGTCACCCTGGTTGATTTCCTTTCAGCTTCCCGTCTGTGGGAGGAAATCGGGGAACCCCTCTTTCTTGCCTTCTTGGGGTCAGGGACTCCACAATCCTTCCAGGTCAATTGGATTCCAGGCGAAGGCATCTGAACATGCCGTATTTCCTGTTGCTTTCTTTCTGTCCAATTATGGCAAGCCTGCCAACAACACGTTCCTAGCGGCATGAGGAAATTAGTCCCTCAGAGGCCCCAAACGTGGAGAAGGCTAAACCCAGGAACATGCATGTGTTCAGAGAAGACGTCCCGAGTACCCTTGAGCCACCAACCTGCCTCGGGAAGGGCATTAGTCCGTTCCACTTCATGGAAGGCTGAGTGGAGGCGCTTTGATCCAGTTAATGCCCAAGACGCGATCTTTTGAACAATGGTGTGCTTAGATCAGCTACACATAGCTCGAGAGCGCACCTTTCATGTGTCTTGTCCTGATCAGCACTCAGGTGGAGGGATCTGTCCCTACTTCCAAGGACCGCCTGTCGATACTGTACTAAGAATTTCATGGCGTGTGCACCTTGTCTTTGGATATGTTTGATTTTCACGTTGGCTCCATGCCGTGGAACTTCTAACCTGTGTTGTTTCCTCTCTTTCAGGTTGCAAGCGGGCCAATGCCGGTCCACACAACCAGTAAGAGGCCGCGCGTGGACCCTGTCCTCGCTGATCGCTCAGCTACCGAAATGTCTGGCAGGGGCTCCGTCTTGGCTTCACTGTCTCCCCTCAGAAAAGCCAGCCTGAGCTCCTCCTCAAGTCTTGGACCAAAGGAAAGACAGACAGGGGCTGCGGCCGACATCCCTCAGCCTGCATTCAGGCACCAGGGCCCCGAGCCTCTCCTCGTGGTGAAGCCGACACACAGCAGCCCTGAGGGTGGCTGCCGAGAAGTTCCCCAGGCTGCCTCCAAAACCCACGGCCTGCTCCAGGCCGCCAGACCCCAGGCACAAGACAAACGTCCTGCGGTGACCTCACAGCCCTGCCCGCCAGCCGCCACACACAGCTTGGGCCTAGGCTCCAATCTCAGCTTCGGGCCGGGAGCCAAGAGACCTGCCCAGGCTCCGATTCAGGCTTGCCTGAACTTCCCCAAGAAACCGAGACTGGGTCCCTTCCAGATCCCCGAAAGCGCCATCCAGGGAGGTGAGCTGGGGGCCCCGGAGAATCTCCAACCTCCGCCAGCCGCAACCGAACTTGGACCAAGTACGTCGCCCCAGATGGGCAGGAGGACACCGGCCCAGGTGCCCAGCGTCGACTGGCAGCCTCCGCACAGCACACCTTGCCTGCCTACTGCCCAGGCCTGCACCATGTCCCATCACCCAGCGGCCGGCCATGATGGGGCCCAGCCTCTCAGAGTGCTCTTCCGGAGACTGGAAAACGGACGCTGGAGCTCCAGCCTCCTGGCCGCCCCCTCATTTCACTCTCCTGAGAAGCCGGGAGCCTTCCTCGCTCAGAGCCCTCATGTGTCAGAGAAGTCTGAGGCTCCCTGTGTTCGTGTCCCACCGAGCGTCCTCTATGAGGACCTTCAGGTTTCCTCCTCCTCAGAGGACAGCGATTCTGACCTGGAGTGAGACTGCAGGTGGCAGGGGCTCCTTGGCCTCCAGCTCCCGTGACTTGGAGGGGACTGTGGGACTGAGGAGCGCAGAGCAGAGAGCACACTCTGTGCGGTGACTCCGAAGCTCCCCGGCTGTGGCGCTTCTGTGGATGTGGGAGCCCAGGCCAGGCAGGGAGCAGATGCAGGGACTCTGCCTCATTGAATTCTGGTGAGGGACGTTGTAGTTGGCGTGGTTCTCCCGAAACGCGCCAGGAAAAGCTTCCGTGCCAGAGATTCGTTGCCTCAGAAACTGCGTGACGCGCAGGAGTCAGACTTCCGCTGGGACGTCAATAGGAAACTGGGGAATTACTGTGTATTTGCTGTCTAGATGACTGAATAAGGGAAAAGTTAGGGAACCCTGAGAGGTGCAGCCCTTCCGCTGTGCCCCGCCCTGAGAGCAGTGTTTCGGACGCTGGGAAGCGTGCTGTGCGAAGCGCTCTCGGGGTCTTTCCTCAGCCTCGAAAACTGGGCTCTGGAATGCCTTTGTACATATGTGTGTTTAATGTGTTTTGAAGTGAATAAAATTCTCAAAAAGATGACATATTGTCTTTTGACTCTCATTCCGTGTTTGTGTGTAACTGATTTTCCAAGTGAAGGGGTGGCCCGCCCCTCCACACCTGTGGGTGTTTCTAGTCGGGTGGGATGAGAGACGGAGAAAAGAAATCAGACACAGAGACAAAGTATAGGGAGACAACAGTGGGTCCAGGGGACCGGCACTCAGCACACCAAGGACCTGCACCGGCACCGGCCTCTGAGTTCCCGCAGTTTTTATTGATTATGATGTTCATTATTTCAGCACAAAGGAATGTAGTAGGGGAGCAGGGTGATAATAAGGGGAAGGTCAACAAAAAAAAAAAAAAAAAAAAAAAAAAACACGTGAGCAAAAGAATCCATATCATTATTAAGTTCAAGGGAAGGTACTATGCCTGGACGTGCACGTAGGCCAGATTTATGTTTCTCTCCACCCAAACATCTCAGCGGAGTAAAGAATAACAAGGCAGCATTACTGCCAACATGTCTCGCCTCCCGCCGCAGGGCTGCTTTTCTCCGAGCTCAGAGTTGAACAAATGTACGATCGGGCTTTACACCGAGACATTCAGTTCCCAGGGGCAAGCAGGAGACAGTGGCCTTCCTCCATCTGAACTGCAAGAGGCTTTCCTCTTTGACTAATCCACCTCAGCACAGACCCATTGCGGGTGTCGGGCTGGGGGACAGTCAGGTCTTTCCCATCCCACGAGGCCATATTTCAGACTGTCACATGGGGAGAAACCTTGGACAATACCCTGCTTTCAAGGGCAGAGGTCCCTGTGGCTTTCCACGGTGCATTGCACTCCTGGTTTATTGAGACTAGAGAATGGCAATGACTTCTACCAAGTATACTGCTCTTAAACATTTGGTTAACAAGGCGCGTCCTGCACAGCCCTAGATCCCTTAAACCTCGATTTTCTACAACACAGGTTTTTTGTGAGCTCCAAGTTGGGTCAAAGGAAGGGGCTGCAGCAAAGCTACAAATGATCAACATCTCAGCAAAGCAATTGTTTAAACTACAGGTCTTTTTCAAAATGGAGTCTCTTATGTCTTCCCCTTCTACATAGACACAGTGACAGTCTGATCTCTCTTTCTTTACCCTACATCCACGGGCTTGAACATTTCTTGACTTGTTGGCAATCCAAATCGTTACGTCTCCGAAACAGAGTTGACTGATGGGACCGCAGGTCTGGGCAGGACTTTGACTTCCTATACATCCACAGGAGCAAGAAAACCTCAGCCCCACTCTACCAACACGCACCTAGTAAAATTCCGCCAACCGAATCTCACGCACGCTAACACGTGGGGAGCGTTGCTTGCACCACGAGTCCCCATTTGGCTCAACCGCCGATGCCAAGTGTGTGGTTCCAGTTGCGACGGCCCCCTGTGAAGTGGCTTCCGGATGTGCGAATGAACCAGGCAGCGTTTCACTGGCCAAATAGACCCCAGCAAAACTGAAGTTAACTCCCACATTTGGGATGTACTTCAGAGGTAAAACATTCATCCCGTCTTCTTTCCGGATGTCTGACACCATGGTTCTCCCCCTGATCCTAAGAGTAGCTGAGGTAGAGACTCACTGAAAGATCTAGGCAGGGATATCCCATCATGCACAGGCTCTCTCCATTCTCTGACCTGGGAACAACTCTCAGCAGGATTCCACATCTAGGAGGCCTCGGAACTCAGTGGGATTTTCTGAGACACACCAACTGGCTGCTCCCTCTCCGCCGCTGTTGAGGGTCGTTATCTTGATTATCCAGATCACCTAGAAAGTATCCGTATCCAGAATGAATAAGATCAACTCTCTGCTCCTCTGACAGCAGAAGGAGCAGGACCATAAGGAACCAAAGAGCGTGGAAGGAAACGATGTGACAGGAAAGCTCAGAGAACCGCCACAGGGGGTCGTCAGCAGGCCTTCCAACCTGAATCATGAATAATTAATGAAGCGCAAATCAAAGGGGACTCGAGTTTCAGCAGGAGCAATTCATCCAACGGGAGATCGCCGGAGGGCCAACAAGATTGAGAGACTGGGAGCCGGGTGCAGTGTCAAAGGGGACGCGACTGGTTCCAAAGCTCGAGAAGACCATGGGGTCACTTGGGCTACATGAGAAAATGCCCCAGTGTGCTGGTTCATCATTCCGACTCCTGCCTGTCTCTTCCGGTTCAGGGAACATAGACCCTCACTTGTGTTATCCAGTTGTCGTTCTTTTTTTAGATACTTATGCAGTGATACACAACTGTAACTATTTTTTAAATTTATATTTAGGCCTCTCCTCATAAGATACATTAATCAAGAGCCTTTCCATTGTGTTTCAAAACACAGTAGCATCTCACTCTACACACCGGACATGCCTGGTTACTGTTTTATCCAACATGTTTGAAATCAGCATTGTGATTGCCTTTTTTTTTCTACACGAAGGAGATAGAAACTTGTCTGTCCTCCTCAAAGTTATGGCCCTGCCTTTATAAAAAAAATGCTGCCCAAATCATGAAATTTAGTGTACAGGTATATGAAATACAAACCAAAAATTGAAAACAAAACTTAGGAATGGCAAGTGGTAATGTAAACTTGATGAGCCAGAGCAGAAGCGTGTCTCACTTGGAAGCAATCACAGCAGTCACCACTATTTCATCCTATAATTTCAGTATTTATTGAAAAGTATTGGCCTGGGGAGTGTGGGGAACCTGAACAAAGACAAGGACTGGGTCACAGCACGGAGAAAATGGTGAAAATCTCAGGGCATACATACAGTGTCAAGCTTAGGAATTATTATCTATACATCAGACCAATGACTACATGGACACCAGCAATCAAGGGGCTGTGTTAGCCCTGGGAGTGAGCAGAGTTCTTCAGGTGAATTTTCACGCCACTGAAAGCATGCTGAAAGCAGAACCCTCACGTTGAGGAGTAAGGGATTTGATTGAGTGTGGTTGCATTTAAGAGGTTGAATATGGAAGAGAAATTCTAAGGGACACTGTGTGCCAAGTGAAATGGGAGCACTTTATTTACACACCTTGCAGTTCTTCGTCTCCCTGCAGCATCTGGGATCCTCTGCTAGTGAGCACAATGGATCATGATGGGAAACAGAGAAGGGGAAGCAAGAGGTTCCTGGAACTACTCTCCCTCCACATTTTAGGGCATGCACTGACTAAGGATTTGGCCAATCTCTGATCTATCAATGTAAGTGGTGGATCTTGGCTACATCCCTTCTTGAAAACACATCTTCGTGCTCTGGTTGGAGAACTATGGTGAACCCTGTGGCAGACCTGAGTGCTGGACTTGGTGAAGGGTGCATAGGTCTGAGGGAGGAGTTGGGCAAAGTCTCCATCCTATACAGGCTGAAGCTGAGATTGGCTGGTCTAGCGAATCCCACTGGACTAGGTGTGGTTGGTAAAGGGTAGGGCACAGAGGAGAAAGTATGCAATGCGCAGTAGGATTATTGAAAGAGAAGCGCTGAGCCAAGCAACATGGTTTTCTTCGGATCTCATCAAGGGCTGGTGACATACGGGTTCTGCCTCCCCCTCTTCTGTAGGTGAGCGCGGCACATTGTCTCTTTCATGTCTGAGGTGTCTCTGTCTTGAACATGGAACTCCAAGGTGAAGTCATCCACAGAGTGCTAGATGTAATCGATCTGCAGAGGGAACTGCAGGCCATCCAGTGACCTCAGGACATGCTCAGGCACAACCACAAATACGCTGTTACCCAGGGTCAGGGCAGGGCTGTCTGTGGGGACAGGATGAGGACATACTCTTCCAGTCTCAGTGTGAGTTCTGTCCCTTGTTCCGGGACCACGATGATGAACGTCTCTGTGCTGGAATTCTGCTGCTGCTGTGGAACGACAGCCCTCAGTCCACTGCCTTCAAAAAAGACTGCAAATGATGCTCCTGGGGAGGGAGCTGGAGCAGCTTCACCCTCTACAACTTTAAAATACAAATTTCCTCCTAGAAGTGGCAGTCATGCTGACCCTGCTGAATGCACCACCACTGGATGTGTCTTGTGGCCTGGAGATTATGCAACATAGTCCAATCTTTGCTATCCATGAACATAGGGAGTTACCTGGGGTGATTCCAGGCCTGGAATGAATTCATGTGAGGAATTCTTTGAAGTAAGGGTGTTTCTGCATCTGTGGTGAGACCACAGTGAGGGAGGTTAAGGCTCCCCACCTTTTTTTCTTCTTTCTTTCTTTCCAGACACAGGAGATAATCAACAAAGACCAGGCTCCCTTTTAAATCCAATAAGAAACATTTTACAACCTACTCCCTCTCAAGTCTACTATCTGAAGGTTCCTCTGCACAGTAAAACTTGGCCTCCCCACCTCTTTATCTTAACCTAAACATTTCCTTTCAATAGATCCCTGGTCTTAGATAAACTCATCCAATTATCAACCAGATAATTTTTAAATCTATCTATAAGCTGGAAGCCCCCCTCCTTCAAGTTGTCCCACTTTTCTGGATCAAATCAACGTATTTCTTAAATGCACTTAGTTGAAGTCATGTCTCCCTAAAATGCATAAAACCAAGCTGCACCCTGATCACCTTGGACACACGTTCTCAGAACCTCCTGAGGGCTGGGTCACACGACATGGTCAATCATATTTGGCTCAGAATAAATATCTCCAAATATTTTGCAGAGTATGACTCTTTTCCTCAACAAGGTCATGATGATTAGGGTCAAAATTCACCGATATGAAGGACAGCCCCAATTTCTTGACTCAGAGAAATAAAGCAAGAGAAAACACATGGAGGAGGAGGAGGAGGAGGAGGAGAAGAACCTGGAGCTCCCGCCTGCCCCTGGGTGAGTCCTGGAGGTGGAAGGAGAGGTACTTGATCCTGAGTTGGCCCCTGCTCCACCTGAAACAGAACCCTGGAGTGCCACTCCCTGAATGCGGCCCAGCTCTACCCAGGTTAGACACTCCCTTGCCCTAGAGCCTGGGTCCTCCCTGGCCCCCGCTACCACTGCTTCCTCAGAGCCCAGGCCCAGTGCACCACATCTGCCTCTGCACGGCTCTGGGAGGGCTGCACCAAGGACAATCTAGTCTCAGAGGGGACTTCCTGGACACAGGCGGGTCCTGACACCCTGAGGGAACAGAGGAGAATGGCCTTCACAGGGGCTGCTGTCTTGGGGCTCACAGAAGCGGCCTCTCCAGCGACCAGACTCAGAACCTACCCAGAGGCCCAGGCTGGTGAGGATGCCCTGGCTGGGCCTTTCATGTGGATGAAGGCAGTTCCCACCTCAGCCAACGTCTAAAACCCCGAGGAGAATCAAACCTGAAAGAGTCCCTGTCCTCCTTCCCAGAGGGGAAACGCAGTTCCTGAAACCTCAGTAGAAGAGAAAATGCTGTGAGGGTTCAAGGGACCAAGGACGCCCTTCCCAGGCCAGCAAGGCCAGAGTAGGAGGAAGCTGCACCCACCTCCAGGGGACATGTGAGGTTTTAGAGGCTCAGGCAAGTCAAGGGCAAACGCCCTGTACTCCCCGCAGGGTCATGAGCACTCCCCACCTACTGGAGTTGGGCTCCAGAAGGCCAGGACATTATCCCTGCATCTCCCCTGCCTCCAGGACTCAGGCCTGAGCTCCCAGGTTGGCCAGGAAAAGCTAGTGGTAGCTCTAGCTGGCCATGGACATACAGGCTGGGACATGCAGGCCAACAAAGAGGTGCTGGGCCCTCAAGAGAACTTCTAGACTTCCTAGACACTCCAGAGACACAGAGACGTCCAGGCAGGACAGGGAGAGCCTGGAAGCAGCTGTGAGCAAGTGCAGGTGCCCGTCCCAACACACAGAGCTAAGCTCTGTTCAACCATTTGCTAAGCCAGACCCATCCCAGGGCCCAGAGGTGCAAACAGTGACCCCACTCAGGACTTGGAAGGAGGAGCACAGGAAAAGCCCCAAATTGGCCAAAAAAACTGTCAGAAATGTGGCAGTTATTTCATAAGTACATGAATAATAAACCCAAACAATGGAAAACAAAACTAAACAAAGGCAAATGTGAATGGAAACGTGATGAGTGAGAGCAGGAGAGTGTCTCAGTTGGAAGCAAGCACAGCAGTCACCACTACTTCATTCAATGACGTCAAGATTTATTCAAAAGCATTGGCCTGGGGAGTGTAGGGAACCTGGACTAAGACAAGGAATGGGGCACAGCTTGGAGAAAAAGGGGAGAGTCTCAGGGCAGAAATAGAGCATCAGCCTTAGGAATTATTTATTGTGGCATCAGACCAATGACTACAAGGACATCAGCATGCAAGGGGCGGTGTTAGCCCCCGGGAGTGAGCAGCTGTCTTCAGATGAACTTTCAGACCACGTCATGCTGGAAGCAGAACTCTCACATGGAGCAGTCAGGGATTTGATTGAGTGTGGTTGGATGTATGTGCTTAAATAGGAAGAGAAAGTCTAAGGGACAGTGTGTGTGAAGTGAAATGTGAATGTTTTATTTGAACTCCCTGCAGTTCTCCCCCTCCCTGCAGCATCTGGGACCCTCCGCTGTTGAAGACAGTGGTTGATGATGGGGAACAGCAAAGGGCAAGCAAGTGGTCAAATTACTTTCTCTCCACATTTCAGAGAATGCACTGACTAAGGATCTGGACAATCTCTGACCTATCAATGCAGGGGGTGGCTCTTGGGTTAAATCACTTCCTAAAGAGACATCTCCGTGCCCTGCTGGGAGGCCTATGGTGAACCCTGTGATAGACCTGGGGACCAGGACTTGGTGAAGGGGGCATAGGTCTGAGGGAGGAGGTGCACAAGAGCTCCATACCATGCAGGCTGAAACTGGAGTCGGCTGGTCTAGGGCGTCCCACAGGACTAGGTGTGGGTGGTAGAGGGTAGCATTGGGGGAAGGCTGCCCGACAGCGTGGAATGCACAATGGGGTTACTAGGAAAGAAGGGCTGATCCCAGCCATGTGGTTTGCTTGGGGTATCATCAAGGGCTGCTGATACAGGGGTGCTGCCTTCCCTTCTTCTGCAGGTGAAAAAGGCACATTCTCTCTTCTCATGTCTGAGATGTCTCCATCTTGAGCATGGAACTCCAAGCTGAAGTCATCAACGGAAGGTATGATGTACTGGATCTGCACAGGGGACTGCAGGCCATCTTCTGACCTCAGGACATGCTCAGGGACAATCACAAGGACTGTGTTCTCCAGGGTCAGCTGCAGCACTGTCTCTGGGGCCAAGATGAGGATGACCTCTTCCAGGCTCAACCTCACTTCTGTCCCTTGTTCCAGGACTATCATGAGCTCCTCAGTGCCAGAATCCTGCTGATTCTGTGGAAAGACAGTCCTCAGTATTCTGCCCTCCAAAAAGGCTGCAAATGATGCTCATGGGGAGGGAGATGCCAGGAGCTTCACCCTTTACAACTTTAAAATACAAACTCCCTCCCAGAATTGGTGCTCATGCCAATCCACCTAAATATACATCCACTGGATGTCCCTTGAACCTGAAGATTGTGCAGCACTGTCCAATCTTTGCTATGCAAGGACACAGGAACTTACCTGGGGAAGTTCCAGGGACTGGTATGAATTCAGGTGTGGAGCTCCTGAAATTGAGGGTTTTTTTGCACCTGCAGAGAGACCACAGTGAGGGAGGTTAAGGCTCTCTTCCAGCAAGAGTCTCTTGCATTTCAGAATGTGACCTTCAGAAATCCACCACCCAGCACTGGCCAGCCTCAGGACACCAGCCCCCAACAGTCAAGCACGACTTTCCACTCACCCTGCAGAAAGCACCCTCTCCATTTATGGTATCATGAGACATGACACTGACTTCCAGGCATGGGAATCTTAAAAAATATTAGGGAAAGTGCCTTACCTGTACTGGGACCCTGCTCCACTTGGCGACGTTTGGGTGGATTCATTTGTGTGGTAGCCAAACTGCAGGACAGAAAGGGACCCATCAATCTTCCACATAGTGACACAAAGTCCAATTCTCACAAGCCCCAAACTTCATTAGTCATCCGGCACACATTGCTGCTGTGGCCCAAAATCACATGCACTTGTGTTCAGCTCCAAATCCTACCTGCATCCAGAAAGTCCTAACACTCATATCCCACCCTCTCCTTTTCTAGAGGCTTTTCCTATCGGTGCATGTGTGTGATAAGACATGGCGATCACAGGAAACAGTTTGCTTTTTCAGGAGCTCATCCACATGAGAAGGAGGGACATCAAATTTGGCCCGAGGACTTTAGGAGAAGATGCTGATTTTCCGGGTATCTAACCCCTGTGTCTATGCAGTTACAGTGTGAATGGAGTGATAAATGACATGAAATGTTCCATTTTCTAGTGAGCACAAGGAAAAAATTTAGATCATGCCCACAGTTTACCTGTCTCCACACAAGAGGCAACTTCTGTTTACCCAGAGGACAGAGATTAACAATGGGAAGAAACATGAGATGAGCCCCCTGACAGGCTGCAGAAACCCCCCATGCTGGCTGCATCCTGTGGCCTCCACTGTGGGTCTCATGTCTCCCCAATGTGTTCTAAATTTATAACATTCAATGTCATGGCAGGCCAGGGTGTCTTCTCTGCCCTAGTTTGGCCCTTTAGCATACATTCACACACACACACACACATACAGTCACACACAGTCACATGTCAACCTCCTGGCAACCCAAAGTAGCCACATACTCCAACATACCTGGTCTCTCCTTCATTGTCATTCTGCGGTTCTGTCTGGGAATCTCTGGGGCTTCTTAAGCGCCGGTAACCATACATGGTAAAAGTTCTCTGGACTTGCTTGTGTCAAAAAAATCTCAATCTTTGGCCTATTTTCTGTAAATCTATATAGTTCGTGCCTTGATCTTTTACTCTACCTGGAGAAAAATTATCAGCCTCTAGCACAGCACAGCCAGAGCATGGAAGAGTGTGTCCTGGCCTGGGACCGGTCAAATGGTGCTTTGGTAGAGTGAGCTCTTGGGGAAATCCTCCAAGGGTCTTATAAGAGGTGGAGCCATGGGATTTGTCAAAATGGATGAATGTGATTGGCTAGTGGTGCTGATTAAACAACATGAAGGGCCAGCATGGGAGTGGTTTTATCAAAACTCAGTCAATATGAGTGTGACCCAGTCAGAATTAGCCTAATTCAATCAAAATTAATTCAAGATCTCTACTCTGATTCACCATATAATTGTGACATAAAATAACAGTATTTTAAACTAGCAATATTTACTTTCTATTGTAGTCTGTTCATTAATTTGGTAGGACAGTTATTTTCTGTAAAGTTCATGTGTACGTCGTTTCTTAGTAAACATAAAGGATTGGGTCTAGGAAACTTTAAATATGCCACAATTTGTATATACTCAAGTCCCTTGTATAAAACGGCGTAGAATTTGAATATAACATAATCACATTAATTTATATAATTTAAATGATCTCTAGATTACTTACAATACTTAATGCAATGCCCAGACGTCACGTCATTTATGTGAACTCAAAAAGAATGTGATGCATGGAAAATTTAAAGTTTCTCTGAAGAAACTTGTGCAAATCTTTTGTGAATATTTTCTATTCAAGATTAGTTGGATCCATGAATATGGAACCTATGGATGTGGAGGGCTGACAGTATTTTTAAATAAAAAAAAATACGTTATTTTAAGTGAATTAAGTTTTAAAATGAATCTCCTGGGGAAAGTTATCCAAACAGAAGAAGCGAATACTATAAGACAAGCTGGGGAAAATACAAAAAGAACCTTTACTTAATTTCTAATATATCACTGTGTATTAATCTGTCTGTTAATTTATTTCTTGCCTGTATCCCCGCTGGACTAATTTCAGAATTGTAATGCAAGTTTTGCTTTCAACATTACTTATTAATTACAAATCCATCATTCTTATTGGCAAAGTCACCTAAACTTCTTGCAGGTGGCCAGACACCATATGCCTGAACTCAGAATTAGTCATTTTAAGATTAAAAATTATTTGACAGTATAAAGAATAATAGATGGTATTGGGGGAAAACAGTAATCCAGTAATCACTAGAACTGAACTAGAAGGAAAATCTGTGAGGGTGCACCATTACTGAGCGTGCCATCTCTAACAGGCCCCTGAGCTCAGGGCTTCATCCTCTCTCTAGAACTTGTATAAATTTGTTTGTGGATTCTCTTTGCATTTAGCTGATAATTTCATCAGTTTTATTAGGTGAAGTATAGACCCTGTTTCCCTTAAATGTTAAAAAAAAATTGAATCTAATTAGCAGATGCCTTTTGCACTGAAGCTTTCTTCTCCAGTTAGATAAATCATTTAGATGAATAAAAGGAAAACAGGAAGATTCCTTTAATTTTGCCAATGTCTTAAAAGCCTCCAAGGGGAACATTAGTGCCTTTATCCAGAGAACTCTCTGCTTTGGGGATTTTGATAATTTCTGAGGAGAACAGCAGGTAATTAGCTGAATATCAGCTGCAGTTATAAAATTGGATTAATTGCCTACATTCTTTCTGGCTGCGGGGTTCAGGTTGAGATATTCAAGAAATAGCCTCTATTGATGATTCTGGAGTATGTATATTTTACAGTCAAGAAAGAGAAAGGCTCCTCATGGTGAGTTTCTGTGTGTCACGTCTAGCTGAAAACCTATGGACTGCAAACCAGTACAAGAATAAAAATATGAGGGACGTGCCAAATATATATTCTACCTTTATAATCGCTTTGATTATAAACCAAATGTTTTAATAGATAAATTAATAAATTTGCAGCATAAATGTCTCAGGATATATCCTGCAGCACAGAATAATAACTTATTTTTGAAGAAATATTTAAGCAATATGTTTTCATTTGGGGTAGAAACTATTTTTCACAAAAGTGTAGCTTTCCCCTTGCATGTGTAATGAAAATCACTTTTAAATCTGCAGTGCTAGGGTAAAATTAAAGACGTGGCTCTTGCCGTTTTAATAGCAACAATTAAAGGATGCATTAGTGCCCCTCCCTTTCATTGTCTCACTATTTTTCAGTGAATTTGGCACTGTAGGAAAGATGAGCCCCTCACAATGTGGAAATGCAGGGATGCAGAGTGCGGGGTTTCCCTGCAGGGGCCCCTTTCTCGCGAGCTGCGCGACAGTGCGCCGCCGTGCCCCGGCCACATACTCCTTCCTCTGCAGGGTCCCCGTATTCTGTAGATTTTCCTCACAATTCTTCTTGTGTTTCTCCTCATAATGAATCCTGACAGAGGTTGCGAGGAAGGCACATTACGGCCTGCTATGGTTATCAATGAAAATCCCTAAGGAATACGTAGATTTGTAAAATAATTCTTGCTAATATATCCCAACAGACAGTGCAGAAGAAAACACGTAGGAACAGCCCAGAACATTAAGTCTTTAGTGCTGTTTCAGAAAAATATCCGGGAGACGCGCAGGGAATCTCACTCCTCAGCAGGTAGGGCTGTGAACAGCAGCGTTTTCCTTAAGATGGATGCAGCCCCATTTGCCCCAAAGCCAGGGCGGCGCCTCCTCCTCCCTGGCCTGAGGAAGGGAAGTTCCCTTCTTCCTTGGCGATCTGGCCCCGCTTCCGCAAGCAGAATGCGCATGCGCCCCGCACGACCAGAAAGCGAGTTCCATTGCCCTCTGCCGGCTATGGGCTTGCAGCGCGGGACTCTTGGCCTTCACTGTTTAGCGGTTGACCTGCGTCTGTATCGCTGAAATTCCGGTTTTATCAGTACCTTCCTTTTGGAAGATCAAATGCAAATGGAGCACGGTATCTTTTTTCTTTTTCTTTTTTTTTTTATGAAAGAGGGTGGAAATAAAGAAGCAAAGTCCAAAGACCGTATAAAATAGTCTGTTGATTCCCTGTATGTGGAGGAAAGAGGAGCTCGAATAAGAGAAACATTCTGTGTGATGCTTTAATGCCAGAGATCTGCCACTATGCATTTGTCAAATACAATACAATTTTACAGCACAAATAGTACATCTTAGTGGGTCAGGATTACAGCAAATGACATCTAAAATTTGGAGAACATTACATATTTAATTAAATAGGTCAAAGTATAAATAATGTGAGGCCTGCCTGGACACAGCCTCTGCCTGTCCTTCCAGATTGTCATGGGCTTGAATTGATGTCTCCTCATCCTCACACAGGAATTGACATAAACCCTGGCTTTAACGTAAAAACAGTTGGGCAGATTTGTAAACATTATGATGTTTCACTTTCACCCATGAATTAGCCAATTTAATTGGCCTCAGTAAAGTCTATGATTTTGGGATTGTGCAGTTTGGTAAAAGCTCAAAGTCCTCTCAGTATATTTCCTGGGACCACTTCTCCTTGATATTTAGATTCAGTACTGAGATTTGTTGAAGCACAATATGTATCCAAGCCCGAGTCAAAGCAGAGGATGCCTGCTGGTCAGAAGATTCATTTTGCTTGTGGAAAAGTCCATTGCATTTGATATAAAAGGGCTTGCATGGTGACTGAGAAGTTAGGGTGTTTTAGTTTGCTGGTGCTTTATCTGCTAGGCTATAGTAAGGGGAGCAATGCTGTGTCCTTGTCTGTGTCATAACGCAATTACTCACTTGAATGAAAAGTGGGATGTCATGAGATGAATTCCTTTTCCCTCTTTGGGAGGCTTTAGGAACAAAATCTCAAGAGTTTTCTGAGGGATACAAGAGCAGGGCTGCCTGACTCTCTGCCCCGGGAGCTGTTCATGGGCAGAGACGAGGGCTGGGGTCATCCAATGGTTTATACAAGGTGTCTTTGATATTACTCCCATTTCCCTGCTAAATCTGTGTAATGGCTCACTGAGAAACCCGGCATGAAGATCCCTGTTTTGACAACTCCAGGGATGGATGGAGACAAATATTTTTGTTGGAAGTTAGAATTAGGGGACATGGGCTGTGCGGCAAAAATAAAAAACTCTTGAAGAAGGCAGGGACTCGAAGAAAGGGGTGGAATTTCTGCCCACATGCCAAAGAGTGCAGAAGGAATTCTAAGTGTTAGAGCAGCATCAGTAAAACTAGATCTTGTACAACATATTACATTTTTCAGGAACAGGCTATATTGTTTCAATATTTGCAAGTATTGTTCTCTTAAAAAACTTGAGGAGTTGCTTAGACCTCTGGAGAGAAAAATTGAGACATGTAAGAGGGCAGGAGTGACACAGTGGTGACACACTCTGGAGTCCTGCCTACAAGCAGCACCCTTTGACCCACTCCACAAAAGCTCTATTCCACAGCTCAATTCCTCCTTAAAAAAAAGGTGAGAAAAAAATCTAAAACTTAGGAGAAAACAAGGAGAATGACCCACTTTCAAGCACTTCTTAGATTTTACGACAACTCTACTAGCCAGACTTTATGTAAAATGGAAGTAACGTGGTCTTTGTGCACATTTAAAAAAAAAAAAAAAAAAAAAAAAAGCCCTAAGGTCGACCTGCAAGTTATAGATTTCCTAAGGCTCTTTTTCTCTCTTTTCTTTTCTGCCTGCTTTATATCAGCTGTTACATTATGACTGAGATAAAAGCCACTGTTTGGATATAACAGGGTTTTGTTTGTCTGTTTGTTCGTTTTTCAAGCCAGTTTCATATCATTCCTAAAGTTCTCAACCAAAAGCTACAGGATTTTCTTTTCTGTGCAAATATGTGCATGTATATATTTAAAAGGCTTTTATGATTTCTATAATTTTATGTTATGTAGCAGTTACATCCATTTTAATTTCTGTCTAGCACAACAGACTATTTCGCTGTGTTCCTCAGATGTAAGTTTCCTATCTGATTTTCACCTATGAATTGTTTCCTTTGATATGCAGAGTAAGGCTATTTAGCTGACAGCTACCTAAGGTAGTCAAACAGGTTATCAAGAATTTGAAAACCTAAGACAGGAAAAAATAGGATCTTATGAATCTATAAGATGTACATCTATTGGCATGCCTAATACATCTATGTATTTATGTGTTGTGTACACAATGTTTCACTATTAAAAATATATACAAGAGCTCTAATTGGCTTTAAAAATAAAAGCACATAAATCAGATACTTAATCAAATAAAAGACTACACAAATGCTTTTTAAGGTCACTTGACTTAAAATATTTAATAAATGAGCTGGCTTTAAAATTATGGGTAAAGTAAAATTAGAAATGTCGTAAAAATTGTTAGCATTTTTGTTTTGTGTTTATTGATCAAGTAATTCCATGCTTAATCCTGCAGAATAATATAAGATTAACCATAAGGGTTATAAAATTATGAAAGCCAGACCAAGACAAAATGATCTTTGCTTGTGTAATTTTAGACAAGAAAGACATGGAATATTCTTTTAATGAAATCCTAAATTATTTGTAAAAATACTCTTATATTTAACTTTAGGTTTCCTATGTAAGTAAACACCTAAAATGCACAGCTATAAAAAAGGGTAACAGGGAAATAACTTACAGAAGGACTGTTACAGTTTTGGTCAATAATCTAGGTAAACTATTGAATAATGTAATCAGGGAAATGTGATGGAATAAATGCTTGTAAACAAACTTGTCATATAATTTAGGATCTAAGGTTATTCATAAATATTGAGTATACAGGTAATTCAAAACTTAAAAATTATAAAAAATTTTTAAGTGTTCTTATTAAAATGTAAATATCTTTGTGTAACTGACAGCCTACTTAAATGTTATGTATAAAAAGAACCAGAAAAAAAGAAATGTAAAAAAATTTAAAGTGGTACCTTTTTATAGAGAAGGGATAAAGGAAAATAATTTTATATCAGAAAGAATCTTGTGTAGTAAATTTTTGCCCTAGAATAAAATGACTGGGTCATTCAAGAAAGAGGAATATTTAGGAAAAAACAGAAAGTCTAAACATGTTTTGAGTGGTCTATGTAAGTCATAACAGGGTTAGTAAAAATATATTTTTTTAAAGGGGTTGTATAATTCAGTTGGCTACCATTAAAAAGGAATTATAATAGTCTTTCTAGGGATGGATCTTCGATATTTAAAAATATACACTAATGTAAAACTGAAATAATTGGTTAAAACAAGATTTTTATTAAAAATATTAACTTATTACTAATGCAAAAAGTTATTAAATTTTAAATTCTAGAATCTGTCTCTTTGAAATTCTTCAGATAAAATAGGTCAAAACTTCAGCTCTTCCTCTTTGAAAGGGCCATGGATGATAGCTCTCTCCTTCACCTTTTGTTGGCTCCTGTAACTTTTATTAATTATCTAAAGTAAGAAAGGGAATTTTTTTAAAAAAACAGTCAAATGAAATATCCTTTGGACCTGCCTTTTTATTCCGCATGAGTGTTATATCTCTATCTTTATATGTGTCATGTGGAAGTGGTATTTAACTCCCAAACTACATGAAAGAGCTCTAGACAAGTAACTTTTCTTAAAGAAATATAGCTGCTTGTTAGACTGGTACAAGCTATCTCAAATGCCCTTTTAATTTTCATAACCTTAAGAATCTTTGGTAAAATTAATGTGGTAAATTCCATCTCAAAACTCTCCAGTAATTTAAAAGCTTCAAGTCATGTTAAAATCTCAGGTTAGGTTATTTTTCACTGGAAATTTGGATTGCTGAAAGTTAAAATAGCAAGAGCATAAAATTTGTTTTTGGTGAATTTTATAAAGCATAAAAATGTTGACTTTGCTTAAAAAAGAAAATATATTTTTCCTCTAGCTAGAAAACTATTTAAGAGTTGCTTTAAAATGAAAGGAAAAATTATACGGATATAACTAAATAAAAAGAGTAATTAAGCTAGGGCAACAAAAGTTAACTCTGAGACCCGTGGCTACCAAAATGATAGTCAATCAATGTGGGGGAAGAGCAAAACTAACTATTTAGAACCAGAGGGTATACTGTAAAGAATTGTTCCATTTTGTAGTTTAGTATCATCAGCTTCTTTAAAAAATCCTTACTATGATGGATTGAGAAAAAACACTTTAAGGACAAGATTCTTAATTTTAAATGTTACACGATTTAAGAGCTTGTTTGGGTTAATGCAGGACCCACAGTTCACTATTGAACAACCACTAACATGTGATCCAAATACCCAGGAGGTTATTCCTAAGAGAATAATCATCATAATATACCCAGAAAATGCCACCATAAAGTCTGTTTTCTCTGAGTAGGGGACTACCTAACTCTCCCAATAAAATACCAAGTGAAACACCCCAGATGGAGCAGTTAATATGCTTCTTATGTGAACCATGTTGGACTGGCTTAATAATGACTGGGATATGCTCCCACCAAACTGTCTGTTACCCAGGTTATGTTAAATTTGGGTGCTAAGAGGGCCCCTTTTACATGGATGCTCCTCCCACAAAATCATGAGAGTGTTTGAGGAGTCGTATCAAATTTGCTGCCCCTTAGAGGTCTTACAGATGCAACTCCCTGCTGAGAAACCAAACCCTTTTTCAATAGAAAAGGTAAAATGATTTGGGGGTATTAAAAAAAAATTCTGGGACCAGAACATATAAACATACAGGTTAATAGAGTTATGAAATTTAAAATGTTTAAACAGGTTTTATGTAAGGTAGTTGTAACCTCCTTTACTACCTGGGAGAGGTTTCCCCTTTCTAGTAGTATAAAACTGAAGGCATATAAATCTGCTCTTTTGAGAAATGTTAATTGGACATGCCAAATGGGAACTAGTAAGACTGCCTAAGCCCACAAAGTATAGGGTAGAAGCTGGAGTGCTAGTCGGGACAAATCCTGCACTTCATAGCCCTTTGTGTAACATTTATTGGGGCTGATGGCAAAAAAAAAAAAAAACTGTGAGTTCTTCCTGATGACAAAGATAGAACAAGGGAATTTCTAGCTCAGGGACATTTAGTACCTTACTATGGAATGCTAACTGAACCAACTTCTATGATAGTGGAAATAATGTTGCCCCAAAAGAGTTTCGTGATAAAATAAAAATGGTTTACATAGAATCTTGCTACATGGGGATATAAGGAGGAGATACTAATAAGCAGGCAGCCTCATTCCTAGGACTAATTCTAACTCTGTGAGGAGCTGCTAGATTGCATAGTGCCTGATAGACAGCTCTCAGGAGCGGTTTGGCTTGTGCATGACATTTCCAAGATGATAAACAAACATCTTGTGTGAAAGCCACTGCTCTTGTTAAAGGAGGGTCCAGACAATCTTTTTCTTTAATTCATTTTGATGAAGTTTGTTTTTGTAAGCAAATTATCTTTCTGAGTTCTCCAAAATTCAGATCCTAATTTTATGACAATATGGTTGTTTGCATAAGTTTCAATAAGAGTCTTTAAAACAATTAGAGACTTGAACTAAAGTGGTATATTTTTAGGTAAGGTGCCAGCAAAGCCAACTTAAAATGAATCTATGTGGCCAATCAATTCTTGCTGCATTTTAAGCAAATAATCCGGCCAACCATGATAAGACTAAAACTTACTTGGCACACAAACTGGTCTTACTATAATCTCTAAAAAAAATGCAGATAGAACAATTGTTTAAAAGGAAAAGCTTAAGGATTAGTACTAGATTTCAGTCCTAACTCTTTTTAAGTGCAGATTAAATCATTATTTCTTTGCTATAATAATCCTCTAGAGAGTACCAGATCATAATTTATCTCCATATTTTTAGCTGGTTCCCTAATGAAGTAGGTTCCTTTTTCCATTCTGACACACAAATAATCTTTTGATTGTGAAACTATAAATGTTATTTACCTCTCCTTGTTTTACTTCCAAGGAAACCAAAATTACGGTATTCTGAAGACTAGAGATATGAATCCCCCTCAGCTGACATCCCACTGGGTTCAGATCTGTATTTCACCGCGAATCTTCTGATGCTAAAACTATACAAGCACCCTCTCTCTAGGCTCAGGGACTGTCTTGGAAGAGGCAGGCACATGAGATTGTAAGAGCTAGTTTTGGGCATGAACTTAGGTCCATGTCAAACTCTCCAAATCAAGGAGGGGTACAAAGATGGTACAGCCGGCAAAACAAGGGACATTTCCTTCTAGACTATAGTGTGTCACTTTTGCATCCACCCCAACCATAAACAATTTTCTGCTTCTCATAGATTTAAAAGAAAATATTTACTGATAGGATAAAGATGCCTTATGACAAAGCCTCTTGGTATAATACTCCCAAGTATAAATTGCACATATAGTTTCAAATTGTGCTAATGCCATTAGTATACAATGGCAACAGCAATCCTGATGAATCCAGCAAAATTCGCCACCCAGAAATTAAAACTTGACCTCACTGGAAAAGTTGGAGCTGGCCTAGGTATATTGGTGTAAGCTGAGTTCATAGCTAACGAGGAGAGGCATCTCTTAGAGAAAAGTTTTCTGTCAAAAATAGCCCACATAGAAGGAATGTTATTCCAGGAAGATGGAAAAGGATGGGAAGCTCCTTTAAAAAATAATGCAACACTCATCAAATGGATAGGAGAAACCAAACAAAACATAAAAACATACTCTCAAACCCGAAGGTGGCAATGAGCATGTTCTGTAACCCAACAGGGGCTCATGTCTATTTCATTACAAACACAATCTAAGGTGGCTATGAAGCAATGGCCTATACTCATCTGTGCCGAGGCACAATCCAAACACCTGTGGAAAATACACGGCCCCCCAAACATATGGAAAATTTCGGATGGTAAATGTGACCTTAAACATGGTATTCTCAGAGCATAGGCACCAAAGTTAAATGAGGCTCAAAGGTATTCTGTGGTTCAACTGGCAGGCATTGTAAACAATACAGAAATACTCCCCTGGGGAAATAGGTGGACTATTTCAGCTCATGATAACACATGGCGTCCCATCTCCTTTTCAGATTGTGAAAACAGAAAAGGGGAATGGTTATGCCCTCAGTCCACTTAGAACCCTAATTTTCCCCAACTTAGCCCCTAATATCCACTCCCATAGCACATAACATTTGTTATATGGGAAAGGGCCATTTCTGTGGGAAAGGACAACAAAATGAAAGTATAGAATCATATGACTTCTCCTTTAAAGAACATTGTTTTCTCTCCCAAACACATACCAGTATATAGTGCAATACAAGTGGTGTGAAAAATAGGTGTGTCTACTGTTAACAAATCCTGTAACAATTTAGATATAGAACACCAGGCATTTGTTGCACTTGATTTATACCCTCGTCAGGATGTTATACCTATGGAGACCAATTGGCCCGAAGTAAACGAAGCTGCACCCTTACTACCTTGGGCACATGTTCTGAGGACCTCCTGAGGGCTCTTCAATATATTGCAGAGTTTGACTGCTTTACTCAACAAGGTACTGGGGATTAGGGTAGAAATACACCGATGTGAAGGACGGCGCCATTTCTCAACTCACAGAAATAAAAGAAGAGAAAACACCTGGAGAAGGAGGAGGAGAAGGGGGAGGGGAAAGGCGAGAGGAGGGGGAAGGGAAGGGGAGGGGAGGAGTGGAGGAGGAGGAGGAGGAGGAGCAGCTGCTGAGCCTGGAGCTCCCGCCAGCCCCGGGGTGAGTCCTTGAGGTGGAAGAAGAGGGACTTGGTCCTGAGCCTGCCCCGGATCCACCCGCACCAGAACCCTAGAATCCCAGTTTCTGGATGGGACCCAGTCCCACCCAGGCCAGACACTCCCTTGACCCGGAGCCCGGGCCCTGCCTGGCCTCTGCTGCCACCTCTCATGACAGAGTCCAGGGCCCCCGCGCCACCTCCGCATCAGCAGGGCTCTGGGAGGGCGGGGCCAAAGACGCCCAATGGGACTTCCCGTCCGTAGGGGGATCCTGACGCCCTAAGGGCGCAGAAAGGCGCCCCCTGCACTGGGGCGGCCATCTTCGCTCTCGCAGAGGAAGGGGCCTCTCCAGCGCCCAGACTCAAAACCTCCCCGGAGGCCCGGGCTGGTGAGGACGCCCTGGCTGGGCCTCTCATGTGGACGAAGGCTGCTTCCGCCCCAGCCGAGATACAAAACTCTGAGGAGAATCAAACCTGAAAAGGTGCCTGTCCTCCTTCCCAGAGGGGAAAGGCAGTTCCTGAAACCTCAGTAGAAGAGAAAACGCTGTGAGGGCTCGGGGGACCAAGGACACTCTTCCCAGGCCAGCAAGGCCAGAGTAGGAGAAAGCTGCACCCACCTCCAGGGAACATGTGAGGTTTTAGAGGGTCAGGCAAGTCAAGGGCAAACGCCCCGTACTCCCCCCGGGGACATGAGCACTCCCCACCTACTGGGGTTGGGCTCAGGGAGGCCAGGACATTATCCCCGCATCTCCCCTGCCTCCAGGACCCAGGTTGACTAGGAAAAGGTGGTGGTAGCTCTAGCTGGCCATGGATGCACAGGCTGGGACATGCAGGCCAACAAAGAGGTGCTGGGCCCTCAAGGGGACTGCTAGATTTCCTAGACACTCCAGAGACACAGGGACACCCAGGCAGGACAGGGAGAGCCTGGGAGCAGCTGTGAACAAGCGCAGGTGCCCATCCGAACACACAGAGCCAAGCTCTGTTCAATCACTTGCTAAGCCAGACCCATCCCAGGGCCCAGAGGTGCAAACAGTGACCCCACTCAGGACTTGGAAGGAGGAGCACAGGAAAAGCCCCAAATTGGCCAAAAAAACTGTCAGAAATGTGGCAGTTATTTCATAAGCACGTGAATAATAAACCCAAACAATGGAAAACAAAACTAAACAAAGGCAAGTGTGAATGGAAACGTGATGAGTGAGAGCAGGAGACTGTCTCAGTTGGAAGCAAGCACAGCAGTCACCACTACTTCATTCAATGACGTCAAGATTTATTCAAAAGCATTGGCCTGGGGAGTGTAGGGAACCTGGACTAAAACAAGGAATGGGGCACAGCTTGGAGAAAAAGGGGAGAGTCTCAGGGCAGAAATAGAGCACCAGCCTTAGGAATTATTTATTGTGGCATCAGACCAATGACTACAAGGACATCAGCATGCAAGGGGCGGTGTTAGCCCTGGGAGTGAGCAGCTGTCTTCAGATGAATTTTCAGGCCACATCATGCTGGAAGCAGAACTCTCACATGGAGCAGTCAGGGATTCGATTGAGTGTGGTTGGATGTATGTGGTTAAATAGGAAGAGAAAGTCTAAGGGACATTGTGTGTGAAGTGAAATGTGAATGTTTTATTTGAACTCCCTGCGGTTCTCCCCCTCCCTGCAGCATCTGGAGCCCTCTGCTGTTGAAGACAGTGGGTGTTGATGGGAAACAGCAAAGGGGAAGCAAGCGGTCCTTGGAATTACTTTCTCTCCACATTTCAGGGAATGCACTGACTAAGGACTTGGACAATCTCTGACCTATCAATGCAGGGGGTGACTCTTGGTTAAATCACTTCCTAAAGAGACATCTCTGTGCCCTGCTGGGAGGCCTATGGTGAACCCTGTGATAGATCTGGGGACCAGGAGTTGGTGAAGGGGGCATACGGCTGAGGGAGGAGGTGCACAGTAGCTCCATACCATGCAGGCTGAAACTGGAGTTGGCTGGTCTAGGGCGTCCCATGGGACTAGATGTGGGTGGTAGAGGGTAGCGTTGGGGGAAGGCTGCCAGACAGCATGGAATGCACAATGGGGTTACTAGAAGAAAAGGGCTGATCCCAGCTTTGTGGTTTGCTGGGGATATCATCAAGGGCTGGTGATATAGGGGTGCTGCCTCCCCTTCTTCTGCAGGTGAAAGAGGCACATTCTCTCCTTTCATGTCTGAGATGTCTCCATCTTGAGCATGGCACTCCAAGCTGAAGTCATCAATGGAAGGCATGATGTACTGGATCTGCACAGGGGACTGCAGGCCATCTTGTGACCTCAGGATATGCCAGGAACAATCACAAGGACTGTGTTCTCCACGGTCAGCTGCAGCGCTGTCTCTGGGGCCAAGATGAGGATGACCTCTTCCAGGCTCAACCTCACTTCTGTCCCTTGTTCTAGGACTATGATGAGCTCCTCATTGCTGGAATCCTGCTGCTCCCGTGAAAAGATGGCCGTCAGTATTCTCCAAAAAGGCTGCAAATGATGCTGATGCGGAGGGAGTTGCCAGGAGCTTCACCCGCTACAAGTTTAAAATACACTCCCTCCCAGAATTGACTCTCATGCTGACCCACCTAAATGTACATCCACTGGATGTCTCTTGAGCTTGAAGAGTGTGCAGCACTGTCCAATCTTTGCCATACAAGGACATACGAACTTACCTGGGGAGGTTTCTGGGACGGGCATGAATTCTGGTGTGGAGCTCCTGGAATTGAGGGTGTTTTGCAATCTTTGCCATGCAATGACATAATAACTTACCTGGGGAGGTTCCAGGGACTGGCCTGAATTCAGTGTGGAGCTCCTGGAATTGAGGGTGTTTTTGCACCTGCAGAGAGATCACAGTGAGGGAGGTTAAGGCTCTTCCAGCAAGAGTCTCTTGGATTTCAGAATATGACCTTCAGAAATCCACAACCCAGCACAGGCCAGCCTCAGGACACCAGCCCCCATCAATCAAGCATGACTTTCCACTCATCCTGCAGAAAGCACCCTCTCCTTTTATAAGATTGTGAGACATGACACTGACCTCCAGGCAGGGAGATCTTAAGAAATATCAGGGAAATTGCCTTACCTATACTGGTACCCTGCTCCACTTGGTGACGTTTGGGTGGATTCATTTGCGTGGTAGCCAAGCTGCAGGACAGAAAGGGATCCGTTAGTCTTCCACACAGAGTCTAATTCTCACAAGCCCAAAACTCCATTTATCATCCAGCACACATTCTTTCTGTGTCCCTCAGTCAAGTGCACTTGTGTTGGGCTCCAAATCCTACCTGCATCCAGTAAGTCCTAATGCTCATCTCCCACCCTCAACTTTTCTAATGGCTTTTCCTATCGGTGAATGTGTGTGATAAGGGATGGTGACCACAGGAAACAGTTTGCTTTCTCAGGAGCTCATCCATCTGAGAAGGGACATCTAATTTGGTCTGAGGATTTTCAGGGAAGACGTTGTTATTTCAGGTATCTGAGCACCGTGTCTGTGCAGTTACAGTGTGAATGGAGTGAGAGATGATGGGAAATGTTTCATTTTCTAATGAGCACAGGGAAGAAATTTAGATCATGCCCACAGTTTACCTGTCTCCGCACAAGAGGTGACTTTCATTTAGAGAGGGAACATAGATCGACAGTGGGAGGAAACCTGAGATGAGCCCCCTGACAGGTCCAGAAACCCCCCATGCTGGCAGGATCCTATGGCCTCCACTGTGGGTCTCATGTCTCCGGCAGGTGTTCTAAATTTATAACGTTCAATGTCATGGCAGGCCAGGGTGCTTTCTCTGCCCTAGTTTGACCCTTTATCACACATTCACACCACACACACACACAAATGCACACAGTCACACATAGTCACATGGCAACCTCCTGGCAACCCAAGGTGAACACACACTAACATACCTGCTCTCTCCTTCATTGTCATTCTGCGATTCTGTCCAGGAATCACTAAGGCTTCTTTGGCGCCAGTAACCATACATGGTAAAGGTTCTCTAGACTCACTTGTATCAGAAAATTTCAATCTTCATCTTATTTTCTTATAAATCTATACAGTCTATGACTTGATCTTTTACTTTTCCTGAAGAAGATGATCAGCTCGGCACATCCAGAACATGGAATAGTGTGCCCTGGCCTGGGACAGGTTGAATGACGCTATGGTAGAATGAAATCTTGGGCAAATCCCAAAAGTTTTATAATAGAGAGAGCTGTGGGATTTATCAAAATGGATGAACACGATTGGCTAGTGCTGCTGATTAAGTAGTAGGACCTGCATGGGAGTGCTTTTATCAAAACTCAAGTGATATGGGTGTGCCCCTGTTAGAATTAGCCTAATCTAATCAAAATCAATCTAATGTAACCTCTACTCTGATTCACCATAGAAATGTGATATAAAATATCAGCATTTTAAAATAGTGCTATTTACATTCTATTGTATACTATTCATTAATTAGGAAAGACAATTATTTTCTGTAAGTTTCATGTGCATAATCATTTCTGGGTAAACATAAAGGATTGGTTCTAGGAAACTTTGAAGGTAACAATATTTGTGGATGCTCCACTTCCTTGTATAAAGTGGTAGAGAATTTAGATGTAACTTACTCATATTAATTCATATAGCTTAAATTATCTCTAGATTACTTATAATACCTAATACAATGCCCAGACCTTACATTACTTACGTGTTCTCAACAAAGAATTTGGTGAAGGGAAAATTCAAATTTTTTTTTGTCGGGGGGTGGAAATTGTGTAAATATTTTCTGAATATTTTCTATTCAAGTTTAGTTGAATCCATGGAGCTGGAACCCATGGATGTGGAGGGCTGACAGTATTTTTTTTTTTTTGAGATGGAGTCTCACTCTGTCTCCCAGGCAGGAATGCAGTAGTACGATCTCGGCTCACTGCAAGCTCCACCCGCTGGGTTCAAGTGATTTTCCTGCCTCAGAGTACCGAGTAGCTGTGATTACAGGCATGTGCCACCACGCTTGTCTAATTTTTGTATTTTTAGTAGAGACGGGGTTTCACCGTGCTGGCCAGGCTGGTCTCAAACTCCTGACCTCAAGTGATCCATCTACCTCGGCCTCCCAAAGTGCTGGGATTACAGACGTGAGCCACCGCTTCTGGTGACAGTATTTTTAAATAATAAAATAATATGTATTTTAAGTGAAAGAACTTTTAAAATGAATCTCCTGGGGAAAGTTATCCAAACATAATAGGCTCATATCATAAGATGAGCTGGGAAAAATACCAAAAGGACCTTTACTTAATTTCTAATATATCACTATGTGCTAATCTGTCTGTTGGCTTATTTCTTGCCTGTATCCCCCACTGGAATGGTTTCAGAATTATAATGCAAGTTTCCCTTTCAACATTACTTATTAATTAAAAATCCATGATTTCCATGGACAAAGTCACCTAAACTTCCATCAGGAGGCCAGACACCAAATGCCCAAACTCAGAGTTAATCATTTTATGATTAAAAATTATTTGACAACATAAAAAAGGTTGGATGGTATTGGGGAGAAAAGATGACCAGTAAATACCAAAATTGAACTAAATGGAAATTCTGTGAGGCTGCACCATTACTGAATGTGCCGTCACTAACAGGCCCTTGAGCTCAGGATGTCATTCTCTCCCTAGAAATTGTATAAATTTGTTTGTAGATTCTTTCCATTTAGCTGATATCCTCCTCAGTCTTATTAGGTGAAGTACAGGCCCTGCTAACTTCTTAAAAGCGCCCACGGCGGACCTTAGTGTCTTTATTCAGAGGTCTGTCTGCTTTGTGGATTTCGGTCTTTTCTGAGCAGAACAGCAGATACTTTGCTGAAGATCAGATGTAGTTTGTTTGTTTGTTTTTCAGACGGAGTTGTGTTCTGTTGCCCAGGCTGGAGTGAGGTGGTGCAGTCTGGCTCACTACAACCTCTGCCTCCCAGGTTCAAGCGATTCTCCTGTCTCAGCCTCTCGAGTAGCTGGGATTAGAGGTGTGCACCACCATGCCCGGCTACTTTTTGTATTTTGGTTAGAGACGGGGTTCCACCATGTTGGCCAGGCTGGTCTCAAACTCCTGACCTCAAGTGATCTGCCCATGTCCGCCTCACAAAATGTTGGGATTACCGGCATGAGTCATGGTGCCCAACCAGATGTAGTTTTAAAGTTGGGTTACTTGGCCGGGCACGGTGGCTCATGCCTATAATCCCAGCACTTTGGGAGGCCGAGGCAGGCGGATCAGGAGGTCAGAAGTTTGAGACCAGCCTGGCCAACATAGTGAAACCCCATCTCAACTAAAAATACAAAAAATTAGCTGGGTGTGGTGGCGGGCACCTGTAATCCCAGCTACTCGGGAGGCTGAGACAGGAGAATAGCTTGAACCCGGGAGGCGGAGGTTGCAGTGAGCGAAGATCACGACATTGCACTCCAGCCTGGTGACAGTGCGAGACTGTGTTTAAAAAAAAAAAAACGGGTTACTTCTCTACATTCTCTCTGGTTGTGGGGATCAGGTTAAGATATTCAAGAAACAGCTTACACTGAGGGTTCTGGAGTATGCATATTTTATGGTCAAGAAAGAGGCCCCTCATTGTGAGTTTGTGTGTGTCAATTCTAGCTGAAAACCTAGTAGAAGAAGAAAAATATGAGGGACTTGCCAAATATTCTACCTTTATAATCGCTTTGGCTATAAACAAAATGTGTTTTAACCAATAAATTAATAAAGTTATAGCTTAAAAATCTCAGGATATATCCTGCAACACAGAATAATGACTTATTTTTGAAGAAATATTTAAGCAATATATTTTCATTTGGGGTCCAAACTTGTTCACAAGTGTACCTCTTCCCCTTGCCTTTGAAATTAAAACCATTTTTTACATCTGCAGTGCTGTGATGAAGAGAAAGATGTGGTTCTGAATGCTTTATCGTCAACAACTGAATGTTGAATTAATGTCCCTCTCTTTCATTGTCTATTTTTCAGTGACTTTAGCACTGTAGGAAAGATGAGCCCCTCACAATGTGGAAATGCACGGAGGCAGAGCGCGGGTTTCCCTGCAAGGGCCCCTTTCCCACGGGCTGCACTGAAATTGTGTGGCCCTGCCCTGACCCGACCCCTTCCTCTGCAGGGTCCCCGTATTCTGTAGATTTTCCTCACAATTCTTCTTGTTTCTCCTCACAATCAATCCTCAATGAGGTCACAGGGAGGACATGTTACAGCCTGCTTCTATTATCTATCAGAAAGCCCTCCCTAACCCCAAATTTATACATTTGTAAAATAATGCTAAAGTATCCCAACAGAAAATACAGAATAAAACACGTGGCAACAGCCCTGAAAATGAAGTCTTTATGGCTGTTTCAGAAAAATATCCGGGATACTCTGCAGCGAATCTCCCTTCTCAGCAGTTAGGGCTGCGGACAGGAAGTTTTCCTCCTGATGGACATCGCCTTAGTTGCCCCAAAGCCAGGGCGGCGCCTCCTCCCTGACCAGAGGAAAGGAAACTCACGTACTTCCTGGAGACCCAGCCCCGCCTCCGCAGGCAGAAAGCGCATGCGCCCCGGAGGGCGGGACGGCGTGTTCCCTCGCCCTCTGCCGGCCATGGGGTTGCAGCGCAAGAGGCTTGGCTTCTACCGCTTAGCGATGGACCTAAGTCTCTCAATGGCTGAAATTCTGGTTTAGATTATTCAGTACCTTTCTTTTGGAGGATCAAATGAAAATAGAGCACGGTATCATTTGCTTTGATGGAAGATAACTGAAATAAAGAAGCAACGTCCAAGGACCATATACAAAAGGCGATTGATTCCCTGTATGTGGACGGAAGAGGAGCTTGAATAAGAGAAGGGTTCTGTGATACTTTAATGCTGGAAAACTGCTGCTATGCATTTGTCAAATCCCATACAATTTTACTGCATAAATAGTACATCTTAATGTGGCTCAGGACTACAGCTTATGTCATGTAAGATTTGGGGGAAAATTACTATTTAATTAAATAGGTTAAACTGTGAACAATAATGTGAGCCCTGCCTGGACCAGATGGCTTGCCAAGCAGATGGCCATCCTCATCCTCACACAGTACTTGACAAAAACCCTGGCTTCAGTGTAGAATCACTTGTGGAGAATTTTTAGGATGTACCACTTCCACCCATGAATTAGCCCATTTAATTGGCCTCAGTAAGTCCATGGTTTCAGGATTTTGCAGTTTGCTAAAAGTTCAATGTCATCCCAATTTATTTCCTGGAACCATTTCTCCTTGAAGTTTACATTCAGTACTGAGATTTGCTAAAAGCCAATGCATTTCCAAGTTCTAGAGTCAAATCAGACGACGCCTCCTTGGTCAGAACTTTTATTTTGCTTGCGGAAAAGTATATTGAATCAAATATAAGAAGGGTTTGCATGGTGGCTGAGTGGTTAAGGTGCTTTATCTGCTAGTCCATAGTAAGGGGAGCACAACTGTGTCCTCTGTGTCATAACTCAGGACTCATGAATAAAACGTGGAGTGTCAGGAGATGAACTTCTACTCCCACCTAGGGGAGCTTCAAGGAGAACGTCTCAAGGGCTTTCTGAGGGAAAGAAGAGCAGGGATGCCTAATTCTCTGGCCCCAGGCAGTTGTTCATGGGCAGAGACAAGGGCTGGGGTAATTCAATGGTTTATACTGGGTGTTTTTGATACTGCCCCCATTTCCCTGTTAAATCTGTGTAATGGATCACTGAGAAACCTGGCACCTGGGGCTGAAGATCCCTGTTGTGTCAACTCCAGGGATGGATCCAGAGAAGTGGTTTTGGTGGAAGTTGGAATGAAGGGAGTTTGGCTGTGGGAAGAAAAAAAAGCTGTTGATGATGGGGAAACGGGAAGAGAAGGATGAAATCTCTACTCACATGCTAAGGATAGCTTATGCAAATCTATGTGTCAGACCTGCATAAATAAAACTAGAACTTTAACAACATATTAGATTTTTCAGCAACAGGTTTTATTGTTTCAATATTTGCAAGTATTTTTCTATTAAAAAATAATAAAGTTGCTTACATAATTTTGTATTCAAAATTCCCAGGTCACATAACTGTTATACATTTACACTTCACATTTTTAATGAGTAGATACATTCTCTAAATTATGAATTATTTGCTCAATTGTGTGTTAGTTTTTTCTTTTTATTCTCCATGACTCCGTTTTCTGACCTGAAATCTGCAGTATTTGGTAATCCACAAGATGATCAGTTGCCCTTGTAAAGACTTTCCTTTCCTATTTCCTTCTTAAGAAAGCATTTTTTACTGAGTTTTTTTGGTAACATACCAACGGTGGTACCTGGCTGAATGTTGGTTCACAGTGAGTAGAGACCAAGGCTTCTCTCAAATGGAGTCCCAAATTCTTTACAGAGCTAGGAATTCTCTACTCTGAAAGTCCTGTGTGTTTTAAGTTAGAGCTTTTGCAAACTATTTATTATATTGACAGTTTTCATTCTCATGTCATTCTCATGTCATTTATATTCATTTATAGCACCAAGTGTCCCCTCCTACTTGGAGAGATAATTTTGTTCTGTAGTTAGTTTAAAAAGTCTTGACTCTCCCCTCATCAAGCTGCCTTGTCATTCTGTACTTGGCTCTTGGGGCAGGCAAGGTCAGTAGGAGATGCCAGTAGAGAGTAACCACCACTAGCTTCACAAGAATGATGTGCTGTGACGAATTGTGATAGGGTTTTTCCTTCTCTTTGCCCTAAAGATTCTATACCATATTTCATGCTCTGGAGCAAGAGCAACTTCTTTCTCATGGTTTTAATCACAATAATCTGATTTCAAGCATTTAATTCCTTTTTTTCCAGAACAACTCATTGAATTATCAAAAATATGAAATTAAGGATACCTACTTATTGGCTTGAACTAGCTCTGAGCAATTTAGTAATCATGAACAGAATGGCTCTGCTAGAACAAAATTCCTGATCACTTCAGTCCATCCTTGAAAATTTGCAGAGAGAGGTCAAGGGAACATACACTTCCCTGAAAATTGTATTTTACAGACCCAGTTAAAAGGCCATGTAAGGAAATAATGGAGACAGTAGAAGAATAGACTTACTGATTAAACTAGGTTTTGACTGTTAATATAAAAAAACCAATACCCTTTCCAAGAGCACATTGAAATAGCGTAAAATCCTTTACTAAGTACTAAAAGATATTTCCAAAATATAATAAAGACTAAAAATCTAAAGAGGCCTCATCATCTGAATCTGAAACAAAAGAGAATATAATTAAGACTTTTTAAAAAAACCCTAATGAATTGGGGATCTCTTTCCTTTACTCCTCTGCTGTGGTTGGTCAGAATCCCCTTTCTATTCTGTCCTCCACCTCTCTCCTGATTCTCTTTGTCTGTGTCATCTATCCCACTATTTCTTGCCCACGTAACTTTCACTATTTTTTTCAACACCTTCTACAAAGCTTCTAGAACTCTTTCACTATCACTGCTTTTCAAAATCCATCAGAGACAGCTTCCCAATACTCAACGTTACCTTCTTTTTCAACCTCACTCTCCCTAGCTCCCTGGCTCTCTGGTTCTCTTTTGGCCTCTCTTTTTCTCCTTATGCCCTGGCTTCACATCTACATTCACAAGAAGAGAATGAAGAAGCCCCCTTCCCAATAAGAGCACGCCTTACACTGGGACTCCAAAATCTAAGCACACCCTGACAGGCACAGCCAGTGGAATGAGATCTGGGACAGAAGATCACAGGGCGTCACAGGACTGTGGCCGGTGATGTCCAAGCCGAGGGGGTTCAGGGGCCTCCCCGAGTCTGTGACTAAGGAAAGGCCTGAGGGCAGCAGGGCAGTGTCCCAAGAGACGCGAGGATGAAGGAGGGGTGCGGGCAGGGTGGAGGGCCTTAGAAGACTACTGATGTCTAAGAAATCCCAAAGCCAGCGGGAGGTTGTGGCCTTCCTCCTCCTGGCTTTGCCCACAAAGGGCCGCGAGGGGTGAGAATCCACTTCCGAGTGGGGACTTAGACGGGGCACTGGGTGGGGAGGGGAGAGGGTGAAAAGACAAAAGACACAAAAGCATGGCGGGGCACCAACCTCCCAGTGTCTGACAGCGACGTAGGGCTACTGCGGCTGAGACACGTAGGTGCGGGGATTGTGACGTCGGCAGTGACACCAGACGCCAGATCCTAGGTGTGGAGGATGGTGACACGGAGTTGTGAACAGAAAATATCAAAGTCCACTCCAGGAAAGGGGCCTTTCATCCGGAAAACCTGCATCCGGGTCCGCCGGAACCTGCGGTCTCAGGATGGGGTAGTGGGCCAGAAAGAGGGCAGAGCCAGTGTGGACCAGGCCTCAGCATCCCTGCTCTGTCCCCAGGGCGTATCGGGATCTGTCCCCACTTCCGGCCAGTGCAGCCTTGGTCTCCGCGTTTGCCACAACGCGAGTGTTTTACGTGCAGTGGGGCTAGGCTGCTTCCACCAGTTGCAAGTTGAGTGTTTCCGACACTTTATGGTCAGGGTAGTCAGACCACTTACAGTGGTTGATGACCCGGTTCATTCTGCACAAATTAAAAACAGTTTAGGAGGCTGGGTGCGGTGGCTCGCACCTGGAATCCCAGCACTTTGGGAGGCTGAGGTGGGCGGAGTTTGAGACGAGCCTGGGCAACAGAGCGAGACCTTGTTTCTACAAAAATACAAAAACTTAGCCAGGTGTGGTGGTGGGTGCCTGTGGCCCCAGCTCCTCCAGAGGCTGAAGCATGAGAATCACTCGAGCCCAGGAGGTCGAGGCTGCAGTGAGCCGTGATGGGGCCACTGCACTCCAGGCGGAGCAACAGAACGAGACCCCGTCTCAAACCAAACCAAACAAAACAATAACAACAAAAGTTTATGGCAGAAGTTCTTCTTCCTCTCTAGCGTGAGTGGGTGGAGCTGCACATCTTGAGTGGAGCAGGTCGTGGCGCCTTCACGACCCAGGGACCCCTGGCTGGAGGTGGCTGGACCAGGACCCCCACCAGCCCAGTCAGAACGGGCCATTTATTGTCAGAACTACAATGTGAATTGCCACAGTTGGCCGGTGGGGAGCGTGGAAATTCACACCAAGGATGAGGAATGTAGGTTCCTTTTCTACTCCTCAATCACCCGGGAGGCAGGGACAAAAGCAAGGGCTCTGTTCCAGGGACTTTTTGAGCCAGGACCTGAGCTGGGCCCAGGAGGCCCGAATCTTTGCTTTAAAAGAACAAAAGTTACTGTGTATATTAATAAATTCCTTTATCCATCTTTATATTTAATGTGTTCTTTTCACATTTCTTAAGATGAATCATAAATCTGAATTCCTTTGAGACAAACGTGGATGACATCCCCTAATTTTCTTAGGTAATCGTTTTAGAATATATTGTAATTTCACATATTTCAGTGTTCTCAGCACTGTTTGAAAAAATATTTTTAATTTAAAATATGGGATAGTTTAATGTTTTGTTTTCTGTTTCAGAGTATTTTGTGTCAACTATGGGTATTGAGGCATGTAAAATGCGTACCTTTTAGGAAATACATGATTTTGTTTAGAACTAATGAAAAATTAAATGTTCAATATTTCCATGGACATTTACCAAGGGATGTCTACTCTCACACAAGAACATTTTTTAAAATAGCAAAACTGCATTTTCAATTTTCAATAGGCCCATTAATATCCTTAATAAATGTTAAAGTGAAATATGTAAGTTAGCATTTCATTTTCTACATTTCCTGATTTTCCTTTTTCTTAAGTGCATGCTAGCTGGATTTTGGAAAGACCAAATCCCAACTGTTCACACTGCAAAGATTTCTCAAAGATTATTTCCAAATGAGGGTACCCTTCTGGTTTTCCCATAACTAATACCAGTTTCTTTAAATTTTAAGTTTTTTTTTTTAAAAAAATCAATATTTTGATTCAAAACGGACTTAAAACTTGAATAGCTTCCCTTAGGTAATTGAACAGAAAGAACACTGGGATTCATCAGGGTACTTGGGGGATCAGCCCTGCTCACTGCTTCTCCAGATTTCCAGAGCTAAGTTTGTTAAGTTTGTTTCCCCTGAGCTGAGCTCATACCTCCCATAACTGCTGGGAAGTGGACACAGATTAAGGAGCCAGGATTGTATGCAATTTCAGTTGAAGAAATTCATACATCTGAGCCTTCCCATTTAGTTTTTCTGCAGCTCCCTCTCTCTTCACATAGGAGCCAAGTAATGTAGCTCTGCCTGTATGTACCGTTCAGACACTTCGACCTTCTCTACCAAATATTTTGTTTTTTGGTTTCTACAAAATATGAGTTTGGGGAGTCTTCAAATAGACTGAATTGATTCCTCTTGAGTCTGCACGGGACACACATTGTCTACATTTGGAAGCCCCTTACGAGAAACTAACCCACTAAATGAATGTCTGGGTAAATTAAGGTCTGCTCACTGTGTCTCTGAGTCTCTGATTCCATGCCTAGAAAATGGATCTGATAAAAGACGAGGAGTGGGCTGGGCGCGTTGGCTCAGTCCTGTAATCCCAGCACTTTGGGAGGCCGAGGCGGGTGGATCACGAGGTCAGGAGATCGAGATCATCCTGGCTAACGCGGTGAAACCCCGTCTGTACTAAAAGTACAAAAAAATTAGCCGGGCGTAGTGGCGGGTGCCTGTAGTCCCAGCTACTCAGGAGGCTGAGGCAGGAGAATGGCGTGAGCCAGAAGGCGGAGCTTGTATGAGCCAAGATTGTGCCACTGCACTCCAGCCTGGGTGACAGAGCAAGACTCCGTCTCAAGAAAAAAAAAAAAAAAAAAAAAAAAAAAAAAAAAAAGCTGAGAAGTGAAAAAAATGACAATACATTGAAGCATAATTTTTAAAATTATGATTTATGATTACTATCTAAAACAAGATTTTTCTGTCCTACCTTAGAAAATTTCCTTAGCTTTTCCAGAAGAAACTACAACTCTACCAAAGCACAATGGTTGTAGGAAGGCTGTTTGATTGGGTCACTAAGAAGTCCTGATGAGAAGATGGTCCATCTAAAATGCAATGCAGTGTATATAAGGCAACATGTGTCCACATCACTTCCTGGGCATAACCAGCCCTACCTCCTCAGAGGGGATCTGATCCTAATGCACATGCATTTCCTTGGACAAAGGTAGGGAGTCTGATTCAGAGCTGCTCCAAAGCCTGTCCATGCAGAAGACTTTATACCTGTAGTTCTTGTTCCTACCTTGAATGTGAAGGAGTACACTCAGTTTCAGAGTGAGAGTTTTGATCTCTGTAAGTTCTATTTGAAAAGACCAGCGGTTGACCAAAAAAAAAAAAAAAAAAAAAAAAAAGAGGTACAGCCAAGGATTGGAATAAAGTCATAGGAACAGAGTCAAGCCCAGAAGAGCAGCAGTATTGAAGGACAATGGATTAGGTTGCTAAGATTGATGGTGATCCTTATAAGTCAGCCTGTTACACTGTTTGCCTTGGGTCCACAGAGCTTTGTCATAGCTCTCTCTTGTAAGTTTCTTAAAATCACTAAAGAGGCTTGCTTGAACTCAGGTGTCTGAGATCAGCCTGAGCAGTATAGTAACACCTCATCTCTACTAAAATAAAAAAATTTAGCCAGACATGGTGGCATGTGCCTGTAATCCCAGCTATGATGGTGCCACTGCACTCCAGACTGGGAAACAGAATGAGACCCTGTCTCAAAAAAAAAAAAAAAAAAAAAAAAATCAGGAAAGTGCCCCATTTTCTACTACTCAGATCCTGTTGAGTTTCAGTGATGAAGGAGAGGTGGATCCAGACACCTGGAGCACCTCTTACTGCAGTTCATCTAAGTCAGCCTTTACCTGGCCCGCTCTGCTGTTCACACAGCCGGAAGGGCTTGTGCACGGGTTAGAAGACTACAGTTCTCTCTGTCATCAGTTTTCCTGGTTTCTCATACAGCCCCTTCTCCACATATAGATAGTGGAGATTTTGCCCAGGGGATTCCCTCAAGGTCTCAGTTTCGTTAAACTTGTCAAGGCTTCCACAGATTGTTTTGCCACCTAGTGAGACTTGTTTCGAAAAAAAAAAAAAAAAAGTGAAATGGGAAAAAAATTAAGTGGCAAATGAGAATGATAATAGTCCTCACAGGTGAAGGTGACCATAGAGACAGAAGATAGGTGGCTTCATTTTGGTCAGCAGCTCACCTGGGCCAGTGGAATGTCTTTGTTTGGATGAAAAGGACCTTTCTATACCTCGATATAGACAATCAGGGACAGAGGTGCACCATATGAGCAGAATGGCTTTCATAAGAGAACAGAGAGTCCTTAACATTTTCGGTTCAGTTCCCCAGAAGAATGAAAGTGAGCAGTTTTGAATGGAAATAATTGTCAAATGGGAACATAAACTACAAATATATTGGCAACAAAGGAAGTTTAGCAGCAATACTCCTTCAGTTTCAGTTAAAGTGATTTACGCTAAGTTGATAAACCAGTTGGTTTAAATGGTCACAGGACATTTTGTCTGTGAAACCTCTCTGGACCCCAATGACTCCAGTCGTAATTAGTCTAAATGCACATGTTCTAAACTCCCACAGGTCTCGGATCAGGATGTAGAACTTAACACATGGAATGTTCATTTGCTGTACATGTGTCTGTCTACCCAATAAAGTTTGAGCTTCTGTTCCTGGGGTTGAGCAAGGTGAACCACTTGGTCATGCCCTCTCCATACCTCCTTTACAAATGGAAAAGTGCAACACAGTGATATGCCACTGGACATGAAGGCAGCAATCCTGGATTTGAGCCTGAATCTATTTCTGCAACTAACTGGAGGTGTGTGACAGAGATCAATGGATCTCAGATGCTTCTGTGTTCAGTGATCAACAGGTCTCAAATGTCACTGTGCAGGAGACTTAATTGGAAAAGTCATTTTACAAATTTAGATTCTGAAGAGATCCCCATTTGAAAGTGTTAGAGTGGGGCATAGAGCTCTAATTATAAGTATTCTAGGCTAGTTACACTGACTATAATTAACCAATATAGTTCTGGAAGCAGGGACTTAAGTGATCTCTAAGGCTACTTCTAGTTCTAATATTTGAGTGTTCTAAGGATTCGTAGACATCTGAATATAAATCTTAGACTAATTTTTATGGTTTTTCAATTCACATGGGTGTGTGTATGCTCGTGTGTGTGCTCATACATCATGAAAAAGTAGAACTATTCCTTTACTTCATGCAAAGTTCAATCCACAAATTATAAGTAAATTTTAGATAATTGGCAGTGAGGGTGAATTTGTTAACACCAAGTTTGACAGAGTAAGAGCAGAGGCTGAAGATAATAAGACACTGATCTAGAACAACATCAGTGAGGAGAAAGAGGGAAGGAGATAATTGCATTAAGATTTACAGGGATTAATAAGCAATTTATGCAGATTAATGTCATGAGTAAATTGTGTGACTTATTCAGAAAAGTAAGCATTCCTGAGTAAACCTCTACTTTTACCCTGAATGTCAAGTAAACGATAGTAATATTTTCTAAGATTTAGAATATTAAACGAAGGCCAGATTTGGAAGCAAACCAATAAATTGCAATAAAGACATTACCTTTGAAGTGCCTATCAGAAATCCACTTAGAGTAGCTCAGTAAACTTAAATTGGATACATAAGTAGTGGAAGGTTGAAAAGGCACAGAGATAACCATACAAAAGGGATATCGCCTTTTAACATATAGGAACAAAGGAGTAAAGTTACTCTCAGGGGCTAGCGCCCAAAATTATCTTACTTGTACGCAGCTAGAGCTTGAACCTATGAGGAGGAGACACAGTACCAGGTGCCCATGTCTCCTAGTGGGTTACACCACATCAGTCACGCTTAAAATTTGAAG
This sequence comes from Homo sapiens, assembly GCF_000001405.40. NCBI lineage: Eukaryota > Metazoa > Chordata > Mammalia > Primates > Hominidae > Homo > Homo sapiens. The sequence continues at coordinate 7,808,671 of NC_000008.11, forward strand.
GGAGCAATGCTCAATGACTGATGTGCAGGCAAATGAGGCAGAGGCACTTGATAGCCAGTGTTCAGACTTCTGAGGAGGAGACATGGTCCAACAGGTGCTTGGATAGACAAGGTGCATAGAAAATCAGATTGTAGCTCAGCCGGTCCTCTTACAACCAAGGAGGTAGAGCTAGGAGGCTGCTGGTCCTTTTCTGGCGTATTTGTGGGGCTGCTGAGAAAGTGGAAAGAATATAAAGCCTGAAGCCTGGAGCCAACCATCTGCTGCTATTGGAATGGGGCTGACAAAAACGGCATAGAACAGATGCCTTCACTCTTGGTCTTGTTTTCCACTCTCCTGCTAATACCTTTCATTAAAGGTGCTAACAAGAAGCTAACTGGCCAAGCAGTATAACAAATGCTGTTTTCAGAGTCCCAGCACAGCACCACAGAGCAGAGTAAAGAAATCATAAAAGTAAAGAAGTAACACCATGTCATTAGTCCATAAAGAGTGGGAACCATGAGAATGGAGGAGATTGTTTGGAGATAACACGTATAATAAGAAGAGAATGAAACATAGGTGAAAGCAATCCTAGCCAAGAGAATATGAGGAACAGTCAGCAAAGAAGACTGAGAATGTGTGGAGAAGACAAAGAGAAATGTCCAGCAGACAAACATTCTCACGGCCAGAAGAGAGAGAAATTAAGGTGCAGGAGATAGATCACCTTGTAAAATGTTTCAGAAAGGGCCTGAAGGATGAATACTGGCCATAGGTCACTGGAGTTGGCCCTGGTAATTTATTAAGAGAAAAACTACTATTAACTGACTAAGGAGGTACCTGGTACCTTTATAAAGAGAAATTCCAATAGTATGATGAGAGCTAAAATAATCTTCTTCTTCTTCTTCTTTTTTCTTCTTCTCCTTCTTCTTCTTTTGAAACAGGGTCTCTTTTTTTTTTTTTTTTTTTTTTTTTTTTTTTGAGACAGAGTCTCCCTCTGTCACTCAGGCTGGAGTGCAATGGCATGATCAGGCTCACTGCAGCCTCAACTTCCAGGGCTCAGCCCCCAAGCAATTGGGGCTATGGGTGTGAGCCACTATACCGGGCTTTTCTTTTCTTTTTTTTTTTTTTTGAGACGTAGACTTGCTCTTGTCACCCAGGCTGGAGTGCAATGGCATGATCTTGGCTCACTGCAACCTCTGCCTCCCGGGTTCAAGCGATTCCCCTGTCTCAGACTCCCAAGGAGCTGGGATTACAGATGCATGCCACCACGCCTGGCTGCTTTTTGTATTTTTAGTAGAGACGGGGTTTCACCAGGTTGGTCAAGCTGGTCTCAAACTCCCGACCTTGTGATTTGCCCACCTCGGCCCCCCAAAGTGCTGGGATTACAGGCGTGAGCCACTGTGCCCAGCCTAAATTTTTAAATTTTTGTAGAGATGGGGTCTCCCTATGTTGCCCAGGCTGGTCTCGAACTCCTGGGCTCAAAGGATCCTCCTGTCTTGGCCTCCCAAAGTGCTGAAATTGCAGGCATGAGCCTCCATGCCTGGCTTTAAGAGATTTCTATAGGTTGAGAAGGAAATAGGGTATAAAAACACTGGAGACAGGAAATGTATGCTATATTTCAAGTCATTTGACTGACAGAGAAAGAAGAGGAAAAATAAAAAATGAAGAAACGAGAAAGTCTAAACACACTTAGATTCTCAAAGGCAGTTAGTTTTATCTGAGACAATGTTTAAGGAATTTCTAGGGAAAATGCAGAACAGAAAAATCCTCTGATTGAAACAGATAACTTTACATATTTTCCTCCAGCATAGTTTTCAGAATAAGAAAATTAGCACCATGAAGACAAGTGGCAATACCAGAAGATCTTTCAAAACACATTTTATTTTTTATTTTAAAACATTTTACACGTTGTCTTGTTCCAGATTTTTTTTCCTCTTTTATTTACATCTCTACAGGAAGCCAGCTTAACTGAATAGAGAAGGACATTTTCTAGAGCAGCGCAGAGGGATTTTACTTCTTCTGTTCTGGGATGGTGTACTATAAATCTTCTACGATGAAATGGTCTGTGATATATGCTTTCTTCTGCTGGAAAGCTGGGACTCCAAATTTTGGCAAATTAGGGAAAAGGTAAGCCTCAGTTTGCCATTGTTATGCTCTGAAAGGGCAGGGTTTGCAGGATTACAAAAGAGATTCTTAGAAAGTGTCTTTTTTTCTTTCTATGGTTTTTTTTTTTTTCAGTTTGTTTCAATTTCTTCCTCCATTTAACTGTTCACCTGAACCCGCTGAGAAACGTTCCATCTTTAGGACTGCCTTTTGTTGTTCTATTATCTTCCAGCCTGCTATTTTGTGGACATGCTAAGCAGACAAGTCCAGAAAGCCCGAAGTTGGAATATAAATGTGACTAAGTCAGTAACTGTATAATCTTCTTCAGTCTCACTCTCCTCCTTTGTAATAAGGGCACTGAATTCGATGACCTTTGGGGAACTTACTGCTTCAGAAACCCATGATTTGATCAATTCTCACTGCAAATGGCCAGAATGAAGATGTTGCTCAAGCTACAGCCAACTTGAATTTTGATATGGGTGCATTTCATTCTAAAACTTGATGTTTTAGATCGAACAGGTAAATGAACAAGAATCTAAACAGTTCCTACCTATAAAAGAGAGAAAGGAGTACATGACAGTGATACTGCTGAAGCAGCCACAATGAGCATCTAGCAGGTATACCGTTTACTGAGAGGTTCAATCTGCTCACATTATAGATACCAGAATCCTGGCACAGAGGGCCCAATGTCCTACATCTGTTTAAAGCCAGAGCTATGACTTTAGAACTCAATTCACCTGAGTGCCAGTCCAACCATTCCATTCCATCTGTTTTATCTGTGTATTCAATGGCTCACTTTTATATAAAGTAAAAGAAATCATTAATAGGCCCTGTGTCAGGAACTGAGAGTGCAAAGGTCAACAAGATATAGTGTCTGCCTGGAAGAAGTTCACAGCCTAGGAAGGGTATCTCCTTGTAGCACTGGGAACTGGACAGACATGGCTTCAGATAATCCAACCTTTGCAGATCAAAGAGAGATGGTCCAGAGAGATTTATCCCACTGATATCGCAGCCAGAGAATCTTCACCTCTTTGTTTCTTGCAGCTGGTGCTTAGTTTTTAATGTTTCTTTCTGTTTTTGCAGCAAAATGGTGCTAATTCAGCTCTACAGCCCCCAATCTTTACTTCAAAGGTAAGACATTCGGCTTCACAGTGACCTTCCATTCTCTTACTAATTAGTGCTCTATGAATTGCTGTCCTGGCTAAGTAAAGAAAGCAATTTGTCTTCAGTTATCTAGTAATTAGTAACTGTAAGATAAAATTACATCGCCCAGGCCAAATTCAGACTTCCTCATTACCATAACTCCTAGAGACACAGACTATAAACCTAGAAATTAGAAAAATCAGATGTTATCTGAACAGTCATGTCTGAGCTCAGACCCCTGGTACAATATAATCAATGTCCTTATTAAATAGCCAATTGGAAAAAAACAGAAAAGATTTTCATATGTCAAAATCATATCTAGCTTGTACAGAAACAGAATGTTTCTTCCAAGGAAGATGACAAAATACTTTCTAATTCCAATGAACGATCCTTACCAACAGATTTTTTTTCCCCTGTATCCAAATAGTCTCTGATTTATAGCAAAAGTTAAAGATTGTTCTGTTACATTATAGGCAGGCCAATAGTAGATCATATGCCCTGGCATATGATTTCGGAGTCTCACAGTTTTAGGTAGAAAGATAAACAACATGATGCTAGTCCTTCTCAATTTACTGTGCAAAGAACACCAATGGAATCGTGTATTTAGCTCTGGCAAGCAAATTTAGAGAGACACAGGCAATGTGTGTTCATTCATAACAGAGATTAGGTTGAAGAGGAAAAAATATGTCAAAACAGGAATCTTTTTTAATTGGTAAGATACATTCTTAGGAAACAATAGTGGAAGAAGTAGCAGTTCTTCTCAAAAGGAGTAATGTTTATTCCTGGAAATAACAACTTTGGGGGAGAAACAGTACATATTAGCTGCCATATATCTGAAATATTATCATGTGGAATATATTTTGTTAGTGCCAAGTTAAGGCAAAGACTAATGGAAAGAAATTGCAGGGACTTAGATTTCTGCTCAAATTAAGGAGAAATTTTTGAATAGTCCAAAGTTGAACTTGGGATACTGTGAACTACAGATCACTTAAATTTATCAGGCAACTGGACAATCAGTTGAGACACACACACGCACACACATACACACACACACACACACATATATATATATATACATGTATAGGGTGTTCAATACTGAATCAGGGCAGAGAACAAAAAAATAAGTAGAAGAACAAATGACCAACAATGGTAAACTCTAACATAGCATAGAGTATGTGCCTGCCACTGCTCAAGCAGTTATACAGAGAGATTGTTAAACTGTCCCAAAGCAGTCATTTTTACCTTCAGACTTTTAGTCATAGAACCTCTGGGTTTAGCTGGACACATGAATACTTAGCTATTCACATCAGCTCCTAGCTTCCTATTTCTATATGTCCACATGAACAAATTTGGAAAAATGAAAAAGGAGTGGAATGATGTGAGCTGCTTCTATGTAATCTTAATCAGGTTCTATACTTTCTAACCCTGCCTGTTAGAATATCCTTGGAACCAAATAAAATGGTCAACTGTTTAGGATGGCAGGGTTGACCTTCAGCCCAAATCACAACATAACTTGGTGAAAAAGAACCCTCTACCCGCACCTAGTCAACTTAGCTATTTTTGGACTTTTACATGAAAGAGAAATAAGGTTTTGTCTTTCTTCAGTCATTCTATCATTAAGATTCTTTATTATAACAAGTTAGTTTCTAATTAATATAACAAGTTTATTCATCTTCAAAACAATGCTATTATTATTATCATTTATAGAATGGAAAGTAAAACACAGGGTGCATACAGCTTATAAAGATTAGCACTGAGATCCAAACTCATATAAGTTTGGCCTAATAACCTATGTTTATTACCTTTTATATTGATCATTAAATTCACTTCTAACTCTGAGATTCTATGTGATTATGGTGATGGTGGTGGTTCTAATTTGTGCCCAAACTATGCTTATTATTGTAATTCAAATACATCTGAGATGAGTTTTGTGGACAGGGAGCTATTAGGCATCCACATCTATAGACTGATCTGAATAAATTGGAGTACTGATTAAAGTGGATGGAGAAGACAATTTTAAATGAGTTTATCTATTCTGGAGCATTGTCTGACATCTGCAAAAAGATGCTGAGGGCAGAAAATCGGGAACTGATTTTACAACTGACACTTTCATGGAGTCACTGAAACTTTCATGGGGACATTGTTCCCTGGCTCTGTTCTTTAGTTCTAGTCTTGCCTATTTCCAAATGTGCAAAACAAATACTACTTCCCAGGAAGCCTTTCTGCATTTCCTAGTTAGAACCAAGTTTCCACATCTATGACTTCTCTTTATAATTTGCATCTTTTATGGCACTTGTGAAAACTGTTTCATATTAAAGTTATTTGTGAATTTTCCTGTCTCATTGATACTTACTTATACATGTTAAATGTATTGAAAGCTTATTTACCACTACAAGCAACCTATTTTCGAACAACACAGAAGGAATAGACTAATAACTTCAAGCAAATTAAGGTCAATGTCCATGCTTTATATTTTTACCTCTTCGTTTTACCTACCTTTATCATAGTGGACAGAACAATTTCTTACAAGTGGTTAGCACACATTCAATATCTATTGGTTTTCTAGGACTACTGAGGACAGAATGTGTAATAAAGGAATGTAGAAATTCAGGAGCCATGAAGGAACAGACAGGGGGCTTCATGATGCATGGAGAACCTCTAATAGGAAAAGCTTCACAACAGAAGGAACGAAGGATAGTTGAGGAGGTATGGACATAAACATTTCTTAGGAACAGAGTCGTGGTTGTATGAAGCAAAGAGAATCTCAAAGACGCAAAGACTTAAGAGAATAGTAAGCAAGATGTTAGTTTAGTGGTTTTAATGGCATAATTTCCAACCAGTGTGTGAAAGCCAAAAAGTCTAAAATAATGTATGGATAAGAGATTTGGACCGACGACTCAGACATGAAAAAAAATTAGCTGTCTAAGAATCTAGTAACATAACTTTAGTTTAATTTAGACTACAAAGGCTGTACTTCCCTAACTTAACAAATATGTTTGGCATTTCCTTGGATAATCTTTTCTTTCTTTTTTTTTTTTTTTTTCATTTTAAAGAAATCACTTTAGAATATGCTGGCCAGGCGCGGTGGCTCATGCCTGTAATCCCAGGGCTCTGGGAGGCCGAGGAGGGCGGATCACGAAGTCAGGACATCAAGACCATCCTGGCTAACACAGTGAAACCCCGTCTCTACTAAAAATACAAAAAAATTACCCAGGCGTGGTGGCGGGTGCGTGTAGTCCCAGCTACTCGGGAGGCTGAGGCAGGAGAATGGCATGAACCTGGGAGGCAGAGCTTGCAGTGAGCCGAGATCGCACCACTGCACTCCAGCCTGGGCGACAGCGCGAGACTCCGTCTCAAAAAAAAAAAAAAAAAAAAAAAAGAATATGCTGAACCTGCGTTGCAGATTACAAAGGAGGAAAGAGATCTAAAAGTACAAAGATGTCTGAATTCCTTGGCAGAGCTGTTAGGGAAGTTGACTAGAAACTATTATGGATGGAGATGGTCCCGGTCAATGTGGTCCCATTGTTTTGTGTCGGAGCTCAGGAAAAGATTTTCAGTGACTGGTTTGCCTTGGAACCTTCAACTTTGTAAAAGTTGAGCTTTCATCTCAAAAGACAGATCCTGAGCAGACTGTCATCTCTACTTCTAGAAGAATTTCCCTCTTACCTTGGAAAATTTGAGCAAGAAGAATGAGAGCAGCCAAAATAAAGACAAATATTTTCATGGCTCCAGGCATCAGTGGAGAGCTGATGAAGGAAGTGCAGTAGCTGGAATCAAGCTCTTTTATCAAGGGGCATTGATTAAAATATGTTCTACTGCCCTGAAGGGACTGGAAGTCATCCTCGGTTTGTAATGTTCATTGGGAACATACTATTTTCCATGCTCCACTGATTAATGTGTGGGCTGATGGATCAGATTTTAACTAAACCACATTTGTGGGAGACAAACGCAGAGAACCCTGCCTTTCTGCCTGGAATATTCTATTCTGTGTCTCTGCTTAGACTTCTCTCATTTTTCCTTCAAGTCTTATCTCAAGTATTACCATGTCTATAAGATATATAGCCACCACGCTTTTCCTAGTACATGATTTTACATAAAACCTATTCTTAAAATAATAATTAAAACAAACACACAAAAACCTTTAATTTTAAATTCAGGAGTACGTGTGCAGGTTTTTTTTTTTTTTTTTTTTGACAGGGTCTCGCTGTATTGCATGGAGTGCTGTTGCTTAAGGAGAAAAGGGTTAATCCATTGAAAATACATAAAAACCATTAACATGTTTTTATATTATTTGATTTAATTAAAGGGAGAAATAGACACTTCTATATTCATAGTAGAAAATTTTTACACCACTCTCTCAGCAACTGATAGAACACAGGGAAAAATTAGCAAAGTCATGCATGATCTGAACAATACCACCATTCCACTGACTGCATTGATATTTATAGAACACATCATAAGACAACTGCAAAATACACATTTTTTTCAAGTACATATGATACATTCATAAAAATGAACCATATGCTAGGCCATAAAACAAATATTGATGTGTTTAAGCACATTTAAATACTTCAGAGTGTATTTCTCACCACAAGGGGATTAAATTGGCAATCTATAAAATAAGCTATTTAGGATATTTTCAAATATGTGGAGATAAAGCAACATCATTCTAGATTGTGTTTGTATCAAAGAATAAATAATGAGAATAATTGGAAAGCATTTCTGTATATCGAATTTTGTGGAGCACAACAAAACAATGACTTCGAAAGAAATTTGTATCCAAATACTTATTGTAGAAAAGAAGAAATGTTTAAATCTATGACTTAAAATTATGCTCTAAGAACCTTAGAAAAGGGAACAATGTAAGCCCAAGTATGCAGAATAAGTGAAAAAGAAGTTATCACTACAGATCCAAGAAACATTAAACTAATATAAAAATGTTGTCAACAGGTATATGCCAAAACATTTCACAACTTACATAAAATAAAAGAATTCTCTCAAAAATTTAACTTACCAAAATTGGCACAAGAATTAGCAGAAAATATAAGTATTTCTGTATGTCTTAAAGAAAGTAAGTGTGTTATTAAATGAAGAATGGCTTCTGCTTAAGATGTAGAAATACGTAAAGAAAATCATCCCACATGAAACAAGTACACAGCAAAACACACGGCAGACTGCAAATATTCAGTTTCTTTAACTCATTGGAAAGCTAAGGTCACAAATCAGCCACCTACCTAGAAATATAAGAAAAGACAGGAACCTCCAAAAAATAAAGACCATGAGTGCTTGCTTACCTGAAGCAGATTACCCCCAGAATATGATTTAAAAGATTTCAGGTAAAGTCTGTAGAGAATTGCTAAGAGCAAGCATAAACTAGAGAAACAATATAAATGTCTGGGGTCACAGACAAAAGAGAAGTTCACAGCAACTTCTAATGTCTTCTCCATAGACTCAGCAGGTGCTTACAAAAAAGATTAGAGTATTTCATGATGTAAGTCGGCTGAGGGGAACAGTAGCCACTGTGAGAAAGAACAAAAGCTTGCAAGAATCTTTCTCTTTTATGGAAAAGAAAGTCTTAATTTCTTAATTAAGAAACTGAGGGAAGAACAACAGTTGTTTGTACGGCACTGGTGAATGAACAATCTAAAAAAATGCAAAACAAAATATTAAAGCTAGGAGAACGAGGAGAAGGGAGCACATTAAAAAAGAAAAACAAAGAACATCCTCTACCTTTGTCAACAGAGAAGGCATACATGCCTCCTGCCTGTAGAAAGATGACAGAATAACTGCAGCAAACTTCTCATCAAAAAATATGCAAGCCAGGACAGGTGTGGCGGTTCACGCCTGTAATCCCAGCACTTTGGGAGGCCAAGGTGGGCAGATCACTTGAGCCAGGAGTTTAGTTCGAAACTAGCCTGGGCAACATAATGAGACCCCTATCTCTACAAAACATACGAAAATTAACTGGACATGGTGGCAGGCACCTGTGGTCCCAGCCACTCAGGAGGCTGAGGTGGGAGGATCACTTGAGCCCCGGAGGCAGAGGATGGGGTGAGCCGAGATCATACCACTGCACTGCAGCCTGAGCTTCAGAGTGAGACCCTGTCTGAAAAAAAAATCGAGGCAAAATAAAATAGAGTAACATCTTTACAATGTTCCAGTGGAGCCATTTGGCCCTGGGTTTTACTATGTGGGATTTTTGTTAGTGTTATTACTGTCAATTCATGCACTTTATTTGTTATAGGTCCATTTTAGACTTTCTATTTCTTCTTGAATTAGGTTTGATATGTATGCATTTCTAGGCATTTATTCATCTAGATTATCAAAATTGTTGCCATAAAATTGTTTATAGTATTCCTTAATAATATTAAAAAATACTTTTGTAAGATCTTTTGTAAAACTTCTCTTTCACTCATGATTTTAGTAATATGAGTATTCTCTTTTTTTCTTAGTCAGTCTAGTTAGAGGCTTGCCAATTTTGTTGATCATTTCAAAAAATAAATTTTTGTTGTGTTGATTTATTCTATTGTTTTCTTAGTCTCTATTTCATTTATTTCCGTGCTAATATTTATTATTTTCTTCCTTGTGCTTGCTTTGGGTTTAGTTGGCTCTTCCTTAATTTTCTTGAGATGGAAGATAATTTACTGATTTTAAATCTATCTTCTTTATAAATACAGGCATTTACAACCATACATTTTCCTGTAAGCATTGTTTTAGCTGCATCTCACAGTTTTGGTAAGTTGCTGTTGTGTTGTATATTTTAAAGTGTTTGGGGGCTCCCTTTAAAATATTTTCTACATTCCCTTATGTTTTCTGCTTTGACCCATCATTTATTCACATTTATGCTGTTTAATTTCCACATAGTTGTGACTTTCCCAAATTTCTTTCTATTATCCCATTTTGTTCAGAGAACATACTTTGTATGATTCCTATCCTTTTAAATGTATTGAGGAGCTTGTATTTAAATCTAACATACAGTCTATTCTAAAGAATATTTCATGTGAACAGAAGAAGAATGTGTATTTTGCTGTAATTGGTGCAGTGTTCCACGCTTTGAGGTCATTGTGTTACAGTGCTATTCAAATTTTGTATTTCCTTGCTAATCTTTTTTCTAGTTGTTTTGTCTATTATTAAAAGTGGTATATTAAAGTCTCCTGCTATTACTGTTGACTTCTCTATTTCTCCCTTCAATTCTGTCAATTTTCTCTTCATGTATTTTGGCACTCTGTTGTTAGGTGCATGTTTTTATACTTGTTATATTATCGTGATAGATTAACTTGCTAACATTACAAAATGCCCTTCTTCATCTTTAGTACCAATTTTGTCTTAAAGTTTGTTTTGTACACTATTGGTATAGCCACTACAGCTCTCTTTTGGTTATTGTTTGTATGGCAAATCTCTTTCCATCCTTTTACTTTCAGTCTCTTTGTTTCCATGAATCTAAAGTGTAAAGAAAGTGTTCCTGGACCAAACGGAGAGTTGGGCTGCTATTTCTCACAGCCCAATAACAAGATGCAAATAAACTCGGGAGGAAGAGAGTTTTTATTTCTGCAACCAGTTATAGGGAGAAGTCCTGGAAATTATCGCCAGACCAACTTAAAATTACAAAGTTTTCCAGAGCTTATATACCTTCCAAGCTATATGTTTATGTGTAAGTGTGCATTCATCTAAAGACATAAGTTATTAACTTCTTTTAATCTATAACTAAGGTCTGAGTCCCGAAGACCTTCCTCTGGAGCCTCAGTAAATGTACTTAATCTAAATGGGTCCAGGTGCTGGGGTTATTACCCTCACCTTGTCTCCTGCTAAATCACTGATATTTGGGGAGTTTCTTCAGACCTCCTATAAACTTGTTTAATCCTAAACGGGTCCTGTTAAGAACTCCTTCATTAGTTTGTCGTGCTTTAAGGCCCAGGAAAGGCCTAAGCAAAACTCTTAGTGGGCTTTTGTTACATTCAAGCCTTTATATCAGGGCACTGGCTTTTTAAGCTTTTAATATTTAACTTAACCCCTCAGTGGGTACTAAAGCAGTTGTTATGGAGTCTTGCGTTAGTGAGACTTGGCCTGCCATGAAAGGGAACAATTTGTGACTAGGTGAGCACCTGTGGGAGGTGTCCTCTGCAGCTGCCATCTGGATGCTACATGAGGTCATTAGTGAGGTAATATCAGGGCACAGCTACTGGTCTACCACTTTGTATGACTCTGAGACACTCACATGAATCTTTCATTAAAAGAAACTTCAACTAGGTTCCAGAGCATTTTTTTAAGATAAAGCAATGCAGTATTTGGAATGAGTAAGTAGTATTCCAGTTTCATGGTGTTCTGTAAGCTAGCAGCTGCATTTGCACTGTGGAGACCTGGGGAGGAAGACCATCTGCCAGCAGAAAATTACTGTGAACTGGACTCTTAAGACCAAATACCCCACTTCCCACTTCCCTGGGGTAATTCCTGTGTAAATGAAGGAAACACTCTAGGCTTCTTGAGGGCTGTGTTTCAAATCTCTTTTGGAAAACAGTGGATCATATGTAAATAGAGTGAATCTAAAAATTGAACCAATCAAGCATTAAAAGGGTTCCCCCAATGGATAGTTCTATAGAAAGAATTTAATATGTACAGATAAAGTGTTGGAAAAGATGACAATGCAAAGCGGGAGCAATGAGGCAACCCTACTGATAGTCACAGCAGAAATCTCCCACTGCCCTAAGGTTTGAGGAAAAATGGAAGGATTTGTGTGAGCCTGGGAGCAGCACTGGCTGGCAGAAGCTAAACTTGCGGTGGGACTGCCAGGTGAGTGCAGAAGACAGAAAAGCAGCGGCCTTGCTGAGCATGAAAAGCCACTGCTGGAAAAGAGAGGGAGTCGGGGAGAAATTCACATTGTCCTTCCTTCTTCAATCTCCCATTCTCCTAGGAGACACATTGACCAAAACTAGCCAGAAGTCAGGAAGCCTGGAAAATGTAGTTTGCAACTAATAGTTCCCATTTTACTCAGCAAAGCAGAAAAAAACAAGGAACAGATTTGAGCACAAAGAGACAAATAATAGGCCCAAATGTTAAACAAAACATTGTTTAATCTCATACGTTAAAACTAAGTAACCAAGTTCAAGTCACTGGTCATAGGGCTGGTAATTTTGGCCTTTATTTTGTGAAGCTGGATTTTATTTCACAAGGCAAAATTAGACAGTCAACCATTTATGCATATTCTGTGTTGAACATTTTAAGTTAATCTCTAATCATTTTCTTTCACAGGTAAATACACCATAAGTACTAGAATCAATGAATGACAATATTTAGACAAACCAAGAAATAATGTGAATATAAAAATAATGTATTATATTTGATAGAATTATTATTCCATTAACATAGTTAGTACATATAGATGGATACATAAAACATGACAGCAATGTGCACAGCAGTTACTGGATCCTAGCTATGGCTCTGAAGAATTAACAGCCTCTTGAGCCTCAATATTTTCAAATGTAAATGGCAGTAATAAAACCTACCTCATAAGGTAATCATGAGTCATATGAGAGAAGTATGGAAAATACTTCATAAATTGTAAGGTACTCTACATATACATAGTAGTGGTATCTGATTGAGCAGATACTAGGTACACACTCATGTCTTGATGTTTTTTAAAGGTCATCTCGCCCAGCATGGTGGCTCATGCCTATAATCCCAGCACTTTTGGAGGCCAAGGCGAGCAGATCACCTGAGGTCAGGAGATCGAGACCAGCCTTGCCAACATGGTGAAACCTCATCTCTAGTAAAAATACAAAAATTAGCCAGGCATGGCGGTATGCGCCTGTAGTCCCAGCTACTTGGGAGGCTGAAGCAGGAGAATTGCTTGAACCCGGGAGGTGGAGGTTGCAGTGAGCCAAGATCGAGCCACTGCACTCCAGCCTGGGCGACAGAGTGAGACTCCTTCTCAAAAAAAAAAAAAAAGAAAAAAAGTCATCTTTAAAAAATAAGCAATAAAACGTAACAAAGGGAGAAAGAAATGAGAATGATTCTGAGACTCACTCACTGTGTGATTTGGATAAGCCACATAACTTCTCTTGAACTTCTTTGAATATCCAGGTCTGCTTCTAAGGCCAGAAGTGTGCTGGTCTGGTTTGTCAGATCCTCTGTCTGCAGCAGAGAAAGTTCAGCCTGCAATTTCCATCGGGCTTCTCATTCTCCAAGCACTCCTTCCTGCATTTTCCCCGACCAAGCTTGCACGACTCACAGACAGCAAACTCACCTGTGCCAAGAAAGAGCTGCTGAGGGAGCTTTCCAGGAAATGTCTAGAAATGGGGAACATGTCAAAGACCACCAAAAAAAAAGGGACAGTTCGTACGTATGATTACAAAGAATATTTTCAAGAATCAGCCCAGATTTTTCAAAAATAGTTTCTGCTTTTTGCAGTAGGGAGTTGGGGAGAGTTAATTTTTATGCAACAGATCATCGCAATTCCTACTCTCCAAGTGTTTATAATCTGGCAGGGATCAAAAGTAAACCACAGACAGACAAAGAGACATACATATTACAGAACTATAAAAATACATACCTGATATGACTGTGAAGTTTACTAGACAAAAAATGGGAGGGGTATATTGTGGTTTTTTAAAGATCCTTGAAGATCAACTCTAGTTTGGGCCTAGTAGCCGGCAGGTTAAGGTCCATATTCTCATTTGTCCAGTGGCCATTCTAGAAGCACCTGACTACATTTTTTAAATCAGTTTAGGGATCAAATGGAATATTATATGTAAATATTTTCATTATAATAATACCTACCACATAGGACTGTTTTGAGGATTACATGACAAAGTCCATGTAAAGTTTTTAGCAGGATGCCTGGTACAGAGCAAACACTCAAGGACTAGTAGCAACCTTCATATTTCTCACTTTGAAATTCTGTCTAAAACCATTTCAACTTTGTCTACAATATTTCTTTTAGTTTTGTTTACAATGTCCTTTCTTTCTGTATAAGATGACTTCAAAGAAAAAGAAAAGATCTGGGGGCTATTCGTTATGAATAGCTTTTCTGCAATGGTGCTGAGTTTTCACTGAGGCAACCTCACTCTTTAATTTGAGCTTCCTTCAACTAACCTCATGCATTTGTGACATATATTATTACCAGACTTAGCAGCAGAGCTTGCAAGAGATGGGCAGGCGTGTTCACAGAGCAGTGCTAATTGGCTGGTACAAGAATAAATCTAAGAACTTGGTTTAGTGAGCACCAACAGCTAATGGGAAAAGCCACTGAGTCCAAATCTCTATGGCCAAATTACAGTCCAGTCACAAAGATATTTTTCTGTGAAATCAAAAATATCCAAATATTATACTTGGAACAAGAGAAAGAGAAGGAGATAAGTTAGTGAACTGATTTTTCAGACAATTCTATTTCTGCCACTATCTCTGTCCCCTCTTTGCCTCCAGACATCAGAGAGAGCTAACAGCGCCAGAGCTCCTAAGAGAAAAAATAATTATATACAAGAGATTTAACTTACCTGATGGAAATGGTTGGGAAAAATCAAGTCCTGCCTGGCACCCTAAATTCAAAACAAAATACATTTTGAAAATTAAAATCAACACAGGAATTAACACTGTATAAAACACTCCCAACTTCACATGTGACATAGCATAACAGGAGACAGTAGATCACAGAGTTGCAATCTTTATTCTGTTTCTCAAGGCCAGCATTCCAGGTAACCAGCAAAAACAAATTACAAAAAAAAAAAAATACACTATATGCTGTTTGCTCTTAGTAAATGTCACTGTAGGTCTAAGAAATTCCCATGACAGGTGCCATGAGAGCTTGACCATTAAGGTCAAACATGGAAGAATCAACAGGCTTTATAATCTGCCCAATCAAAATCCCATCCATTTTTACTTACCTGATGGCAGTTGAACCAAAATGAAGAACATAGCAAATAGAAAATAAAATGTCTTCCTGATCAGGGCCATCTTTTAGGGAAGACTCTTCGGAATAGAGATTGGGATTTCCTTGAGAAGACCCAAATGAGAGGCTCATTTTTATTTAAAAGTAATGGGGAGATGCTCTTGATCCGTGAAGTGAATCAATAAAACACAATTATATGCTCCATTTCCCAGGATAAAGGGATGATATCATGGATAATAACCCTTGGCATCCAGAAAGCCTTTTATTTTGGGGAGTCTAACTGGTGTAGTGGAAAGAACACCAGGCTAGAGGTTGAAAGAGCAGGGGCCATGTGAGTTTCCACCATACTAATGCAGGGGCCAGAAGATAGTGACCCCTTTCATCTCTTCCAGCTTCTGTTTTCTGGGAGAAAATAAGAACCCACTTGCAAATTCTGCCTGCCTCTAAAGGTGTTGTAAGAATCTAGTATGATTATAATGCAAAAGTGTTTTGAATATGTGGAATGCTTGGAAGGAGGCCTGGTACCATGTAAGAACTCAATAAATGTGGACTCTCACTTTTCTAGCTTTCATTTTTATTCTCTACAAGTATCACAGGGAGAAAAGGAGGGGTAGCAATCATTTTGTCAAGTTAGCTCTGAGTCCCCTTTCCTGTAAGATATCACCTCACGCACCAAAGCCATAATTACTGCATATTTTAAATTCATTAAGGACATGAATATTGGCCCAGATGGGTGGCTTATGTCTATTATCGTAGCTTTTGGGAGCCTAAGGCAGGTAGATTGCTTGAGCCCAGGTGTCTAGGGCAAGGCATGATGGTTACCAGCTCCTTGCTGCGCCAACAGTGCCATGGTACAGGTGAGCAGCATGGCAGGACCAAGCACGAAAAGCGTGCAGCATACAGCAAGATTCACATTTTTTAACAAATATATGCTTAGGTCAAGCCCTTTGCCAAGTTTACAAAGCTCAAAAAGACTGAATCTGGAATTCAGATTCCACCTCACTACGGTTCCTCAGCTCTTAACTGAAGCATTGAGATATTGTATAATTACTCCCATTTTACATATGAGTAAACCAAAGCTGTTCAGGAACACAGCCAGGATTAGAAACCAAACTACTGGACTCCAGATTTTTTTATTTTTTCTGTGTCTGCCCTACTCTGTCCTCCCTTCATCCCCACTTTCCTTCTTCAAAACTTTCCAGAATCAGAAATATGATGAGCTGTAGACTGAGTGACACCCACTGAGGTTGGGTGGGCTCTGTGCAGCAGAGCATGGAAATCCTCTCGTTTCTGCTAAGCCTCACTGATCAAGATGTTACTTGGTCTGGAGAAATGTATAAATGTGGGTGTTTGCGGCTCTTTCCTCATGGACACGGTGCTGATCTCTCAAGACCCACCCAGTCATGAGGACTTTCCTCTTTCTCTTTGCCGTGCTCTTCTTTCTGACCCCAGGTAAAATGGGCATCTTTACAGGGAAGGTGATCGGAGGTGGTGTCCCACAGACAGGGTCCCCTTCAGTGAATGCCTGGGCGTGATCAACCCATCTACTACAAGAGGTGATATTCCCCAACGCCTCTTCTGTAATTCCTTTGCATTTTACATTGTTATCTAGGAGGGGCTGTCACAGGTTTGAAAGAATAAAAGAAGGCCAGGAAAGATGCCTTTTGGCATCCCATCTCATGCTCACTAACAAAAACAAAAATTGAGAAAAAATTAAAAACAAGGATAGCAGTCTATGAACCTTTTAAAATGTAGTTATGGTAGAGATTGAGACAGGTAAGGAGAAGGGACAGGTAAGGATCTGAGCTTAGAGACACCTATGCACTCATGCCAGTCATGGCAACAGGTAAAGCAGCGTAACTTGGACTGCCATTTCTTGATCACATATCATCAAGCCAAGTACTGTGATGAGAGCTTCACATAAAATGCATCTAGTCTTCCAGTGCCAGCGCCTTTACGGAAAACTCTGTCTTACCCCTAATTTAATGGAAGTTAGAGAAAATCTTTTTGGGTTTGAAGGTCCATTTTACAAATTTTATTACAGATGCAGAAATTGTGCCTCAGATGGGCTCAGTGCTTCTCAGAGTCTTATAGATAACCAAAACAAAGCCAGGGTAGGAGCCCAACTGTCTTGCCACAGTAAGAGGCATTAAAGACACCCTTCCCATATCAAAACTCTCTTCATTTTCTCCTGCTCCTGGGAATCTCCAGTGGCTCCAATTGTATCCTCTTCAAAATTAAGGCTTAAGACCAGGCTCATGTGAGCCTCCAGAGAGCTGAAGAAAGGGATTCTCAGAGCCCACAGTAACTCCCAATTTCTGCCAGATACCAGTGATATACGATCCCAGGTATGATGCTCAACTTTTCACATCAGCTGCTCATAGCTCTGGTCTGTTTTGTGACAAGCCTGTGAGAGTAGATTCTGTGTCAAAACATGAGGATCTAGGACCCACAGTGACCTATGCCGTATTCAGGCCACTGGTTTTGATATGCACGTTCGAAACTGGCCAGAGGTATCTTTTTCAGATCACTCATACTTATTATATAATAAGTCAAAAAAAAGATGTTATATACTATAAAATTATCTGTTAGATAATACTATAATTATAAAAGTATAATTAGTTACTATAATTATTATGTAATTACAGATACTTATCTATAATTACATAATGCTTGTTATATAATTATTAGATAATCTAATAATTACCTATTAGATATACTAGAGTATAATACTATAATACAATAGTATTAGAGAAAATCTTTTTGGTTTAGTATAGTATTATAGTATAGCATAGTATATACTATAATTATTTACTGATGTTACAGTATGGTATTGTACTAGTATTATATACTATATAGTATTGTACTAGTATATATTATATATATATATATACATATTTTTTTTTTTTTTTTGAGATAGAGTCTCACTCTGTTCCCCGGGCTGGAGTGCAGTTTCACAATCTCAGCTCACTGCAACCTCTGCCACCGGGGTTCATGCGATTCTCCTGCCTCAGCCTCCTGAGTAGCTGGGATTACAGGCATGTGCCACCTTGCCTGGCTAATTTTTTGTATTTTTAGTAGAGACGGGGTTTCACCGTGTTGGTCAGCCTGGTCTCGAACTCCTGACCTCGTGATCCACCCTCCTCAGCCTCCCAAAGTGCTGGGATTATAGGTGTGAGACACTGCACCTGGCCAGATACTATATTATACTAGTATATTATTACTAGTAGTATTATATACTAGTATGTAATATAGTATATATACTAGTATAATACTCTAGTATATAGTATAGTATACATACTAGTATAATACTCTAGTATATAGCATAGTATACATACTAGTATAATACTCTAGTATATAGTATAGTGTATATACTAGTATAATACACAAGTATATAGTATAGTGTATATACTAGTATAATACACTAGTATATAGTATAGTGTATATACTAATATATACACTAGTATACAGTATAGTGTATATACTAGTATAATACTCTAGCATATAGTATAGTGTATATACTAGTATAATACACTAGTATATAGTATAGTGTATATACTAGTATAATACACTAGTATATAGTATAGTGTATATACTAGTATAATACACTAATATATAGTATAGTGTATATACTATTATAATACTCTAGTATATAGTATATATACTAGTATAATACTCTAGTATATAGTATAGTATATATACTGGTATGATAATATAGTATATATACTATATTATTACTAGTAGTATTATATACTAGTACATAGTATAGTGTACATACTAGTATAATACACTAGTATATAGTATAGTATACTAGTATAATACACTGGTATATAGTATATATACTACTATAACACACTAGTATATAGTATAGTATATATACTAGTATAATACTATAGTATACACTATTATACCAGTATATACTATAATACTAGTATTTTTATAGTATATACTAAGCTATACTATGATACTATACTAAACCAAAAAGATTTTATCTGAATACCACGCTATAGTCTATAGTATAGTATTATATTAGTATCTGCCTTACAGTAGGGCAGAGAGAACATAGACCCCTGCCAGTGAGAGCCAGAGTTCATCGAGCTTTGAAATAGTGGAGTATTTTCACTTATGAACTGATGTGCTGATCCTGGATAATCATTAGTGCATATGCTGGCACTAATCCACCTGGCTGTAAGTTTTATGTAGATTTGAATTAGGCACCTTTATATGTTGACATTAAATGTATATACATTATAGTATAGACATTAAATGCAATCTCTGTACATCTGATGCCTTCATTATATATACACAAATTGGGCAGCTCTAAAATGTTGATCCTGATAAGACGTGCTGTCTGTCCTTAACTTGAAGCAGGCTGCTCTTGGGACTGCTACTGATAAAGCCCTAAGGTGGGAACTGGAATTCTCCGCAAAATGAACTGAGAAAATCTTAGAAAAACATTCCCAACATGCTGCACCCTCCTTCTCTAAAGCACAAGTTTTCCGCAGTCGTTGCTTTGGTGAATATGGAGGAGAAATCAGGCTGAGCCTTCCAAGCAAGTTTCTATCTACCACAGTAAACTCATTCTCTTTTTATATCTTTATCCCTTCCTTTGCTCTGGTCTGGAGCTATCTCCTCAGTCTCAGCTCTTGCTCTACTCTCACCAAGTAGCAGCCTCTGAGAGTGCACTAGGAAAATTAGCAGCCTCTGGGAGTGTTTATGGGAACAAGTTGATAATTATCCCCAACAGATTTCGATTAAAGAACCATAGCTTAGGGACGTTTCCCAAAGCTCCTACACAGCTTGGTCTCAAATGCTGGAAGACAAATGTATTCTTTCCGGTATTTCACCCTGTGTGACTATGAGACTGAAATATCAGATAAAAATCAGGTCCCCTACCATCTCATTTACCGGTAGGATATGGCACTATGACAGCTTGTGAAAAAATCTTCACCAAGTAGTCATACAACTGTATCTGGTAAACATACATGTCTGAAAAGGGAATTAATCCAAATGGCTCCTTCCCTCGTGTAGCCAAGAATGCATTTTTTGATGAGAAATGCAACAAACTTAAAGGGACATGCAAGAACAATTGCGGGAAAAATGAAGAACTTATTGCTCTCTGCCAGAAGTCTCTGAAATGCTGTCGGACCATCCAGCCATGTGGGAGCATTATAGATTAATGCAGAAGATTTAGGTTTCCAGAGAAGCATACATAACCTAGCTTCTTTTTACTCTTGCCTCTGCTGTAGGCAGACACTTTAATAAAAATAAATGACTGTCTTTGCTCAGTTTGTCAAGTGTTTCATTTAGAAAGGAGAACAACACTGCCTGACCTTGATGCTCCCTCCATCCCGGTTTATTTTTCTATCATTCTGGAGTAGATAAATTGTCCCAAAGCCATCTGATATTTTTCTTAAAAGAGGACTAGAAGAGACTAGAAATCAACAAATCTCTAGCTTGTGCTCAGTCTAGTAAGTTGGCGCTTACTAACCTATTGACATGAAAGAAGTAAACAAAAGAAAATAAAGAAAAGAGAGAGGGAGGTGGAAAGAAGATGAATAGGTAGAGAAATGAGCACACTTTTTTTTAATACAAAACAAAATTTTATTCTTTTTTTCTTTTTCTTTTTATTATACTTTAAGTTCTAGGGTACATGTGCACAATGTGCAGGTTTGTTACATATGTACACATGTGCCATGTTGGTGTGCTGCACCCATTAACTCATCATTTACATTAGGTATATCTCCTAATGCTATCCCTCCCCCCTCCCCCCACCCCACAACAGGCCCCGGTGTGTGATGTTCCCCTTCCTGTGTCCAAGTGTTCTCATTGTTCAATTCCCACCTATGAGTGAGAACATGTGGTGTTTGGTTTTTTGTCCTTGAAACTGGAAACCATCATTCTCATCAAACTATCTCAAGAGAACACTTTTTAAAAATTTTTACCATCATGCCATATGCCCACATAAATGAGCATACATTTACATGAATAGCTACATGAACGACAAATTGATGGATAGGCGGTCCATTTATCAAAGACTTTTATGTGTCACACACACACCTGTCTAAATT
The DNA here is from genome assembly GCF_000001405.40 of Homo sapiens. NCBI lineage: Eukaryota > Metazoa > Chordata > Mammalia > Primates > Hominidae > Homo > Homo sapiens. The sequence continues at coordinate 7,829,845 of NC_000008.11, forward strand.
AATCATCATGACCCCATGTCTTTAATTGGGGCTAGTTAAATATTTTCTATAGACTTGTTCTCTACACGTAAGTCTGAGATAAAATTTGCTGACAGGCAAGGGAGTCATAATTACCTCTATGAGTCTCAGTAACTCCAGTGATTTAGACCCTCTTCCCCAAATCACTGCCTACGATTTTCCTAGGAACTGGCTGACAGTTTACCTTCTGATTCTAAGCCTCAAAATTACTGTTATGGTGGGAATGTGTTCTTCCAAAATTAATGCTGAAGCCTAATCCCCACTCTGGTGATTAACAGATGAGGCCTTTGAGGAGGTGATTAAGCCTCAAGGGCCCTGCCCTCATGAATGGAATTAGCACCCTTATGAAAGAGGTTGAAAGAAACTGCCTTGCTCCTTCCACCATGGGAGGACACAGCGTTTGTCTCTTCTGCCATGTGAAGGCTGAGCAACAAGGTGCTATCTTGAAAGCACAAACTGGGTCCTCAGGATATAGTAAATATTTTGAGGTCTTCCAGCCCCTAAAACTGTAAGTAATAAATTTCTATTGTTTATAAATCACCCAGCATAAGATATTTTATTATAGCAGCATGAATGGACTGAGACAATTACTTAGTTTAAGTAAGAATTTCCTATCATGTTTCCAGTGCTCAAGAGTTAGTTTTGGTTTCCTGCTGGCTCAGAAATCTTGCCTTACCTCCCCTTTAATTTTTCAAAGTCGATAGATTTAATTCTATTAGAATCAATAACCCTTTCACGAAAAGGATGTTTTAGTTACACTTTCTAGTTTGAGGTAATTGTAGATTCCTCTACAGTTCCAAAAATAATAATAATAATGCAGAGAGATACCCAGATCTTTTACTCTATTTTCCTCAATAGTAACATCTTTGTAAAACCATAGTGCAATATCACAACCAGGTTATTGACACTGATGCATAACATTTCCATTATCAGGAGGACTTCTCATGTTACCCTTTCAGAGCCACTCTCTCTTCCCTCACACCTCCACCTCCGTCTTAACCCCTGTATAAGTGATTTATTCTCCATTTCTACAATTTTGTCCTTTTAGGAATGCCATATAAATAGAATGTATATATCCTTATTAGACTGGCTTTTTTCAGTCAGCATAACTTTCTGGGGATTCATCCAGGTTGTTGCATTTATCAATAGCTCTTTCCTTCTTATTGTTGGGCAGTATTCCAGGATACGGATGAACCACAGTTTGTTTAATCACTCCCTCATCGTAGGCCATCTCTCTCTCTCTCTCTCTCTCTCTCTCTCTCTCCCTCCCTCCCTCTTTTCCCCCACTTCATTGCCTCCTCTTCTCCTCTCTACCTCTCCTTCTCTTTCTCTTTTGCATAGGGATATCTAATTGTTCAAGCACCATTTGTTGAGAAGACTATTCTTCCTCCATTATATTACCTTTGCTTCTTTGATAGAGAGGAGTTGCTTTGATCTTTTCTGAGCTATCCATTCTGTTCTGTTTCTCTGTTTGATCTATTTATTTATTGCTTCACCACTCCCACACTGCCTTCATCATTGCAGTTTTTTAGTGAGTCTTGATATAAGGTAGTGTAAGTTCACTGTATTAACCCATTTTCACATTGCTATAAATAAATATCCGAGATGGGGTAATTTATGAAGAAAAAGAGGTTTAATGGACTTACAGTTCCACACAGTTGGGGAGGTCTCACCATCATGACTCAAGGCAAAGGAGGAGCAAGGTATGTCTTACATGGTGACAGGAAAGACAGCGTGTGCAGGGGAACTGACCTTTATAAAACCATCAGATCTTGTGAGACTTACTCATTTTCATGAGAAAAGCACAGAAAAGAAACACCTCATGATTCATTTACTTCTCACCATGTCCCTCCCATGACTCATGGGGATTATGGGAGCAAGAACCCAAGATGAGATTTAGATGGGGACAGAAACCCTATCATCCACCAACCTTGTTCTTTCCGGTATTGTATTGACGATCCTAGGTCTTTTGAATCAGTATGGAAATGTCAACAACATATTTTGCTAAAAGTTTGACTGGGATTATATTTAATCTATAGGTCAAGTTGTAAATATTGACATCTTAACGTTAAATTCTCTATTATATGAACACAGAATATTTCTCTTGTTAAAATAATTAAATGAGAGGCCATTAGACTGCGGGAGCTTCAGTGCACTCGGTTTCTACATAAGCAAACTAAAACCCAACTCGGTTTGAATGGTAAAAGAAAACTTTAACCAATCAGAAACCACCAACTAACCTCTAACAAGGGAATGGAATGATTCGAATAAGGCTTATACTCCACCTTAACCAATTAGATGTTTAATTTGCCTTTCTTCCATTTTCACCCTATAAAAGCCTTTTCCTCGTGCCTCTTTGCGTGAGCCCCAAAAGACTTGTGATTTGGAGCCTGCCCGATTCTTAAATTGATATCTGCTCAAAAGAAAACTCTAAGATTTTTATGTGCCTAAGTTTATTTTTTAATACTTCTGTTGTCAGAAGAGGGACCCAAAGAAGCCCTGATAATGGTTCCTGGGACAATGAGTAGCCAGATGTAGTTACCAGCTGAGCCGGTTTTACTCACCGCTTTCTCTCTGTGTCTGGATCCAGCAGAAACTGGACTGGGTCCAACAGAAGGTCTTAAGAAGGTAGGGTTTAGGGAAGACAAAGAATCATGAGTTCATCTGTATCCAGGTAGTCTGGAACCTCTCCATCTGGGACTCTAGCTACGTTCATGTATAAAAATTATGGACCCAGAACCTGTGTTTTTCTAAATAAATGTGTAAACTTTACTAAAGACAACTTAGGATTACACTGGTCACAGTGAAGAAATTTTAACCTAAACAGTTATTCATCTATAAGCTACATTGAAAGAGAAGTGATCTTAAATGCCTCAAAAAAAAAAATGAGATATGTTTTTAATAGGCATGCAGAAGCTTCTAAAAGACTAAGCAAATCAAAACTTGCCTTTCTTAAAGACTCTTTACAAAAGGCAAATTAAAAGCTTAAGCACTTAATCAGTGATGATAAAAAATTGTACATTGACTCACTCAACTCTCAATGCTCCTTCTTTTCCTCCTGTCTCTCTTCTTCCTCTGCCTAATTACTCTGATTCCACTACCCTCTTCACTCAGCTGCCTTTCTACTCTGAAGATGAGAAGCAAGTTAGGAAAATGCCTTCTAAAGTTAGTTCCTCAGATCAACTGTGTCTGCCTTCTTTAATTACCTTTATGTCTTGGTCAAAATCCGAACTGACAGAAATAGTGAAAGACTTCCCTAACCCAAAGGAAAACCCCCAGGAATTTGCTGAGGAATTTAGAATCCTCATTTAAACATACAATCCATGACTTCCTGATCTTTGTCAATTTATCCACATGATACTGGGACCTGGTCAAGCCTGCAAATGGAGGCGATGGTTGAATGGGACTAACCTGAGGATGATATTAAGGATCTTATGTCTCAGACAGCTGCAAGGGATGAACAAAAAAGAGGCAGGGGAAAAGGAAGCATTCTATAATCTTATAAGTAAATCTCATCTTTACCTGAGCCTGTGTGTCCCTGCACTGTGACTGTCACAAGAACTTTTTTTTTTTTAAATCTCTGTCACCAGGCTGGAGTACAGTGGCATGATCTTGGCTCACTTCAACCTCCTCCTCCCAGGTTCAGTGACTCTTCTGCCTCAGCCTCCCAAGTAGCTGGGACTACAGGTGTGTACCACCACACCTGGCTAATTTTTGTACTTTTTAAGTAGAGATGGGGTTTCACCATATTGGGCAGGCTGGTCTTGAACTTCTGACCTGGTGATCTGCCCACCTTGGCCTCCCAGAGTGCTGGGGTTACAAGCATGAGCCACCGTGCCCGGCTCTCAAGAAATTCTTAGCTACCCCCATCCCTCAAGTGAGACAGGAAGGTCAGATGGGGCTGGAATAGGGAAACGTCTTCCCCTCCAGGTGGGATATGGCTCGAGTAAAATTGTTTTTCCTGCAGAGGAGGAGGCTTTGGTTATGGGGAATCCTCTGGACATGTTTCACAATATCACTCTTCCCTTCTCCTTTCAGGGCAATGAGGGCTTCCATTCTGGCTCTTCACCATGATAACCTTGGGGGCTTCCTGGATTTAAAACCCAGGAAAGCAGGGGTTGAGAAGGGAGAGCCTTTGACCATGGTCTCTAGCAGTTTTTCACTCTCCTAAATGTCCACGTTCAGCCTCCAGCAAGTTGTCGAAATCACCGTAAGTGTTCCTGCTAGTTCATGGTTTCAGAGCTTCCATTCCAGGTTAGCTCATCTCAGCTGTGACTCCAGATTTCCACGCAATGGGTTTGCCCGGAGCCCTCAGTTCCCTAATGGGTCCAAGAAAAGTCATTGATTTTTCCATTTATTTGGCTTTTTTTTTTCTTTTTTAAAGGAGTAAAGTAGTTACTTTCAGTCTTTTTACTTGTAGCGACCGAAACCAGAACTCTGAAATACTTTATAAGGACTCAGCAAATAAAGCTTTTATTATTTTTTTCTCCTAAGAAGATATAGGATTTCTTTTGAAGTTTGGTTATTCAGTCCCTGTATATGAATTACTTTTTTTTTTTTTTTGAAGAATTGCTGAATATTTATTATCATCAGAATTTTTCAGTTTTCTTCAGAATCCTGGTCACATAGATGACCTTGAATATTGGCTGATGTTTTTCCCTTGAAGCTCATCATCAAAAATTACTAAAGCCTGACATGTGGCAGGCTAGGAGGGTCCCATGGATCCTGCACATTTGTGCTTGCTGTGTGTCTGCTGTGAGGAGAGTATCCGACGGCCTCTACGTGCTGCACGTTTGTAACCTGCGGCAGGATTCCCATGGCTACCACTCTTGCCCTGGCTGCTTCCAGGCAGTGAATGAGCACAATGTGGACTAGAGCTGGGCCATGTCTGCTGGTGTAGGACAGTCTTTGCCCTGGGGTTCCCCACTGGCAATGCTGAAATTTTCTGCACTGTAGTCTGAGGCTCCCCCGACTCCAAACCTTTTCACAGGTGTTAATTGACATCATGTTCTGAAGACTTTCCCTACTCAATCTTGCTCCCTCTCCCCTTCATCTTTTTGTTTTGAATTTTTATTTTATTTTATTTTTTTCAGAGACAAGGTTTTGCTGTATTGCCTACTACACTGGAGTGCAGTAGTGCCATCATAGCTTACTGCAACCTCGAACTTCCGGGCTCAAGAGACCCCCCTGCCTCAGCCTCCCAAGTAGCTGGGACTACAGGGACACACCACCATCCCTGGCTAATTTTCTTTTTGTGTAGAGTCGGGGTCTCTCTATGCCGTCCATGATGGACTCAAACCCCTGAGCTCACATGATCCTCCTCCCTCGCTCAGCCTCCCCAAGTGCTGAGATTTACAGGTGTGAGCCACTGCGCCTGGCTCCCCTTTATCTTTCACAGGCATTTCCCAATAAATTTATTTCCTTTCTAATTCCTGTTGATAAATGCTTCATGGAGCACCCAAACTGGCATAGTTTATGATTTCTGATGTTCTATTCTATTTCGTTACTGTGAAAGGAGACCTGGTTTTCCATCACATTCTCCCCTAAGTGAGAACTCTGGGGAAGACACACTGACTGCTAGATTTTGCTTAGGATGTGCAAGCAACGTATGTCTGTCAGGCTTTGTCTAATCTGTGTTCTAGAATAAGGGGAGCTTATTCGAGAATGTCAACTTTCAAGATTGGACGTTTTTACTTTCTCTAAAGTACTTCATTTTAGAGAAATGAAGTATTTTTTTTTTCTTAAAATAAAATTATCTGGTGTTTTCCCTAAGGGCAAATGCCAGGAGCATATGCTCTATATGTTTTGCCTCGGGTGGGGTTGGGGTTAAATCCAGGGAGCATACACCCCGGGTTGAGGGCCAGGCGTATGCTCTCTGGAAGGTTATGTTTTATTTGAAGCCATTGTTAGAAATACAGCATTCTCATGAATTGTCTCCTTTTAACCTCTCTTCTCATTCTTGTCCTCCTTTTCACCTAAGCCCTAAGTGAGCCTGATGCTCTGTGGTTACAATCCCACCCTTGGACAATGCCCGCCATCAAGTATTCCTTGTTGTCACTTGTCATCCTCATCCTACACTCTTTCTATCACAGAAATGTCCTGGGACCTTTCACGCATTTATGACCTCCCCACGCTCCATGCCATTCTTCTCCTTGACATTGTATGTTTGTTTCAATGTTTACTTCAGAGAGGTCTTGGGGGCTATGGACTTCAATTCCATTAGCCACATCACAATTTTCAACAAGAATCTCCTGACTGAAATGTACTGAAATGGAAGAGAAAGTCCTCTCACCAGAATTGAGGAATGTCAAGGCTGGAAGGTATCTTAGAGATCATCTAATCCAGTTCTTGCTTCAGAAACGATTCAGGGAAGCAAGTGAAGTGACTTGGACTTTACCTATGGTAATACTCTCTCCCCACCCTCAACACTGCCCAGCTGGCATTTCTGTAGCCCCAACACCTCCCCCACACTGTGCCTTGGTGAGTGTTCACCAAGGAACGCTGCATTTTGATAAGCCTCAGTAATCAAGAGCAGCCTCTGCCCATAAATACACCTGCCCTGCTCCTGCCTGGGGTGATTCCCTCCGACTTGCGTCTGCTTCTCGCCAGCAGCCCCAGCATTATGCAGAGACTTGTGCTGCTATTAGCCATTTCTCTTCTACTCTATCAAGATCTTCCAGGTAAAAAGGGACTCTCAGCTGGAAATATACACAGTTGCTGGGGATGACAGGGGGAGAAGAAAAACATTTGATTTAGAAAATAAATCCTGAAGGATGGAGTAACCTTCTTCAATCTCAGCCTTTTTTCTCTTTGCTTTCATTGGGTCCATTAGTAAAATGCAGTATGTGGCAGTCCTTGTATGCACCTTACAGCCACGAGGCTTACTAGCTCAAGGAGGAAAAAAGAAACGTAGGGATCAGGAGTCCTAGATGTCCTTGGCACCCTGGCCACACACGGTAACAATTCCTCATGGAATCCTCAGCAATGAGGACTCACTAGCCATGCTTGTTCCATTGCAGGGCAACAGCAATTATTCATTGTTGATTTTGTAGAATAAGATGCCTTCCCCCATCCTCCTCCTTCTGAACAGCTTTACTCTGCACAGAAAAGGGCGCCTACTCATCCTCCTAAATTTTGCAACTTTTCATATCAAGTCAGATGATTAGGGTTAAAGGGGATGCAGTGATTTCAGTAGGCAAGAACGTAATTTACTGACAACACAAATAGCAGGTGCCTTTGAACTCTGCTCAGGAAATTTTAGACTGAGATGTCAGCAATCTTCTGACTCCTACGTTAATCTATGTCCCCAGAAGCATGTATTTCTTAATATATTTGCAATGGATATGAGAGAGCACCTAATCTAATTCCCTTCTTTTACAAGCTGAGCAGCATTCTCTATGGTACAGTGAGAGAAAATAAGATTTTTAGAGTTGCTTAACAAGTCTAGCAGTGCTGGGACGAAACCAATTGTTTTGACTCGTAGAAGCCATCGGATCTTCTCTTCCAAGCTGCTCAGTCAATTTTATGGGGCTTTGACAGACACCCAGCACCCATCTTTTTGCCCTTCCGGGCTGTGCCTCCACTGTGATTCAGATGGGTTAATGATTTTTTTTCAGAGGGTACCTGTTTAGGTTAACTCTTCCTTTTTCTTTCTTCCCGTGTCATTTCCCAAAGACACTTCTGTGAAATTCTGCTATGGGCATGTTCCAGGTCTGTTAAAATATGATAGCAATTTATCAAAGAACAGGTTTTCTTCAACCTTTGATCCCAAGACAAAGAACTTGGGATGGAAAGCCTGGGTCAGGGATCCCTCCAGATCCCGAAGAATGCACCGCAGAGCTGGCTGCCATTATCCACACTTGGCTGCAGAGGGCTGGGTCAGACTGTCCTCTGCAGTTGAATTCTGAGAAAGACCATTAGCAGGAAGAGGATTAGGGAGGGAAGTGGCAGAAGTGGGTGAGGGTGAATGACATGCGCTGCCTGCCTCTTCTCCTGCCACCCCTGCTTTGGGTAAGTTTGGCTGTCACACACTGTCAGCCCCTCAGATACCCACAGGGACTGGGGATGGGTGCTGTCAACCAAAAATAAAATTCTAAGCCCCCTCCCCAACCATCTAAATGGACTCCCTCCTCAGCCAGGGCTCTTAAAATTTAATCTGAAAGACTGCTTCAGGCCATGAAAGGAAGTGGGGGTTGGACATGCCTCATTACACTTTCCATCATGAACATCAACACAGACTTTAAGTGTGATAAGAAACATTTTACAGCCTGTTCTCTCTGAAGCCTGCTAGCTAAAAGCATCAACTGCATGATACAACTTTGGCCTCCACAATACAACCTCTTGTCGCAACCCAAACATTCCTGTCTATTGATCCCAGGTCTTTAGACAAACTCAATCAATTGTCAACCAGAAAATGTTTAAATTTACCTATAGCCTGGAAGGCCACCTGCCACACACTCCCACTGCACCCCCACAGGCCCCCCGCCACCCCCACTTTGAATAGTCCCACCTTTCTGGACCAAACCAATGTAAATCAGCCAGGTGTAGCGGCTCACACCTGTAATCTCAGCATTTTGGGAGGCTGAGGTCTGCAGATCACTTGAGGTCAGGAGTTCGAGACTGGCCTGGCCAACACGGTGAAACCTCGTCTCTACTAAAAATACAAAAATTAGCTGGGTGTGGTGGTGCATGTCTGTAATTCCAGCTGCTCAGGAGGCGGAGGCAGGAGAATCGCTTGAACCCAAGAGGTGGAGGTTGCAGTGAGCTGAGATCGTGCCATTGCACTCTACCCTAGGCGACAGAGCAAGACTCTGTCTCAAAAAAAACCAAAAAAACAAACAAAAAAAAAAACAAAGCAAATCTTACACGTCTTGATTGATGTATTATGTCTCCCTAAAATGTATAAAACCAAGCAAGCTGTATCACAACCACCTTGGGCACATGTCCTCAGGACCTCCTGAGGTTGTGTCACAGGTGTGTCCTCAACCTTGACAAAATAAACTTTCTACATTAACTAAGACCTGAGACCTGCCTAAGATTTTCTGGGTCTGTAGAGCAGAGGAGGAAAATTGCTTATGCAAGAAAGAAACTAGTGTAGTGTAGTCTACCCTGGAATGTATTTATTGCTTAGGAAATGTTTATTACTCAGCCTTAGTGTATGGACTGCATTCTCCCTTTTGCATTCTGTTTACTGAGACTGTAAGACATACCAACTAGGTTTTTCTTCCAGCTTTGACACATAAGTTGCTGTGTGACGTCAGATTAGTCACTTTCCTTCTCTGAGCCTTCATTCCCATCTCTAAATAGATGGCCTGTGAGGGCTTGTTTGAAACTGACAGTCTAACATTTTAAAGGTTGTGTTCTCTTCCTAGTCTATTCTTCTTCTCCCCTAACGCTAAGCTTCGTTTTCCCTGAGCAAGCATGCTGTCCTCTTTTTCCTCCTCTAACTCCAGGTTGTAAAGCGACCTGCCACAGATATGTCAGAAGGCACATATCTGCTACTCAACCTCCACATACTCCCTCAGCATGATACACACTGCAGCCCACCTCACTCCTTTCTTCATTGCCTTGTACTGTGACCACAAGGGCTTGCTTTTGAATGAAGCCTACAGCAAAACAGTCTTTCCTCATCACCCGCTGTGGGGCCATTGCAAATATTAACCCCTACAATATCCTATCCAGCACATGAATTGGTCAAACTGCCTTTTAGTCCTCACCTACATCCTGGACAAAGAACCTTGATACCTAAGCATCAGAAACAGGAGGCTTCTCTTTACCAGAACAAATGAAAGACATAAAACCCTGGTGCGAGGATTAGCAGCCCGTTTCTGCTTTGTAGAAAAGGAACAGATGCAACAGGGGAGAAGGACTTAAGGCTAAGATGAAATTAGGACTCTTGGGCCCCGACCTCTGCAAAGAGGTCCATTTGCAGCCCTGACTCTCCTCTCCCCAGGGTTCTTCTGACACCCTCTCCCAAGCCTGGCTCCTGCTGAGTTTGCTAGAGAACCTCTAGCAAAGCTCTCTCCAGCGAGACTCTCTCGGTCCACCTTACGCTGTCCTCCCTACCATCAGCCTTGCTTCTGGGTTTTCCTGATATCTCTGTAAGATCCTATCAGTGTGGCATGTGAGATAATGAGTTTTACAAAGCTGCTTTCAGCCTCAGAGAGCGCACCCTGAGACTGAGAAGCTAAATCCATGTCTCCTGAAAACTGCTCTGGGCCAACGGCCGAACAATCAGGATTCTGCTCCTTTCTAGTTTCCTCCTCTCTACTTGCAACCACTCTAGTTTATTCTGGTCTAGTCTATCCAATCATTTACTCACCACGTCCTTATTGAGAACAGGCTATGTTCCTGGTAGCAGTTACACAATGGTAAGCAACATAAACATGGGCCTCATTGTCAGGGAGCTCATAGTTCGAATGAGAATAGCAAATAACAAAATATACATACATATATACATATCTATATCTATGTCTATGTTTGTATGTATCTCTCTCTATATATGTGTATATATATATACCTATATAGATACATAGATATATAACTACAACTTGCGATAGGTGATATAAAAGAATAACAAATGCATAGGGAGAAAAAATACTTTTGGGGCATTTGAATACACGAAGAGGACAGAGAAAGATTTGCCCAATATTGGGAACTTAAGGTTGAGACATAAAAGTTCAAAGAATTCACTTATGGGAAGGAAGAAAAACCTTCCAGGCAGAGGGGACAGTGCACGTGAAGGTACCAGGATAGCAAAGAGTAAGCTCACACGGAACAGAAGGGAAGCCGGCGAGAGTTTCATGGACAGAGTGAGGGCCACAGTGGAAAAGCATGAGTCTGAAAAAGTGGCCCAAGATCAGATCACGATTGCTTTGGAGACCAAGTAAGGGGCTTGGAGAGATTTAATAAAGAAAACAATAGTAAACTTGTAGGGATTTTGAAAATAAGTGTGACATGGAATGATGTACATTTTCAAATAAAATCCATGCTGGTTGGGAATCAGAAGGTCAAGTCAATCATCTAGGAAAGTGGAGGAGGATGGGGGTCCAGGAAAACCTCTACCACCATGCACTAGCATTCTCTATCCCCCTCCGAAAACACCTTCTACCAAAGCCTTGCCTTTTGGTGCCAGTAAGCAATTAATGACAGTGCCATATCCTGTTATCTAGTGAGAAGCGAATTTGAATTGGACAGAATATGTGGTTATGGGACTGCCCGTTGCCGGAAGAAATGTCGCAGCCAAGAATACAGAATTGGAAGATGTCCCAACACCTATGCATGCTGTTTGAGAAAATGGGATGAGAGCTTACTGAATCGTACAAAACCCTGAAACGCAGTAGTGCTGGTCCCTAGAGTCGCTGGAAGTAGGACCTCAGTAGCTTTCCTTCCTGCGGCCTAGCAGCAAGGGCATCCCCATTGCAACCACGGGTTCAGTTATCAAAGAAGGTTTGCTGAGCTTCCACTCAATGCAAAGCCAATATAGGAGATTGAAGAAGAATACAGGCTGGAAAGCCGCCTCTGGTTGTGATAATGGAGAATAACAATGGGAGTTAAGCATGAGTTTCAACACTTTATAAGTTGAACAAAAAATATGTCTACCTAATCAGCTATAAACCTAAGAAAAACATCATTTTTATCCTGATAATATTGGTTTTCTTTTCCGATCGAAAGTTTTGCTCAGGAGTTATATATATCATGTGTTAATTAAAATGTAAAGTAAATCAATGTTAAGTGTGCCTTGTTTAGAATACACTATATTTCAAAACATAGACCTCTGAGGAGAAAAACAAAAGAGGTGATGTGTGATGACAAGCTTGGGAACCCATTGGAGCTTAAGGGGTTGATCAAGTGGGCGTCTGTGGAGGGTCCCATCCAGCAGAGGGCAGCAGAGAGCAGCCCTGCGCTGAGCTGTGGATTCTTGATCCTGAAAACCTGTAAAGAAAGGTGAGTGATGAAACATTTGACCTGCCTGCCTTTCCTGTCCAAACCAAATTTTAAGGTAGTCAAAAGCTTCTCTCTTCGAAAGCAGCCCAGCTAATAAATGAGGAGTGTCGCCATTTTGCAAACACATAGGGAAACAGGGATCTAGCCAAGGAATGTCAACAGCGATTAAAATAAGCCAGAAAGACAACCTGCTACCCTGTGCTTCCTAATAGAAGGACATAATGCCACGTACGAGCTTCTAGTCATGGTAAGCAGCATCATCCTCACCTTGTCAGGGTGGAAACTGAGGCTGCATTGTGCCCTTTCTACCAAAACAGTGTAACGGCCCTTCGCGTAGGCATCGCCCAGCCTCAATATGTGGTTAGTCTTGTTTCATCCCTTGATAACTCTCTCCTAGATTATCTCAAATAAAAATAAATTATTTCAAAGGTGCCCATTTGAAAATACTCTAGAAGGTGTAACTCAGGGGGAAAGAACTCGTTTTGTAAAATAGAACCCCAATACTATTATCACCCCTGGAAAAAATCAGCATTCATTCCTAAATACAATTTAACAGCCAATCTGTATTCAAATGACCCTGAGCATTTCATAAGTGCCTTTTTAAGAGTTGATTTATTAGAATCTGGATCCTGGAAGGTCCACATACTGCCTCAGGTTGTTTACCTCCAAGGCCTCTTGCACAGATGGTGATGTGTACTTCTATTCCATCTATAAAATATTGTGCTGAAAATTGAGTGCATATCTGGGCAAGCCCCTAGGTCTCAACACTGCAATTACAGGAAAAGAAGAAACTACTGAACCACCCCCAAGGATGCCACACTCCAAATGCAACATACAGAACACGCTATAAGACAATGTGACATTTATTTTAGTCTTACATTTTTTTAGACTCTTTTCATTATTCTCATATTTTGTATTTTATAAAATACTTTTAATACATAATCTCCTTTGATCCTCACCATAAACTCTTGAATTAGGCATGGTAAGTGTCAACATCCTCACCTTTTAGGCACTGTTACTAAGGTTCAGACGGATTAGTGGTTTTCCTAACACTGGCCACGATATTAGGCAAGACCAGGCCTAGACCCCACATCTCAAGTGCAGTTCAGAGGCAGCACAGCATGGCATGTACAAATACGCAAAGCCTGGAATCCCAGCTCTACTGCTTAGCAGGGGACCTTGGGAAGGTGACTTATTTGACTTGTACCTTGATTTCCCCTCCTGCCGTATGGCCATTCTGCCCAACAACACTTACAAACAGAGATCCAACTGCTGACCCTGTGCTACAATTATTTTTTGTCTCCTTTTAAAATGTAATTTGATGCCTTGCCAAGGAGGCCATCTTGTACCTCCCAATGTAAATATAGAGCAAAGCAAGGGACTTCTACAGACTTTAATCAACGCCACCCGCCGTAGTGGCCAGAGAGACAAGAACAAGCAGAAAGCAAAGCTATCTCATTGTCAGATAACGTAGAAAGCCTTGTATCGTGGTCTTCACTGAAGAGCCCTGGGTTTGGCTTGCCGTCCTGGTGTCCTATTGTTTTGCTCTCTAAAGAGGCTGGATTCTGAAACAGCGCCCCCTCCCGCCCTCAGGTGTAATTCACATAGTCATATTAATGAACTGCTATCCTCAGCACTTAACGACATCACAAAGTCGCACTACTTTAATTTCAGGGCTTTACAGTAAAAGAACAAAGATAGATTGTTCTATTTTATTGTTTCCAGAATTGGCAGGAAATATTTAATAATTTGTACCTGATGCACTACAAACACAATCAGAAACCCAATAACATTGCTACTTATCTTCTATCTCCAAAGGATGGATACAGATCTGAAGTCTGTAGTTCATAATGAATGATCAGTAACCCTTTGAAATGTGCCTAATGAAAATCAACAGAAGGAAGGATTGTTTGGATATTTTTCACTTTTTAATTTATGCGTTTTTTATTATTTGAAGTTGAGAGAGAGAGACAGAGATTGACAGAGAAAATCTCTGGGTGAGCAAATCACCACCCAGGTCCTTATTTAAATATCCAAAAGAGCAGAACTTGAAATTTTCAACGTGCAGGAGTTAAGGTTTTCCACACTGGCATATTCTCTTTCTTGCCTCCCAAGAGACATCCCATTAAATCCTGGAAAATATGACTGTGTAAAGGGGAAACATATTGCAGCCAAGTCTGTGCTCAGAAGTTGCTATAGAATCAACTTTCTCTTGCATTACCACATGACCCAAAGAAAATTAGCCTGGAAGAGTCTCACAGGTGAGTGAAGCAGAGATTCCTATGTAGATTTTCTTATCCCTGAATTTTAGATTGTGATATGTCCACAAGGACTGCTGGGACCTCAGTTTCATAGGCACAGAGGGCCCTGTGGGTAAAAATAGGTGGGGTCCTGAGTCTTCCCAACATGACAAAGTCAAAGACAGACACATGGTGAGTGGTAGAGCTGCCTTTGTGGCTGAATCCGAGAGAAAAAAATGGTCAACCTCTGAGGACTGGGAAGGGGCTGAAATGCTTTCCAGTTATGAGAAATTACACCCAAAATAATAAAAGCATCATGGCACCGTGGAGAAAAGATACTATTCCCGTGAAAAACTACATTTCTTCTTATGTCTGTGACCACCATGAACTCCTGCTCTTCCCCAAACAAATCTGTTGCCTTTCCCTTTAACTTTGAGCACCCCTTTGTTTATTTACATGGACTCCATTCTGTTAATAGTGTCTGCAGTGCATAGCCTCCTCCAGATCTTTAGTCTTTAATTAACACATATAGACACATCGCTTTTTCACTCATCCTCCATTTCCTCTTCTTAAAATATTGGTTAGGTCTCTAAGACAGTTTTCAGTTCCAAAATGTTATGATTGTTTCGTCAGAATTGCCAACCTCGGCCAGGCAGGGTGGCTCACGCCTGTAATCCCAGCACTTTGGGAGGCAGAGGCGGGAGGATCACTTGAGGTCAGGAGTTCAAGACCAGCCTGGCCAACATGGTGAAAACCCGATCTCTACTAAAAATACAAAAATTAGCTGGGCGCGGTGGCAGGCACCTGTAATCCCAGCTACTCAGGAGGCTGAGGCAGGAGAGTCGCTTGAACCCGGGAGGCGGAGGTTGCAGTGAGCTGAGATGGCGCCGCTGCACTCCAGCTTGGGCAACAATGCCAGACTCCGTCTCAAGAAAAAGAATAGGCAATCTCAACAGATTTATTTAAACTTATAACAATACCATGTTTTTATTACCAAAACTAAATGGTGTTTATGCCTTAGCGCTCATGAAAGGATTTCCTGTGTTCTTTCATATGCTGCCTTAAGAGCATTCTTGGGATGGCTGAAATGGCTACAGATCAAATCGACTTCTGAAAACACAATTCATTTTGTGATTCTGTGCATGAAAAAGAAACAAAATACCAAAGAATATTTTTGCACAATTCTCAAAGCTACTTCTTTAACCACGATCCAAAAGCAGTTTTCTCTCCTATCATGTAATTCTTCCTGACTGCTTTTTCCAAAGAAGACTCTAATATTTGTGTCTTTTCCATATATCAGTTATTTTCCCTAGAGGGGAATCTGTGCCTCTGTTAAATGGCATTCTAGTTGGTCTTACAGACTGGTTAGCATGTTACAATCTCAGACTTAAGAATAAGAAAATCTGCATAGGAATCTTTGCTTCGCTCTTCTGTGAGTCTCCTCCAGAGAAACTTTCACTGGGTCATTTAGTAATGCAAAAGAAGAGTCTAAATTTGATTCTGCAGAGAACTTCTGATTCCAAACTGGGCTACAATAGGGTTTTCCTTCTCGCATTCATATTTTCCAGGATTTACCAGGATGCTACTTGGGAAGCAAGAAGGAGGATGTGCCGATGTGGAAAATCTTACCCCCTGCACATGTGTGCAATTTCCAATAAGATCCTTCAGGAATATGTATTTGCAGAACTTCTTATTTGACAATAAAATCTTGATCATTTTACTTTAGCCCACCTACTTAGTCCAAACGAATCAAGATACCACATACTAAGCAGCTTAAAAAAAAAAGAATATGATTTATTGATTGAATGGACCAAAAAAAACTTGAAACAATTATTAGAATATTCTATAATGGGTTCTGCCATCCTCCCCCTCAGGATGGATGTGGCTTTTAGCAAGAGAATTATTCAAAGATTTTTTTAGGACACAGAAATCTGGCAGAAGAGGACAGGAGCTGAGAGCATTGTTGTGTTAGGACAGATGTAACATTAATTGCCTTTATTACGACTTCACCAGCTTTTGCCTGTCAAAGAGCAGAACTAGGCTTTCCCGGCTGCTCTTTTTTAAGATTGTTCTTTTCAGAAGCATGGAAGAGGGGGCTTACTTTATCTCAAGACGTAGACAAAGGAAGTGAGATCTAACTATTTTTGGCTCAGTTTCTTCATTTAAATAATTTCAAATAATTCTAACGACTTCAAAGAAGATTCCGTTACCTGGGTGGTAATTACTCAAATGCTGTTATATTTTAAGTCATGATTTTGATTAATGATTCATTACTATGAATATCTGAATGGTGGAATAGGCTTGTTTTTGTTTTCTTTCCTTTTATAGAGAAGATAAAAATATATAGAAATAAGTTACCAATATACTCCAAAATTTCCATCACTGTTATAAAAGATCCACATTCCAAGTTTAAATAATTACAAATACAACTGTAAGAAGTTGCTATTGAACTAGAGTATAAAAAATACCCAGAGTATGTAGATGAGCGAATAAATCTTCATTTAGGGTTGAGGTAGAGCAGCTGTCTACCTCCTTTCTTGACTGTCTATGTTCTTCCAACATCCAATTATCAGAATTTGATGCAGTAAGTGATTAAAGAAACTTATCATGGGCCAGTTGTCACCTATCTCCGCAGTGTTGCCCTGTGCTCTTGGAATTGGAAGACTTCCTAATTCCTTAAAGTGAAAGGATGTGAATGATGCTCCTGCTCTCCCTGACCAGCACCTCATGCTTTGCAGTGGAGAATCTGTCCTGAGACCCAAAAGATAGTGGCCTCCGCATTGTGCTGCCAGGGCAGCTGCTATGTGCAACTGTCCGCAGCTGCAAACCTTCCGCCCTTTGCTGGTGCTTCAGCGGATGCCCAGGTCTCTATTGTCATTGCTGCCTCTTTCTCCATTTGCTTCCAGCTTTCTCCAGGTAGAGAGTAAGTATTTTTATTTACACAAATGACCTAAGTTGTTTTCTCTGTCTGGATTAAAATATACATGCAAATGAGACATATGAGATAAGCACTATCTTTTCCAGACATCACTGATGTTACATTGGATGCTATGTGAATACAAAACTCTTCAACCAAAGCCTTCTTCACTTTAGTTAAGTCCAGAGCAGACTGTCTGGGTTACATGCATACCTGAGCTAATGCAGCCAAGTAAGAAACACACACTTGGTTAAAATGCTTAAAAAGATGAAGGAGAAGGGAAGACAAGTCCTCTGCTTGGATATTACTAGAGGAGAAAACCCAGACTCAAACACAGATTTTTTTTTTCTTTTTTAAAAGAATTGAATTGGACCCAGTGACATCAACAGGAGGTGTCTGGGGGTAAAGAGAATGGAAAGGGGAGAGAAAAATCAAGACAACTCAAATAAGTTAAAATAGAAAGGAGGGGGGTCCAAAGTGAGGAAGGAGAAGTGGAGGGGACCAAGAAACAGGGAGAGAGACTCAGAGAGGAGAAGAAAAAGAAAAGAACATTTTGAGCAGCCTTGGAACTCTCTGTATAACTTCAGGAAGGGATAGTTTGTAAAACCAGGTCCTACCTGTTATGTTGTGTGTCTTATGCATGATTTTTTAACACTAAAATAAAAACGCTCAGCCAACAGGATAGAATCGACATGGCAGTTTATTTATGTCCCTGTTCTCATGAACATTAGGGGGCTTTTGAGAAGCGTTTGAGGACATTGGCAACTTTATGATAGTTATGTTTGTTCTGCCCCTCCATGCCTTTCATCTTTCTGTTTCTCTCTGTTCTTCCTTATTCACCAAACCCACCCAAGGCATTCAGGCGTATTATTTACTTCCTGAAATATGTGTCTCAAGTGTTTGTTCCACCAGCAGTGGGATAGTAGCGTGTCCACATTGTCCTTTGAGAATGAGAAGTCATCCTGGAGCACAGCTCTTCCCACGCTCCGGGCCCACACACCCAGCCTCACTCCATCAAAGGAGCCCCGCTGCCTGCCCACCCACCCTGGGTGCTTTCTGGCTTGCAGTGCTCTTGGCAGACATGAGGCAACGATTGCTCCCGTCCGTCACCAGCCTTCTCCTTGTGGCCCTGCTGTTTCCAGGTAAAATGGAAAGGTGACCCGGGTCTGGGTGCCAGAATCTCTCTGCAATGGTCATCTGAGGTATGGGAGTCCAGGCTGGACAGGGAGAGATGAAGTCCTTGGGGCATGTATTCCTGGTGGAGCTTTGGGTACGAGTCTCTGAACTGGGTTCATAAATGGCACTCTGAATTGGCTGATGGCACTTGCTTCCCAGGGAAGAGTGTCCCTCCCCGACTCCATTTTCTTATCCTTTTAACATTCCCCTTTCCCTTACAGAGAAGAACATTACATTTTAGGGAATCTTAACAACTGCATTAGTGACACTTGAAATAAATTCTCTGGCTGTGCTGGCTTTGAGGAGGTGCTCAGACTCACCATTCATGGCATACATTTCTTACACTTCATTCACCTTCTCTCTCTACACATAGGTGCATACAACGCATGTGCACAAATGTGCACACACACGGAACACTAGCACCCCTCCCAACTCCCCCACCCAATCACCCATGCTCACTCACCTGGTAGAGTGTAGGTGCCTCATGCTGACGGGTCTGCCAGGCGGAGGCCTCAGAGCATCCGCAGACGTGTGTTTCCACTTGCACAGGATCGTCTCAAGCCAGACATGTGAACCACTCAGCCACTGAGGCTCTCGGAGAACTCAGGGAAAGAGCCCCTGGGCAAGGCACAAACGGGTTTCAGCTGCTACGCCACGCAGTGAAACGGGACCTCTTACCACCGCGCACCCCACCTTACCAAGGTGAGTCAGGGACCAACACGTGCAACAAGTGCATCCACTGGGGAGACGTAGAGGGAACAAATAGACGGGAAGATGTCTGTGCTGGTCGGGGTGGGTGAGCAGTCATTGTTTGGGGAAGACATGGTGCGGGTGCATTGGGCTGCCCTGCCTGTCAGGGAGACCACGGGGTCTCACAGCTTCCCCTGGGGCTGGATCATTGAGGGCCTTGTGGAACGTGGGAGTATTGAGGGGCCAAAAGGCAATTTATCTGAAGCCACACCAGTAATTGCTGGCTTCCTCCAAGAACAGGTGCCAGAGGAGACACTGGTGGAAACATGGCCTCCTGCCAGGTTGCAGCCCCATGCCCTTAGCTTTGGAGGTCGTTCCCGTTCAAGGAATTTACTGAATACCTACCTACTAAGTTTCAGGTGTCCATTGAGGTCTGGGAAATGCTTCCTGAGGATGGGGGCAGAGAATAGACTGTATTGTCAGTCTACTCAGGCAAGGAGGTAGCAGGACATGGCAAGGGACAATTGAGCCCACAGCCACTCTTCTGGACTCTTCCAGAAGGGCCAGGCTTCTGGTCAGCCCCCAAACCCCTGGGCAGGACCAGCTTCAAATCCAAAAGGGCCTGGAAGAGCCTGTAGTTTCCAAGATGCTTCTTTAATGCCAAGCTGATTGCTGACCCTAAGACAGGGAGAACTAGGTTAGCAGATCAGTGGGCAAGAGCAAGAAAGACAGGAGGGTGTTGGCAAATTGCTGTGACATCCAGCAAATAAAGTCCTGCTGAATTTGATGCCTGCAGCATCCTACCCAACCTCCCATCCCTTTCTAATTGGCCCACAGTTCCAAAGGACTCATTCATCTGGATCTCCTCCCAAGGGAAGGGAAAAAGAAAACTCAATTATTACACAACAAATATAAACAGGTGCAATAGTAGGCGTGTGTTATTTAGTCTAACAGTATTCCTGTGAGACAGGATTATTCCTTCCTTTGGTTAAAGGAGATTTAGTGGGGCAGAGCTATATATCTGGAGTTGATGTTTTAGTTTGGAACTTGAAGCTATTAACTATGGAAAGCTGTTTCATATCCATGCCACCCCCACCCTGTCCCTCACGGCTCAAATGACCACTGTTTGATTCTGGAGATGGTCTTAAGAAGCTAATGTTGGATTTTTTCTTTTTTTAATGCAGAACCTGCATCAGATTTAAAAGTTGTTGACTGCAGGAGAAGTGAAGGCTTCTGCCAAGAATACTGTAATTATATGGAAACACAAGTAGGCTACTGCTCTAAAAAGAAAGACGCCTGCTGTTTACATTAAAACTGATGTTGCTGATATAGAAACAAAGCTCTGCCACTTACCTGTTCTCCGGGGCCACGTTGTCCAATCAGGTGCAGGTTTTTTGCGGAAGTGTCTGAGCAGCAGGGAGCGGAGATATTGCCACTTGTGCCAGACAGTTCAAATATTTTATTGTGGCAAGATAAATGACAAAAATGCTACCTGTGATCTTACAGAAGATGACTTAGCTTGACATGAACAGAATTTTCAAAATCACACAATTTGTGCTAGTAAATGTGGATATCATAAACTTTTATTAGAAAGAATTAAAATAATTTGTTCTTTTATTTAAAAACTATTTTTTGAATACCTACTTCTATTCTAGGTACTGTGCAATGGAGTCCATTCTATTCTAAGTACTGTGAAATGTAGTTGAGGTGTCAGGTGTGTGGTCAAACCCATTCTCCATCAGCCCCATCATCTCCTACCTGCAGGCCAGTTCGAAGCCCTGTTCTCTAGCAGCAGCTGAGAGAGTGTGCAGGCAAATGCCTTCTGGGGAGATACTGAGAGCTGGGAGTTACTGCCTGTTCTCTTTGTGCTAAACCTGGAAGAATACCCTCTGGAAGTCCTCTTGTGCCCCTTTAAAACTACCCATTTGTTCTCTGTGGCCTTAGAAGACACAAAATGCAGAGACCCATTTATAACCCGATGGTGCTGTGCAATTCCAGGCTTTTGGTGTCCTGAACAAAGAACTGGATGTGATACTCAGACAGCAAAGCAAGCAGCAAAAGTGTGTGAAGCGCAGTATTACATTCCCGGAGAGGGGAGAGTGGGCTGACTTCTGCCAAATGAGATTAGCATGGCTTCGGTGTACCTTGGGTCTTTTTATGTGTTTTTTCCCCTTCTCTTCGCAAGGCTGCCTGATCTTTTGCCGGTGCCTGCCTTTTGATAGATAGGTGTGTTGCTTAGTTACTTTAGCCTGTGCGGGCTTGTGAATTGTCTCCATCCCATAATTTTAACTACATGCGTGATAGGTAGTCCATATGCATGAGCTTTAATGAGCTGATTATCATACAGCATCCTGTTAAGGATACTTTTTCTCTTTAATGCGCATGCCTATCTCTGAAGAGCTGCCCCTTCCTGGTTTGATCTGGATCTTGCTGGCCATGGGGTCCTTGCTCTCTTCTTTATCTCACTTTTTCTTTTGGCTGCTTCACTTCTGCCTTTTATCTTGCTTCTTGCTCACCCACCCCTTCACCTTGCTTCTGTTTCTGCTTTTATTCACTCTATCCTTTATCCAACTTCCAATTTCCTCTGCAATTCTCCTGCCTCACATTAACTTCTAGAGATAAGTGATTTAGGAGCCAGTCCCCCAGGTGGCAGCTATAAAACTGTGCTTGAAGTATTCTCCTTCAAGGGAGAAGCTGGAGACCTGGATTTCTTGCTGGAGCTAGTCGAGAGGAGCAGGTGCAGTGCCTACCTATACCTCTGTTCAGGCTCCCACAGGTCTACTGTTCACCCTGCCCCTTTGGCTCCCAGATACAGACCCAGAAGTCAACCCTCAGGCAGCAGATGGGAAAATGGGTAGATAAACCCCTTGCAGGTAGAAACCGGGAGGTGGGCATTTACCTGCCTGCTCTGGCCTGAGCCCAGGGAGAGAGCTGCCAAAAGTGCTTGCAAATCTGTGTCCCACCATCTCTTTGGTGTCTGTGGTTTAGGGAGACCTGCAGATGCCCAGCTCTATCAACCCTGAGCTGGGTGATTTAGGAGCCAAACCCCTGGGTGGGAAGCATAAAGGTCAGGGTACTATATGTGTGGTCCAAACCCTTCACTCCTCAGGGAGAAGCTAGGAGTTGGGACTTCCTTACCAATTAATTGTAAGGTGTTATGCCTGGGATAGGGATTGTGCGGGGAGTGTGTCTCAGCTCTTCCCACCTGTTTTCACATGAATATTTTCTCAGTTGCTTGATGTGTAGTAGTCGTTCAATTAGTCCATGGTTTTCTCTCAGAAAGAACCGATCTGTGTGTTGATATTTCTTTGGTATATCCGTGGAAGGAAGGAAAGGCTGGAGCCTCTTAGTCCACCATCTTGCAGATATCAGTCTGGCACACCCTTGATTACTGTGTAGTTGAGCGTTTTTTCTTTTGTTTATTGATCATTTTTTCTCTTCTGTAAAATTTAATAGTTTTACTGGGTTACTACTTTATTCTCTTTTTTCTTTTTTTTTTGAGACAGAGTTTCACCCTTGTTGCCCAGGCTGGAGTGCAATGGTGCGATTTTGGCTCACCACCACCTCCACCTCCCGGGTTCAAGCGATTCTCCCAGGTTCAAGCAATTCTCCTGCCTCAGCCTTCCTAAGTAGCTGGGATTACAGGTGTCCACCACCATGCCTGGCTAATTTTGTATTTTTAGTAGAGACGGGGTTTCTCCATGTTGATCAGGCTGGTCTCAAACTCCCGACCTCAGGTGATCTGTCCGCCTCGGCCTCCCGAAGTGCTGGAATTACAGGCGTGAGCCACCGCGCCCGGCCAGGTTACCGCTTTATTCTTATCCATGTACATGTGCTCCTTTTATATCTAACCTTACATATTCTTTCCTCCATCAATTATCTTCCCTTTCTCTGGAATGCCTCCTGCTTAAACCCCAGTTATCCTTGAAATATCCTCTCATTATCTTTCAACCATAATTTTCATGCTTTTCCCTTTTGTTCTCTACTTTGCAGATATTTATTTTTATATCTGTAGAGCCCTTCTATTTTTTTTTTTTTTTTACTATTTTTGGATTTTGAAGTTCAGTTATTAGATTTTTAATTATTTTTAAATAGTCTTATATTTGCAAATAGTCCCTTTCTTTCTCAACGTGTGACTTTCTCATGGGATCTAATTCTCATTTTGCTGACCACAGTTTCTCAAATCTCATTAGGAATAAATACATATTGATTGTTTTAAAACTGCATTTTTCCATTGAAATCGCACATATTCCAGTTCAGTTAAGTCTCTTCCAGTTTCTAAAAGTGCTGACTTCACTTCTGCTAGTTTTACACTGACCGCTAACATCTGCTTGCTCATGCAGACCAGCTGTGCAGGATTGCTTTGGTAGGGTAAGCAAGCGAGTGAGAGGTGGCAAAGAGTGAATGTGGGTAGAATCTGCTGTTTGTCTTAAACTTTTCTGTAGGGTATCTCTACTTAAAAGAAGTTTCATGGATGTCTTTAATAAATAAATAGGGAAGAAATAATGATATTTGCCTAATCTGTCCATAAAATCTTCATCAGTGATCATTATTTTAGGCTCAAGTTAATTAATAATAAACTGCACATCACAAAACTTTGAGCTCATTATTCTCTTTGCAGCTTTCTTTAATCCCCATAAATTAAAACTTCCTGCAAATATTGTTATGTATTAGATTGCTACAAAAGTAATTGTGGTTTTTGCCATTGAAAATAACGGTCAAAACCGCAATTACTTTTGCACCAACCTAAGTATAAGCATCTGGGTAAGAATCAGGATCCTGGGGCTCAGCATAGGAAAGAAACTAGGTACACAGAGCCCTTTACAGAATGCCACCTTTCCAGGCTTTTTTTCTGAACAAAGATGTTCCTTAATCAACTTATGTATGGGCACACTCACACGGGGCTGATACCCACGGATAATGAAGGTATATGAAACTAGTCCTCACATACAAAACCAGAAGCACTGGTAACTTAAATAACCTCTTTGTAAAGCAATCTTAATATGTATGTAAGATATAAAATACTCGTTCTCATTGTTTCAGTTATTCTGCTCAGAAATTATCCTGGGAAATAAAAAAATACTTTGAGAAACCAAAAAAAACTCTAAAAAGTTCAAAATGGAGCACTATATTAGCAAACTACAATAAATCTACTCAGAGATATTACATATTCCTTAGGTATAATAAATATAACACAGTGAAAAACCATCAAAATGCATAACATTTTCAAAATACTTACATGTCCTAAAAATTATGATACCAATGTTCACATATTTGATATAAAATTAACTGTGAAAAGTATGCTTAAAAACAATAAAGTTTCTAATGTTAAAATTATTGGTGATTTTTAGATATTTGCACCTTTAAAAATACCATCAAGTTATTGCATTACTCTTAAATGTTAAATATACATTTGTAAGAACAAAATTAATGTGCCTAAAAATAAACATATATATGTATATACAAAGATATCACTTAATTATAAGCAAAGACATTCTGTTGTAGACTTAAGTTGCATCCAGAAACTCACAGAGTTAACATAAGAAAGCACTTCCTGGGCAGTAAGATGATAAGACTCCTTGTTTGCATAGCGGTGAGTAAAAATAAATAAAAATTTTATAAAAAGATGATATGACATTTAAAGCATGTTACCCAGGGAGATTTTGGAGCCTACCTGGGATTCATAAAAAACAGGTAGAAACTGATTTTTTTTTCCTCTCATTCTTTGATATTATAATATTTGCAGTGCTGGGTTGTGGACAAGGGGAGGGAGAGCATTAGGACAAATACTTAATGTATGTGGGGCTTAGAATATAGATGACGGGTTGATGGGTGCAGAAAACCACCATGGCACATGCATATCTATGTAACAAACCTGCACGTTCTGCACATGTATCCCAGAACTTAAAGTAAAATAAAATAAAAATAAATAAAAATTACAGACGTTAAAAAAACAAATGTGCCATCCTGCTTGGAGACAACTGAATAAATATAATGGGTTCTCAAGGTCAGTCCTGAGCCACCAATTCCGTTAGTTATGCATTCTTTGTTCTCACAGCAGCTTTTTAGTACAGGCCCCTGAGCCCTGATGAGGTTTTATGGCCACCAGTTTTACGCAGTGGGAAGAGGTCCTTAGACAGAAGCTTGCTGGAGGCTGTCTCAGAACGCACTGCAGCACACCTGACTGCCTTGTATTCCACTCTGCACGCCCACCTTCCGCGCAGCATCCTTCCCTCCCCTGCACCCCAGCAGCTTTTCCCGGGATTTGATCCTTCTGACTCATCCATTGCTCAGAGAGTCCCCATCATCAGGAAGCCTGTCTTCTCTTCAATGCCTGAGGTTTGCGGGGCAAGGAACAGGTGGGCAGGCTCAGTCAATTCCACCCCATTGCACCTCGTGTGACATAAATAATGGGCGCTTCTAATCTTTTCTTCCTGTCCCTACATGTGGTCGTCACCGCAACTCTGCAGGCTTGACCTGCTCTCACCTGGCTTATTTTTACCTCTTTGGGTCATGGGAAATGACCTTCTGCACCCAGGGAATCTCCCTTAGTTGATAAGACCAAAATGGAAATAAATAATAAGACCAAAATGGAAAGTTAGTATGCCTTCATAAAGAGAGATTAAATTCATGAACACAAACCCTGCCTCTTTCTTGAAAACCCAAAATACATAAATAAATAAAACCTCCGGAGCAAGAGGAGTAACATTAGCATTGTCCATGAGGATAAAAAAGTGGGGAGAAACCCCAGCTGACTTTTTCATCATCCCAAAAGGAGACACCAGTAAGCAGCCACTGGATTTGCCAGCTGTGCACATTTCATATATATGGAATCATACAATATGTGGTATTTTGTGCCTAGCTTATTTTACTTAATGTGAGATTTTCAAAGTTCCTCCATGTTGGAGAATGTGGCATTACTTCTTTTCCTTTTGTGACTAAATAATATTGCATTGTATGGATGTGCCACACTTTGCTTATACATTCATCAACTGATGCACATTTGCATTGCTTCCACCGTTGACACTTGTGACTAATTCTGCTATGAACACTACACTCATGTACAGGTTGCTGTTTGAACACCTATTTTCACCGCTTGTATGTATACACCTAGGAGTTGAATTGCTAGGCCATATTGGTAACTCATATTGTTTAACTTTCTGAGGAACTGCCAGACTTTTCCACAGCAGCTGCACCACTGTACATTCCCAGCAGCAACATATGAAGGTTACAATGTCTCCACATTCTCACCAACACTTGCTGTTTTCAAAAATTTTGTTTTGTTTTGTTTCATTTTGAGACAGAGTCTCGCTCTGGCGCCCAGGCTGGAGTGCAGTGGCCCGATCTCAGCTCACTGCAACTTCCGCCTCCCGGGTTCAAGCGATTCTCCTGCCTCAGCCTCCTGAGTAGCTGGGATTACAGGCACCCACCAGCATGCCTAGCTAATTGCCCGGCTAATTTTTGTATTTTTAGTAGAGATGGGGTTTCACCATATTGGCCAGGCTGGTCTCGAACTCCTGACCTTGTGATCCACCCGCCTTGGCCTCCCAAAGTGCTGGGATTACAGGTGTGAGCCACTGCTTCTGAAGTTTTATTTTTTTTATGACTGTCCTAGTAGATGTGAAGTGATATTTCATTGTGGTTTTGATTTGCATGTTTCTAATGACTAATGATATTGAGCATCTTTCGTGTGCTTGCTGGTCATTTGAATTTCTTCTTTGGAAAAATCTATTTAAGTCCTTTGTCCATTTTTAAGTGTGTTGTTTGTCTTTTTGTTGTTGAATTGTATCAATATTTTTTAAAATATAGAAACATTTTTTCTACTATCAAATGTTTGCAAACCCAAAGTTATCTTTCCTCTCTTCTCCTTACACTCTTCTTTTCCATTCATGAGTATGATGCACATCAGAATAATTAGCTTGTGTGTTGGCACAAATTGAACTCTATTTCCTTTCAACTCTGCAATTATATGAACCTATGAACCTATAACCAGATATTAACAAAATTAGCCAATAAGCGTGATTTTCTAGTTTGATTTCTTTGAAATGATATGCCTTATTCTTCAGAATTATCCACAAAATAGTTCCGTGGGGATTGCTTTCTGGGTCTGTGATTTGGGAATGGATTCAAGTCTGGAGGAGAAGGTACATGATAAAATTTAATACTATTAATTTATTTCTCCCCCAAATGAATTTATTTTCCAACATAGTTTATTGTTTCCAAACTATACAGAAATTTTCTAAACTATAATTTCACAATGATTTGATTAGTAACTGTACTGCTAGAAAAAATATGCCATCCACATTTACCTTGGATCCTTTCCAAATAACGTGTAGTATAAATAGAAAGAATGAATGTAAAGTATAAAATATGCATTTTATTGTTTTATCTATAAGTCATCTTAGTGACTTTTAAAAAATGACTCAAATTTTTGAATATCCACACTCAGTGTTTTTATCAAACAATGGTTCATGTATCGTACAGCCACTTTGTCCATGCACAGGATACATTCAGAATTGTCATTATTCCTTGGGACCCTTGAACTTAGGGTATCATCTTGGTGTGGAAGCCAATTTCCCTAAGGGGCAAATGAAATTGCTTTTCTTTCTTTCTTTTTTTTTTTTTTTTTTTTGAGAGATTTCAGAGATGTCTTCAGAACAAATGCTCCACAGAGAAAGAATTTCACATTTTAATCGATTTCTTAAAGTACTGAGTTGGACCCTCACAAATATTCATAACTATTTTACAATTACTTAGTACATAGCTAACATTTAAGGTAACTTTTTTTTTTCTCTCTTTTTTTTTGATGGAGGGTCAAAAGCAGCTTGGAGTGCCCAATTTTCCCTAAAGTCTTAACTTCGAAGGTGATTTTGCAAGGTACAGAAAGGTCTGTGAGTCAGAGAGTCCCTGCCAGGGCACATTGTCCTGCTTAATCTCTCCAGAGGTGGAAAGTTCAAAATGAACACCCAGCCCCTGCCTCTTTGAGATGCTCACACTGTTCACCCATGCAGAAAGTCCAAGACCACTGCTTGATGTCTCTTTTTCAAAATCCATGTCTAGGTAAGACTCATGGTGAGATATGGTTGTTGAGGCTGGTTAAATAACGCAGAAGACAGCTTGCAGAAAATATGATGTGTCTAATCTGAAGAATAACAAGGCTCTGCAAGCTATAACAAGTAATATAGGCAAGTCCAGAATGATATCTAGAGTCTGCTATTGCTTACATAAAAATGGGGTATGGATTCATCTCTGCTTCCATACACATGGGACACCTCTGGAAGGATTAATAAGAAGCTAACAGCAATTGTTATGAAGCCCAGGGGGATAGGAGAGAAGACATCCTTCTCTCTTGCCCCTTTTGCTTAAGAGAATTTTAAGGGAAATAAATCTAAGTGATCCTGGGACTAAAATCAAATAGGGGCAAAATGTGCAGCTTTATCCACTGTGTGTTTTAATACCACACATTATATAAACCCACACACAAAAATATCGTGTCCTTGCAGATTCTGTTTTCACAACTCCCAGCACCCCAGAGCCCACAAACCTCCCTCCAGCCCAGGATGACACAGCCCTGTGGTTGCCGGGGGCTCTCTGCATCCCTCACTAGACTGTCACCTCCGACAGCGGATAACTTCATCAAATGAGAGAAGAGCATGTCCTCTTCCTCCAAAGTAGACAATATCCTGGCTCTTCATAAATAGGTGAATTTTGCCAAATTTTTGGAATAATGTGGTACGTTGTCTCTGTTTTTTTTTTCTTTCAGCATAGCGTTTGTGAGGTTCATCCACGTTGTTGTACACATCTTCTTGTTTTTCTATTCTTGTTGTGGTGTGGAAATACATTGTGTTTTGTTGTTGTCATAATACACTATTTGGTTGCATTCTCTTGGCTGCAAGGAAATGTGCTACAATGAACGTTCGTGCACATGTCTCCTAATGCACGTGGGCCTATGTTTCTGTTGGTAGATGGGAGTCATGTTGCTGGGAAATAAGCTAATTATCTGCTCAACTGTGGTGGACACCGCAGCTTTCTGAAGGCAGAAAATATATCTTTACACAACCATGTCTCTAGCACCTAGCACAGGGCTTGGCACTAAGTAGCCACACCTCAATGTTGGTTCACTTTCCTCTTCAATATCCGTATATGGAATTATTGGTTGATCCCTGCTTCTCTGAATATCAGGAAGCCAGTCTATTTTTAGGCAGAAAGGGAAGAGTAGTCAGTAACCTTCTGCCCACAGCCTTACTCAGTAGAGCAGATAAATATGCTCATGCTGATCAGTATTCCCAAAAACCTATAAATGTCCCATTTTGTGCCTTCTCCGCTCCATTTCATTCCATCATTCATCATATTTGTGCTCCTTCACGGGAGGGCAGGGAGGTTCAACGGACCTTAAAACATGAAGGTCTTTTTTCTGTTTGCTGTTCTCTTTTGTTTGGTCCAAACAAACTCAGGTAAATGTCTCCTGGTTAGCCCTGGGGAAGGTAGTGCAGGAATTCCATTTATGTGTGTGTCTGTATGGACAGTGTGTAGATGTGTCTGTATGTTGTTAGTGGATGCAGGTGGGCCACTGTGGGGCTCAGTCTTGGACAATTTTGATCTCCCCTGTGAAGTTTTTTAAAAGCTAAATAAGTGTTATAAAGGTCTTGACACAAGACAAAGGGGTATGCTTGCTCTGATACAAGTGGCAAGCACTCACTGCAGTCTGAGAAAAGTTTTCAGAAGGAAGTTATAGTCATATGAATGTCAGAGCTGGAAGGGAATCAGAGATTGTCTATAGCAGCCCCATGCTCTACAAAAAGAAAACCAAAGTCCAGAGAAAGTGTTAATTTACCATGGTGCAATGAATCTTTATGGTCATAGTAGGTCTTCAAACTTATAATATTCCCCCTGCTTGCACATAGAACACATTTACAGATGGGCAAGCTGAAGTGTAACCAGTTAAATGAGTTGTCTAAGGAGACATAATGAGATATTGGAAGAAGTAAGACCAGAATCCAGGTCTCCACGCTTCCAGGCTGGGGGCTCTTCTGTCTTGACTAAAGGTGGACCCCCCACCTTCTTCACTTTGCTGTCTCCTCCAAGCTGTGACAGGGCTGAGATGATACAGAATCAGGGATTAGACCCCGTTTGGAGGTTGGATGTTGTGCAAGAGTGTTTTCCTAATCACGCAAGACCAACACTGTGCTGTTGTTGTTGTTGCTGCTGTTGTTGCTGCTGTTTAAAGTCATCGTACGTAGCATTTGCAGATCTGACATAAGTAAGATCTTTCTTTCAACCATCTCTTGCCCAATGTCCTGTTGTTATAAAAATTTAGGTGGTCATTTGTGACTTACAAGCCCACAGGTCCTGGTGAGGAGAGAGGTTTTATTTTCTCCTTTTCGTTGTAGGACATAAAACTAAAAATTGGGCCATAAGTTGAGAATGGGTTAATACCTCTAATTTCCTTAGAGACCAAGACCTGTCCTATTCTGGACCACTTCTGTTTTCCAAAACTCCCTTTGTTTCCTTCTAGTGCACATCTCTCACCAGGAGGCTCGAGGACCCTCATTTAAGATCTGCGTGGGCTTTTTAGGGCCTAGATGGGCCAGGTGAGCATTCATAAAACACACCCTATCATCCTCCTGGCAACATTTCAGATATAAATTATCGTTCCTGTTTTAAAGCTAAGAGGCCAAAGTTCGGTTAAACTGGGGCTTGTCCAAAAATACTTAGCCTTGTCAGAATATATAACCCTTGGCAGTGGGCTGGGTTCATCTTCTATTCTCTGCACTATATGAGTTAAATGTCAACTCTCTTCTGTTGTATCCATAGGGGATGTTCCACTGGGAATTAGAAATACCATCTGCCGTATGCAGCAAGGGATCTGCAGACTTTTTTTCTGCCATTCTGGTGAGAAAAAGCGTGACATTAGCTCTGATCCCTGGAATAGGTGTTGCGTATCAAATACAGATGAAGAAGGAAAAGAGAAACCAGAGATGGATGGCAGATCTGGGATCTAAAATATAAGCTCCCGGAAGGCAGGGATGTTGAAGTATCCCAAGGGCTTAAAGGAATGTGTGGCTTATAGTAGGTGTTCAATAAATATTTGTTGAATGAATTTAGCACCAAAGGTGAAGAGCTGATAAAAGACATTTTTTTAACTTCCTTACTTCTCCATGTACTGCCTTTTCAAAGGGGTCTCAGAATTTTGTGATATTCCACTTTCCTTTCCTAGTCAAGGGAATATCTCTTAAGTATCTGGAGATGGGAACTGACTAGAAACCGAGCTCCAAACTGATTTTCAGAGAGACATAAATGCAACCAATCTGCTGCTCTGTTTTCCATCTGATGACTTCTTTCTTACACACCCAGCACTAGCCTTCTCCTGCTTATTCACCCAGATGGTAATGCACCTTATCCCTTTTCCCTTTATGCGTCCTCAAGCAATAACACCAACAGGTCACATTTCAGTAGGATAGTGTTGTTTTCAAGCATTTACTCTTAGGCTATTTCAATTTATTAATACAACAAGCTGATAGTGTGTATAATAGGGGGTAAGCAGGTCCATTTTAGGAATGAAAGAAAAATGAAAATCATCAGGTGAAGCACATTTCCCCCAGGCTAGCAATTCATAAATGGCATTCTCAGTATGCCTATCAGCCAGCATTCATTCTTCTATGATCCTTCTAAAAAACATATTTCTGTGCAATTGGAGCAAGGCAGGGCCCCTGTTCATGGAGATTCCTGAATGCTTAGCTGCCTTTTGCCTTTCTCTGGATCCTGCTTGAATTTGTTGAATACTAATTCCAATAGTAGTGAACACCAATT
Organism: Homo sapiens; assembly: GCF_000001405.40. Classification (NCBI taxonomy): domain Eukaryota; kingdom Metazoa; phylum Chordata; class Mammalia; order Primates; family Hominidae; genus Homo; species Homo sapiens. Next base: position 7,861,642 of record NC_000008.11, read on the forward strand.
ACAAGTAAGGAATTTAAAAAATAATAAAAACAAACATGCTGAGAGATAGAGACCACATGCCAAGCTTTTTCCTGACTGACAGGTGGCTTGGGAAGATGCTCTGTGTTCCTGTTTCTGTCGCTGCCTGAGTCCAGTGTGCTTCTGAATGAGCTGAGGTGCTGTAAAGAGCCCACTAGAATGTACACTTTGGGGCTACAGTCTCAATTCCCAGCTCAAGTTGCAATGAATATTTGTCATCTTGCCTTTGGCCTCTCGCAACCTCTTCTAAACTCACTCTTGTTTTTTTTCTTTTCTAAATGCAATCAGACAGACCTCTGGAAGTGCACAGAGTAAGTCTCTCTTAGGCACAGGCACCGCTGCAGGGCTCTCTGTCATGCCTCTAGAGGGGAGAGCCATTGTTCCATCCCTGAAGGGAATGACTTCCTGAAGGGCATTGGCCCCTATTAGCCTTGGCTGAGAGTGAAACGCAGCAAACGTGCATGCCTCAGAACTGGCAGACACGTTCTCAGCCAGGAGTGCCACCAACCCACACCAGCAGATCTGTGTACCAGAAACACAAAATAACATGAAGGGCCACTGGGGGGCTGGAGCCTGGTTCCATAAGGATGGGACTTCTGGGCAGGTGCCGTTAGACAGCAGCACCTTCTTTTGGCCTCATGTTCCTCAGAAATGAAATGAAGGAGGTGGGCTCGATCTCAGACTCCATCAGAGCACAGCAGCCTGGGGGTGTGGAAGCAGAGCCTCACCCAAGGACCAAGGGGTCTCCACCAGGTGAGATGGGGAGGATGGGAACCCCGTCCCTCCCTGCCAGGGTGCTGCAGGTGAGAACCCCCAGGGAGCCCTCTGCAGAGTCCAGGGCCGGCCAGCAGGGCACTCGCGTGGGCCCTAGGCTGTATTATTTAATATTTTTAAGGTGGACCCTGGGCCTGGGCTGATCTAAATTGTGGAAAATGTCATCTCCCTCTTATGTAAAATTTCTCCAAAGGAAGTGTTTGTCCACTTGTAAGGCATGGTAAAAAAACTAGTACCTATGGCGTTGCCCAGCACAAAACAGGCTGTCTGGGAGTGTTTGCTGAGGCTTCCGGGAAGCAAACACGGAAGGGAAGGGAAGGGAAGGGGAGGAGAGGGGAAGGGAAGGGACGGGAGGGAAGGCGGTGCAGGCTCCTGGAGTCCTCAGTGGTGAGCTCTGGAGTTGCTCTGTTCCCTTTTTAATTTTTGTTTACTTTTTGGCTGTTTTTTCTTTTTCTTTTTTTCAATGTAAAGTGTCTCTGTAAGGCCTGAGAATGAATCTGACTGGATCAGCCCAGAGACCAAGTGAGAGCCCCCAAAACTGGGGCTTACTTTCTTGTTCCGCCCCTCTGGGATATTGGGCAGATCTCCATAGCATCCCTGTCCCCATCTGTAAAGTGACAGGATTGAACTCAGTCCTAAAATGTCCTGGCGTGGTTCTAAGACAGAATCCCCAGAACGCTCTTTTTCAAAGCCTGAAAGGCTTGGGTCAGGCAGGCATCCCGGCAATACCAACACCTACCACGCGAGGGCGCGCTGCCCTTCCGGCGCCTGCAGATGGGATTTTTTTTTTTTTTTTTTTTTTTTTTTTTTTTTTGACCACTTGTTCTGAAGCTGGGCACTGGGCTAAGGACAGGAGCAGCTGGGGTCACCGCAGGGGAGAGCCAGGGGGCCCAGGTTACCAAAGCTTCTGGCCTGAATCTCTTGGCACTGATTACAGTGCCTCATTCGTCTCTGCCCTGCACAGGGTACCATTCACGCCGGGGGTGCGGAAATGAATTAAGTTCAGACTGAATCAGCAGGGATATTTATTGAGGCATTGTCAGGCATCTGCTCTTATTTGGGAACAGGGACAGGCCAGCAGCACAGACAACGCTGTGGATAAGGAGAGTAGAGACTTCCTCTTCCTGCCTCCTGTCTTCTGGAGTTGTGACCGCAGGGTGGCCCAGGTGGATCGGCTTCAGAGGCCAGGAGGCAGCTCTCTGCAGCCGAAGAGCAGGAGCCTCACCCACGGTCTGTGGCTCTGACTAAGCCTGGACTGCCTCTCGGCTGTGCTCCGTGGACTGGCTCCCCAGGGATCCATGTGAGAGACCGGAGTATGATCCTCAGTGCGAGGACAAATAAAAGTAGTGATTATGTCCACCCCATCCTGCCCTCCGTCCAGATCTGTTTTCAACTTGAGGATTCATCTGCCTTGTCCTTGCTAAGACACCTTCAGCCTGTGGTCAGGGGAAGCTGGGAAGAGGTGCTGGGAGACCCAGGACATCGCAAGTTGCTTCTCTGGCTGGCACTCAGAGGTGCGTGAACCCTCTGCCAACCCTAAGAGGGGCAGGAGGGTGCCTGGTGATGGGCCGGAGCTCCAGCCAGCCAGCAGGGGCAGAAGGACTAGGCCTGGTCCAATGGGGGCCCAGGATGTTTTTCTTGGCAAATCCTCATACTTTTCACATAGCTCTTTCTTCTGAGATAAGTGTGATCATCTCCACTGTATCTCTAAGGAATCAGCTTCCTGAGATGACACAGTAACCAGGAATGACAGAGCTGTTCCCTCCTAGTACTCAAATTGGCTCAAATTTCAACCCCACTCTGAAGCTTTCCTGGCCCTCTCCCCGCATTCCTGCCTGGCATTATCAATTGCTCTACGTCTCTGCCCCTCAGACACTTCGGTGCATCCTATCATAGGGTCTTGTCACTCTGTTGCCATCATTTATTTACATATTTATAGTCCTCCCACTAGACCTTGAGCTCCTCAAGGACAGGGCCTGGTACATAAATACTCATATTTACATCTTTAGTAACCACTGAAGAACAATAAATATGAAATAGAGGAAGGAATGAGTGAATTAACCTAAGCCTCAACCACTGGTCTTCTTCAGTGCACCACTACTGTCCTTTTTAATCCAAGCACTGGGGCAGATTTCACCAGGGGATGCTGGGAAACCCCACTGTGATCGCGGCCACATCCTAGTCACAGCCTGAAGCCCGCATCCTTGTCTTATCTCTCACAATCCCCTGGTTTCACCGCCTTCTTCCTCTCCTCATTCCAACCACTCCCCGTCCCATTGGGGTACTCATCTCTACAATCTGGTCAGAAGGTGGGGCGAAGCCTTTATTAGCTCTCCTTTATTATAGGGCCTCACAACAGAACTTGTAACCCCTTCATTTTCAGGGGCTTAACACTTACCCCACGGGAGGCGGCAGAGCTAACAGGGAGGCTCGACGTGTTGGGGCTGGAGAAGTGAAAAGTCCCCTGGCCCCTGAGTCTCCACACTGAGCATCTGCCTCTGACAGCATGACATGTGCACCTTCTGTCCCTCCCTCATGGAATCATAGACAGAAAAGGGACCCAGGATGTCACTAAATTGAAGCCATGCCCCAATGAGCCTCATGGCATCCTGGAAAAAGCCCTGAACTAGGAATGAAAATGCCTGCGTCCTTGTCCTATGTCTGCCGTCCTTGACCTCACTGAGCTTTGGCCCTTCCTTGATAATTTGAACACACGTTGTTTGCTCTTTGATTTTGAAAACAAAGATTACATGAAATTCCTATGAACCATACAGTATTGGGACTGTACAGGTGATTCATTTTATTAACTAATAATTGAATCTTCTTGATTCAAATAAGATACAGCAAATGTGATTCGAGATAGTTGTCAACCTGGAAAGAATACATATTGCATTTTAACATCATACAGGTGGAGTAATTTAGTGACTAAAACACACACATGCAGATACATGTATAATTTACACATAGTGTCTCACTATGCAATTATAGCCAGAATGGATTTTTTTTTTTTTTTTTAGACTGAGTCTCACTCCATCACCCAGGCTGGAGTGCAGTGGTGCAATCTTGGCTCACCGCAACCTCCGCCTCCCAGGTTCAAGGGATACTCCTGCCTCAACCTTCCCAAATAGCTGGAATTACAGATGTGCACACCTGAACCTGGCTAGTTTTTATATTTTTAGTAGAGACGGGGTTTCACCATGTTGGCCAGCTGGTCTCGAACTCCTGACCTCAGGTGATCCACCCTCCTTGGCCTCCCAAAGTGCTGGGATTACAGGCATCACCCACCACGACCGGCCTAGAATGGATTTTTAAACCACCCATGCATGAGCCAATCTCCCACACAAGCTCAAAGTCTAAACCTTTTAGAGTTGGTCTGGGCTCTTCAGATCAAGGCAGTCAGGTCTGTCTTGCCACCTCTTGGAACACTTGAATGCAAATAATCGTCACAGAAAGGTGAGGCTCTTGTCCTGCCACCCATCTCCGAAGGTGATTTATTATCACCAAATCCCACCCCCATGACAATCCTTGCTGGGCGATATGAGCAGGTCCTTCCCACTGAAACTCCTCCAAGCCCCTATCCTTCCTCACATGAGGCAGAGACGGGCAGCATAGCTCTCCCAGGCTGATTATCAACCAACTGAAAATGGCTGTCTGTTAACCTACTGCAACAATAATGGGATAAGATGGATTTTTAACAAAACAAAGAAGAAAACCTTTCAAAATCCTACTCTTGCAGTACCATAGGCTATGTGCTTTAACAATAACACTGCAATACCTCAGAATACTAAAATTCCTCTTTTGGAATTGCCTTCCACATACCCCTCTATGCACACAAATAATGTCATCTGTTCGGAATGAATTAAGAAATTCACCCAAAATTATAAAAGAAATTCACCCAGGGTCCTCGGCTTCCTCCCTCACTCTGCAGAGAAGCAAGGGTCCGCCACACTCAGAAGACCATAAATGGCATCTCTAAAATCCTGATGGTCCTCGGGATCGCAGGATGCCAGAGGTTCAAGCTGTTTCCAGGATTCCTCCCCATGGGATGCCACGGGTGTGTTAGATCACCTGCAGGTTGTTCTACAGGTGACTCCACTGGAAGCTTAGTCACAGGTCTCGCCTGCAGGGAAACATGTGCCTGTCCTGACTAAATCTGAGAATGCACACAAAGGAGTAGCCCACCCTATAGACAGGCTAGCAAGGGCTTCGTGGTCACTGTGGTTACCCAGAGGGAGGCCCCTGGGATGGGACACAAGCACCGGCACAGACAAGGCCCAGGCAGATGCAGAGCTCAGACCAGATCTGTCCAGCATACAGGTATAGAAGAACTCTGTTGCTAAACTCCCAGGGGCCCAAGCACCTCCTGCAGGTAGACCTAGCAACACCACCTCTCCCAGCTCGTTGGAGCTTACTGAATGCTTTCTCCACTCCAGCTTCTGTGCCGAGCACCGCCCATGCATTGATCCCAGGTCATCTATGGAGTGGCATGAATATGCCTACACTGTAGATGAGATACTTAAGACTCAGAAATGTGAACTCACTTACCCAGAGCCACACAGCCAGGAGCCAGCAGACTTTTACCATGTCTATTTTAAGGTTCAAGAGGCATGTCTGCATGAAGCAAGTTAATGGTGGAAACTGATGGGCCCCCAACCTGGTGCACTTTCCCTTATGCCACATGGTTCCTATGCCGTAGAATATAGGAGACATGCTGTTCACCCACAACGTCACTTCTAGCTCTCCCTCTCTTAATAAATAGTGCTTGTGACAATCACTGTGGTCATAACAAGGATAACAGAAGACCATGCATTAAGAATTGCTTTTTATGTTTTACACTTGATCTGCAATGAAGTGGTTATTATTACTTGGACATGAAGAAGTGGAAACTCACCCAAGTTAAGAAACTTGCCCAAGAGCACACAGCTGGTAAAGTGGAAGAAAGGGGCGGAGTCTCCTATTCTCACTGTGGTGGGAATGTGTGAAAGGAGTTGGGGTTTCTGCCAAATGCATGTGTTCCTGGATTTGGGCAGGGTGGAAAATGACTTGTGAGCTTTGCTCCATGCCGCTCTGGGAAGCCATCTCAAGGTATTTCACAGCTCACCTCAAGACTAAGAGATAAGGGACCCCTGCCCTGTCTCAGGAGAAGGAAGCAGACAGGAGCCTGGCAAGATGGTCCTGGAAGGAGGGAGATTTGTGTCTGTCCCAGCAGTGGGTATTGGGAGAAGCCGGTGGATGATTTTACACTCAAAAGTCTCCATCCCTTTGATCCATGTTAGCATAGCAGGCTTCTCCTCCTGTCATTTGAACTTCCAAGGAGAGGTTTGAATCCACTGTTCATATTTCCCACTCAAAAATATAAATGGAACTAGAGGCACAGTTCCATGCCTCTAGACACTGGCTTAAGCCTGTTGTCAGGCCTTGAATTGCCAGCTTCTCGTGTCCTGGGACTCCAATGCAGGGCTGCAGGGAGAGAGAAGGGTCAGGCTCAGACATGAGACCCATCACTACAGGAGGCTCCCCTGGTCCCCGAGTGGGTCTGCATGGTGCAGAAAAGCAAGAGAGACGCATAAATTCAATGTAGCAGAGCGAACTGGCTTCCTTCCTATGGTAGGATCCTGGGTACAGCATGGAAACTGAAAATGACAAGTGGGAAAGACTCGATGAGCAAGCACAGGGAGGCCAGCAGAGAGCAAAGCCAGGTCCCAGGCCCTGGGCATGGATTCAGCCACCGGTTTTGGTCTAAAAGCAAGACGGAGACATCCAAACCAAAGCCAGGTGGCCCGTAAAGGGGCGATGGGCACCAGACAGGAAGGAGGTCAAGAGCCTCCCTGACGCTGAGCCTGGTGCTCCCAGGCCTCCCTAGGTACCAGGCTGACTGTCCTGAAGCCTAGTCTGACCCCCGCATTGACTGCCTAAACCCCATCACAAGCTGCTCACTGTCCTCCTGGTTAGCCCCAAACTTCCCAATAGGGTCCCCAAGACCCCTTGTACAGAAGCCCCCGCTAAACTCCCCAGCCAGAACTGCTGCCTTGTTCATCTCCAACCAGCCCAAAGTATTTTTTCTTGTTGTTGTTTTTTGAAACAGGGACTCACTCTGTTGCTCAGGCTGGAGTGCAGTGGCACTGTTACCGCTTATTGCAGCCTCTACCTCCTGGGCTCAAGTGCTCCTCCCACCTTAGCCTCCCAAATACCTGGGACCACCGGCATGCACCATTGCACACTGCTAGTTTTTTTAGGTGTTGAGCCACCACTTCCAGCCCCAAGGTATTTTAAATTCCTGAACTCACATGCTTTTTATTTTCCAGTTTTGTACCCTCTGGTTCCTACACCTGGGGCATTGCTCACATTTTCCCCTGTTCACCCTTTAGCTTGCAGCTCTGACTACACTTTCTCCGGGAAGCTGACACTCAGGCCCGAATGTGGCTGGCTGCCGCTCCTGTGACTCCTCCACTGCTGGGCCCACCTGGAGCTGGAGTCTGTCACCATGCAACTGCCTCCTGTGTCTGCTGTCCTCTACAGACTCCTGTGCCACCCAGAGCCTGTGACCTGTGCACCATTTATTTTCCTGAATATTTAGCTCGATGCCTATGTTTGTGGAAAGAAGGAGGAAAAGGAGGGAGGAATGAAACTGGGAGGAAGGAAGGAAGAAATGAAGGAAGGAAGTTAAGAACTAGCCCAGTGGCTGGCACCCGGAAGAGTGACAGATCAGCCCCACCAGAATGTGGGGAGAGTCAAAGGGACTCTGTCCTCCCTTCCTGCCTCCCAGTTGACTCAGCGCCTAGATCCTGGGTGGGGGAGCCCATGGAGGGAAGCATCAGCTGCCAGGCCGGGTAGAGGGGCAGCAATGGGGGGACCAGGTGACAAAGAGACTCTCAGCCTCTCTGTAGGATTGACCAGGCATGTGGTAGTGCCTGGAAGTGGGGAAAGTTGCTACAGCTGAAGAAGTCTTGGAAGGCAGCATTTCGGCATCATTGTGCTTCTCCATCCTTCTTCCTCTAAAGGGGGGTGTCTTTCTATCCAATTCCTCCCACAAGACTCATGTGTCCTCCTCCAGGTGAGGAAAGCCTGGCAGACTCTAGCATGACTGGGAGTAAAGGTGGCTGGGCAATCTCAGCACCAGGAATGCACATTCACACCACGAGACAGGGCAAAGGCTAGGTCCCTTCCCGGCAGGGGGATGCGCCAGCCTCGGGCTTCCTGGAATTCTCATCTGCCTGACCAGCTGATGGCAGAGTCATGGTGACTCAGGACTGAATATTCAGCTGCGATGTTCGATGCTAGGTGTGGTGCACGTCACAGGTGAGCAAAACCAAAGGAACTGGAAAAGCTTCACATTTGAGTTTACCATTGACACTGAGTTGTTTTACAGGGAGGAGCCTGAGGTGCAGACGGTATCAGCTACAGGCCAGGTTGTGTCTCTAAGCCAGATGAGTGTCCTCATCCTTAAGGAGTCATCTTCCTCTAATCCTCTGGTTCTCATCCCCATCTCAGCTGCTTTTGAAAATTAAATATTATGCCAAGGCACCTCCTGCAGTGATGTGACTTCCTTGTCTGGGGTGGATCTTTAGCTGTTATTATTAAGATACCTCATTGTGTTCATTCTGCATCCAGAGCTCAGAACCATTGCTTGAAGTACAGAGTTGTGGTTCTTCCTGAACAAAGTGTTTCTGGGTCCTCCTATGTGTTGTGAGCGTTGCCTGGAACCGAGGCCCTGCTGGGGGTCATGGTCTTCTGCTGTGGTCACCTCCATGTAAAAGATGATGCCCTCTCTCCAGGAGCACACAGGAGGGTTGCAGTGGACCACAGTCACCCTCCCCTGACCAAAAGTTCCCTCAAACTCCCTTACACTTTTGTACGAGACCTATGCAGTACAAACAGAACATTTTATCAAAGTTTCTGGAGATTTCATCAAAGAAGGGCAACAAATTAAAGTCTGGAAAATTAATGCTTTTCCCAGATTCCAAAAGGGAAGTTTCTTTGCTTAGGTCCTTTAAAAGGCCAGTGGGCTCTTACGTGTTCCAGCCTCAGTCTCTTGACCCCAAGTTGTCCTCCTCCTTCATTCACCCTCCTTCTCTCCTTCACTGCTTGGGAGTGCAGTCTTGCTTCACCGCTCTCCTTCACTCCCTCCCTCCCACCTGCCAGCAGTGAGGACACCACTTGATTGTTCCAGCACCTCTTTCCCTTCGCTTAAACAGGCTGGAGCAGTCACTGAGAATAGCAGCAGGAATATCATGGGTATCTAGTGACACCCAAGCTCCAGAGAACATTAAGCCTGAGGGGCTGAGTTCTCTAAAATGCCTTGTCTACTGGGTACTGGTCGAACCCTCAGGCTGTCTCCATGCATGCCCACCAGGGTGAGTGCAAACAAACTTATTTCTTAGCTCATGAACCTGTTAGATAGAACATCTGTACAACTCCCCAGGACAAATGTTAGGTTGTGAGGACAGTACAGTCTCAACCCCAAGTGAAGAAAGAAATATTTCCCTGATTACTGAGATGCTTCTCACTTCCCCAAGAGCTAGGATCTCATTGTTCACCAAAGTAGCATTTGATTTCTTTCCTGCTCCACCTCATGCCTTCTTGGATCATTAAGGTACACTGTCACCCTCTTTTTGTATCTCAGGAGGTGTTGAACCTGGATTCTTCAAGTTAGGATCAAATTAAATATTTTTTTTCTTCCTGGAAAAAAGGAAAAAAAGGTAAGAAGAAGTTGGAACCTTGAAAAAAGAACAAATAGATTGCAGGGTAGGGAAAGAAACAGCTACCTCATTTATTTGGCTGAGTAGCCTTTATGGAAATAAAAATAGAGAAAAAGACTTCCTTTTCAAAGAAGCTGTCCCCAGGAAATGGAGAAATGCCAAAAACCACCTCTGTGCACATGCTTGTATCAGAGAGGAATAGAGAACAGGAGGGTACTGATTTCCACTCCTATAATCTTCCGTCTCCAAAAACTAGATAAAGAGATTTCAATGTGTTTTTGAGAAAAACTAAAACACATTTTTGGTTTGCCATTGCACAGAATGGCATGAGGAACTCATAGCATGACTTAAAGAAGATGCCCAGTTTTGAGATTGAATTAATGGGCAACTGCTCAAAGATGTGATATTCTTAAATATACTCTGAGATCTGAAGTTAACAAAGAGAAAAAAAATAGTGCATTGATTTTATAAGCAAAGGAACTACAAACACTAAAGAAAAACAATTAACAACATGACAATAGTAAGTCATTACCTATCACTTTGAATGTAAATGGATTAAATTTTCTAATCAAAACATGTAAAGTGGTTGAATGTATCAAAAAGCAAGGTCCAACTATATGCTGTCTACAAGAGACTCACTTTAGCTAGAAGGACTCACACAGGCTGAAAGTAAAGGGATGGGAAAAATATTCCATGGAAGTGGTAACCAAAAAGAGCAAGAGTGGCTGTTCCTACATCAGATAAAAGAGACTTTAAGTCAAAAGCTGTAACAAGAGACAAATAAAGTTATTATATAATGATAAAGTGGTCAATTCATCAAGAAAATAAAACAATTATAAATATATAAAGCAAAGATTTAGAGAACTGAAAGGAGTAACAGCAATTCAGTAATATCAGAGACTTCAACACCCCACTTTCAACATTGGATAGGTCATCTAGAAAGAAACACAACAAAGAAACAGTGGACTTGAACAACACTAAAGACCAAATGGACCTGACAGACATATACTGAACATTCTATTCAACAGAAGAATACACGTTCTTCTCAAGGGCACGTAGAATATTTTCCAGAGTAGATAACATGTGAGGCCACAAAACAAGTTAATAAATTTAAGAAGATTAACATCATATGAAGTATGTTTTACCAACCACAATGGTGTGAAACTAGAAATGTGTGTGTGTATGTAGAAGTGTGTGTCTTTTTCTGTAAAGAGGGAGGGATAAGATGTATTCTAGATGTGAGGAAGAGAGAGAAGAACATAAGAGCTCTAATGTTCTAATGTAAGAATATGTGGCTCTGATCTGGGATTTCCCTGAAGTTTGTGTGAGCGGGACTTGTGGATCTAGATGTTATGACATCACAGAACTTCGCAAAGGCCATATTGAAATAAAAATTGGCCAGTGTCCTGGACCCAAGATACAAGCAGATGGTAAAAGAACATAATTTCTCTGTTTTAGGGAAGATCTCAAAATAAGCATCATTCAAGTGGTTCTCCAAAGACCATCAGAGCCAGGCCAGTGAGAGATAGTAAGGAATTGGGTACTGCAGTGCATTGGAGCACTCATATTCTATGTAAGGAAGCTGTCCCCAACCTTTTTGGCACCAGGGACTAGCTTTGTAGAAGACAATTTTTCCATGGACCAAGGTGGGGGAGATGGTTTTGGAATGATTCAAGTGCATTACATTTATTGTGCACTTTATTTCTATTATTACATTGTAACATACAGTGAAATAATTATACAACTTATCATAGTGTAGAATCAGTGGGAGCCCTGAGCTTGTTTTCCTGCAACTAAAGAGCTCTATCTGGGGGTGATAGGAGAGAGTGACAGATCATCAGGCATTAGATTCTTATAAGAAACATGCAACCTAGATCCCTGGCACGCACAGTTCACAATAGGGTTTGCAGTCCTATGAGAATCTAATGCTGCCACTTATCTTACAGGAGGTGGGGCTCAGGTGGTAATGCAAGTGATGAGGAGCAGCTTTAAATACAGATGAAGCTTCGCTCACTTGCCTGTCACCCACCTCATGCTGTGTGGCACGGTTCCTAACAGTCCAGGGACGGGTACTGGTCCATGGCCCAGAGGTTGGGGACCTGTGATGTAACGGGACAAGAGATTTTTGGATAAATCTCAGTGTTACATGTAGAAACGTGGGCCCTGGTGGTTTAATCATTGAATTTTTCTGAGGAAGTCAGAAAACTGAATTTTTATGCAAAATTTTTAGTGTTTTAAATGTTGACACCTAATATCAAAATACTTCGATGGACTATATTTTACTCATGGGCTTCCAATTCAAGACTCTGGTTTAGATGCAGGAATCAGCTTGACAATTCAATGAACCATGAAGACTTAGACCTGTAATGACCTCAGAAATCCATGATTCCTTTCCCTTTTGTAGGCAGAATAAAAAATGGAAGGGCTAGACTTGGTCAACAGTTAGTCTAAATTTACATAGCAAATTTGTAAAAAAACTGGGACTGAAACATAGGTCTCTAAATCTCTTCCATTCTTTGCACTATACCTCACTATATTAGTTATCCATTGCTGCATAACAAATTATCCCAAAACTTAGTGGATGAAGACGAGAAACATTGTTATCTCACACATTCTGTGGATTGTAGAAACTAGGCATGGCCCAGCTGGGTGCTTCTAGATCAAGCTCAGTCATGAAGTCGCAGTTAAGCTGTCAGCCAGGGCTGCATTTGTATCTGAAGCCTACACAGGGAAGGATCTACTTCCATAAACTCACTCACATGGTTATTGGAGGGAGTTAGTTCCCTGTGGGCTGGTATATTAAGAGCCTTAGTGACTGACTAGCTGTTGGCCAGAGAAGCCCCTCAGTTCATTGCCTTGTAGGTCTCTCCATAGGGCGACTCAAAACATGGCAGCAGGCTTCCACAAGAGCAAGAAGAGTGAGAAGGCATCCAAAACTGAACCCACAGCCTTTTTATAGCTTACTCTCATGACTTCTGAGATTAGGTTATAATCTATTGCTTCATAGACTTATAATCTATTTATTAGAAATGAGTGAATGAGGCCAGCTCATAATCAAAAGGAGTGGCTTACACCAGAGCATGAATCACAGCATTTCACAAAGACAGGAATCCTTGGCAGCAATCGTAGAGGCTGCCTGCCACACTCAGTGTCTCATAAATTTATGCCAGGGGTCAGAAAACTATGGACTGCTGGCTAAATCCAGTTGCCACCCAGTTTTATAAATAAATTTTTATTGGAACAAAGCCATGGCCATTTGTTTATGTATTGTTTATGACTGCTTCTGTACTATAGCTGCAGAATTAAGTAGTTGCAACAGAAGCCACATGGCCAGCAATGCCTAGAAATATTTACTGTCTAGCCCTTTACAGAAAAGGTTTGCTGGCCCCTAATATATGCAATCATAAAACCTCTTGAAAAATATGGAAGAGGAGATTGAGTCAGAGATGTCAAATTCATCATTTTATTGAATTTTTCTTGGTGCTCTAGCACCATAAATACCATGCTATGTAATTTTATAAGGCAGTTAGCTGGAAATTCTCAAAACAGGAGTAGCCCTGTGGTCTGAGCCAAGTGGGTGAGGTGTGGCTTCCATTCCCCAAGCCCTCTCTCATTTATTCTCCACCATATATAATCATTTACCTTTCCACTGGGAAACCCCACACCAAAAACCTTTGACAGAAACATGGATATAAAATATAACTACAATAACCTGAATAATAAAGCAAGTAGTTAGCATAATCTGTGAGCCTGATGGTCCTGGGCTTCAAATTTTAGAAAGTTATTTCGTTTGTCTTAGCCTTAGTTTCCTTAATCTTTTTTTTTTTTTTTTTTTGGAAACAGAGTTTTGCTGTCACCCAGGCTGGAGTGCAATGGCGTGATCTGGGCTCACTGCAACCTCAACCTCCCAGGTTCAAGCAACTTTTCTGCCTCAGCCTCCCAAGTAGCTACGATTACAGGTGCCCGCCACCACTTCTAGATAATTTTTGTATTTTCAATAGACACTGGGTTTCACCATGTTGGCCAGGCTTGTCTCAAACTCTTGACCTCAGGAGATCCACCCACCTTGACCTCCCAAAGTGCTAGGATTACAGGTGTGAGCCACTGTGCCTCCTCCTTATCCTTAAGTAAAAATTCTGATACCTACTTTATGCCTTTTTTTGTCAGAGAAATGCATTAAAGCACCATTGCCATGCCAGGTACGTAATAACAGCTCCATAGATACTAGCCACCATGTGCAAATCATTTAATAGTCATCCATGGCCTATTACCACATCAGTCAATAGGCTCATTTCAATTACCAGTTCTGAAGAAAGGATAGTGGCAGACGACCTGTTTTAACAAAAAGTCCCCTGGGTCACACCTTTTGCCTTGGATGCATCACTTCCCCACCTCAGCTGCCAGCCCATTGATGAGTTGAGCTCATGATTGCTTTGTAAGAGCCACCTGTCCCCTAAAAGTCCTCCCTGAGGAAGCAGCCATCAGAACTGTGTAGGCTGGTGGCCAGAGGTAGTATAGGGTGTGTTTTTACTGGGACAGGGCCATGATTAAATAGAAAGAACCCGGTTGGAGTTACCCAGTGTAAACAGAAGGTGAGGTAGTATTATGCACTTCATTCTATTTGTGGTGAAAATATTGCTGCCAAATGGGTAGAAAAATGTCTTTAGGGTAGCTTTATATGAATTTCTCATACACTTATCCCCTCCTTGATTTTGCCTATAGGAATTAGGAGAGTCAGTCCCCATCTTGTCAGGCATGATTTTAGAAACTCTGGGAAAGGCATGCAACCCCACATCACTGCTAAGCCTGTAAATTCCTAAACTAGTTTGAGCCTGTTTTAAAAAGATGCCATATGTTAAGCCTGGCTCTCTCTCCATAGCATGTCTCCCTCAGTGCCTGCTGGCATCACCACTTTAATTCTAATTGATGGGACCGCCACCTACCCTGTCCCCTGAACAGTATCCCTAGGCTGCCTCCTCTCTTAATTGCTTCTCTCATGCTCAACCATTGTATTAACTCTTGATTGCTTCTTCTAGATGGCTCTGGCACTCAGGTCTGCCTCTTTCTCCCACTGGCATCCGAAACACAGCAGACCTGAGTTCAGCTCTTGGTCTTCTGGCCTTCAGTCTCATAAGCCTCTGCTCCACCCTCCATATCATATCTGCACCAAAGCACGATACCAGCATTCCCTAAAGGCAAGGGTTACTGGGGGCCATTGCAGTGGCTGCCTGCCACACTCAGTATCTCACGAATTTATTTATGTTTTGTTAAACCATAAGTGTGTTCAGATTGTTCTCATGTTGTAAATCATTTGTTGTCTTTGCATTAGCTGCTACTGTTCTCTCCCTATTTCCTTGCTCTTCTGGAAGTATTTCTTCTTTGTGATATTCATCCTGAGCATCCTAGGAGATACTCTAGGATTTGAAAATAATTCTTATTATCTAAAGGGTGAAAGCAACATAGGACTTGAGTATATACTTTCTCATTAATATAAGGACATAAATGAAAAGACACCATCTATTAAAGATAATAAGAAATGTTCACAAATAGTATATGGCATTCATTATGGAACTTGGTAGAAGCTCCAAGTGTCATGCAAAATGTGCTCTGCAGAACTGCAGAGGAGGGAGGGATCTCTTTCAACTGGGGTGATTGAGATCATGAGGAACTGGTATTTGAGTTGGTCCCTGAAAATTATGCAAACCACTTTGTAGAAAGAATTGGCTGATGGCTGTAAACCCAGCACTTTGGGAGCGCGAGGAGGGCAGGTCCCTGGAGATCAGGAGTTCAAGACCAGCCTGGCCAAAGTGGTGAAACCCTGTCTCTACTAAAAATACAAAAATTAGCTGGGCATGGTGGTGCAAACTTATAGTCTCAGCTATTTGGGAGGCTGAGGTGGGAAAATCGCTTGAACCCGGGAGGTGAAAGTTGCAGTGACCCAAGATTGTGCCACTTCACTCCAGCCTGGGAGACAGGGTGAGATTCTGTCCCCCCCTCCAAAAAAAGAAAGAAGAGTCAGAAAGAACCTAGTTTCCAGCATCTATCACCAAGCAATTTGGAGAGTGAAGTTGATATTTACAGAAAAAGTGATGTAAAGATTGGTTGAGAACATTGGGGAAATGGTCCAGACTAGAGATGAAGATGGAAGGTAGCTGCATGCAGGCATAGATAACCACATCCCAAAGATCATATGAAGCCAGCAGAGGCCCGCGAGTAAGCATCTGGAATACAGTTAGGAACATGGGAGCATCAACTGGCCTTTCCCCATTTGGGAAATGCAGATAAGTGTATCAACATTATTAAATTACTGCATGATTCAAATGAAATAAATGCAAGTAAATTGCTTAGCACAGTGTCTAGAACATAATATGTGCTCAATAGATCTGTTACAATGACGTGACAATGATGATAAGGAGGAGGATCATTATCATCATCATCATTATGATTGCCATGAAAATGTTAAATTCTTGAAGATGTTCCCTTTTGGGGACTTCAGGGACAGGAGAAGGAGGAAAACTTCCATGATGAATCAAAGGCAGTAATGGGAAGGATAGGAGGAGACAATGGAAAGCGGATGTCTGTTATATCGTGTTACTGTCAGCTTGTATCTTTTTCCATTAGACTAGGAAATAGTGAAAATTCAGAGCCTAGAGAGTAAATATTGTTTATCTTTCTTTCCTGCACAGCACCAGGTCCTAAGACCCTAATACAGAGCAGATGTCCATGAAGTTCTCTGGACGTTGAATTGAAATTGAGGGATAGGTTTCTGAAAGTGGCCTTACGAGGCACATGTTGCAAAACGGGCAGGTTGGAAGATTACAGACAAAAAACTCATTGAGCTGGGGATGTAAAAGGCTTGGCTGGACTTAGGAAGAGTAGTTTGGACAGATTTCTTGAGATGCTAGGATGCAAAGAATTTAGGGACAATGGGGTGATGGAAAAGGGTACACACCTAAGTATAGACCACTACACATGAGTGTAGATCACCAATAGTCAAGGGATGACTCTGAGAGCAGGCAGAGAAATGACTGGACATGCTGGCTTCAGGTCACAATGCTGCAATTCACTACAGCATGTCATTCAACCTCTCTGAGCCTCAGTGTCTTCATCTATAAAATTGGAAAAATGTCTGCCTTTATTTGTATAACTTATATAATGGTGGTTGTGACAAGATTAATGGCTGCAAAGGAGAATGGCTGAGCCAACCTTCATCTTAGACTATGTCAAGATGAAGAGGAGTTGACACCCTGGATTCCCGTGCTGGGAGCCCATGCCAGAGTCTTGATATTGTTAACCGAGGGTCACGTGGGTGATACTTGGGTGATACATGGGTCACATGGTAATTTGCAATGTACAAGTCAATTTCACACCATTAACTCATAGGGCTTTCACTGTGACCTAAACAGGAAATGTACTGCTCTCTGTGCTTTGTTGCTGAGTTACAGATGCTCACAGAGCTTAGGTAATTTATTCAGGTAAACCCACGCCATACACGGTAGGGCTGAGTGATGGCCCAATGACGCCTCACTTCAGACCTGGTGTTTGTCTTCTACATAGCTCTGCCCTTCTGCCACAAACTTGGACCAATCACATCTCAGCTCCACATTTTAAGAACAGGATTTAAAAAATAATAATTAAAGGAAAGTCTGACATGAACAAAGGTGATAAATAACTAAAGTTTCTCTTCCTTGCTCAACCTAATCAAAATGTCAAAATGCTGGCTGTGAGAGCTACAAGGAAACCAAGCACATGGGTACAAAAATTTGCAGGATCTGCAGTTCCAAGTGCTGTGACTCAGAGCCCAGGGGCAGGGAGTGACAAGACCCAGCTGTCGTTAGTGTTGTGTGGCTTCAGACACATGAATCTATTCACCCAACTATTAGACAGCACACGTGTACTTGTTATCATTTGAGAGGCTAAAAGTATTTATGACATAAAAAGGATTATAATAAGCCAAAAAGAGGACAATTCACAGTTGTCAGTGGCTCCCTGGAGTAGAGAAGTAAATTACACAGTCTCTCTCTTCTATTGTTTGAAATTTTACCATAAAAATGCATTACTTTTATAATTTTCTTAAAACAGGTAAGTCCCCCTCAAAACGGATTTTGTGTGTCTGGAGTATGTCCAAACTTGAAAAGGCTGATTGTCACAGCCCAATCTCCAATTCCCAGCTCCCAAACTAGTTGACAAGAAAAAGTGGCATTTTTCCTCACCAAGGAACTTTTATGAAATAGTGGTGTTGCCATAAAAATGCCTCCCAGTCTATGAAGGAACAGGTTAGACCAGGGGTTCACCTGTGGAAGTCTATTCTCCATGTGGAAAAGCAAGTCATCTCCAGCGTCTGACTGTCCTCACCCCAGGCTGAGAGCTGGTGCTAACCCTCTACAACGCCCAATGCCATCGTTATGTCTGACATAGTAAGACTGTGAAGTCAGCACCCATCCCACCCACACTCACCTCCTTCCCCCATTTATAAATATCTCCAATTGCTTTGTCTCAAATCATGAACTAAAGAGGAAAGTTAGATTTTAAAAAGTAGCATCTACCTATCTAAAGTCTTAAATCTGCTGATTGAGCTCCACTCTTGGCTCAAAGAGTTATCTTTGAGTTATGATGAGTTATCTTTCTTCTACGTTTCTGCAGCCCTGTGCTTGAAATCTTCCTATGACTCCCATTAGAATTCATCCTAAATTTATCATTTGACTGTCTGCCCATCTACCTGGCCCTACATGGAGCTTCTGGAGAGAAAGAACCAAGACTGGTCCCTCTTGGTATCTCATCCACTTCACCCTCACCTATGCTGAAGACATGATACTTGTCCCTTCCTATAGTATGTGTTCAGAGTTTTCTTACTGAATCTGACAGGTGTGGTGCACCCAAATTCTGAACACACACTCCCAGAACTAACACACCCTTGATCCTTAGTGGATCCGTTATAATTGCATTCACACGAAGCAGCAGCTAGGAGACATCACGGTGACTTCAGCTCCCAATTGAATTGTCATTGACTTACTTAGTTCCCAATTGATAGTCAACCAAATACAACCCATCCATTGGATTCCTGAACATTTAAGTTTAATAGCTGTTTTTTTTTTCTTTTTTAGCATTTTTCCCTCTAAACGTTGAATCTATATGCAGGGGAAATCATCTGGCCCCTGGACTGCCTTGAATGCTCCTGAGCCAAGAGTAACTTGAGGTCTTAAATGTCTATTCTGAAGCCCCTCTTTTGCACAGGGACAGTCATTGACTAGGAGGAGATGCCAGTCTATTAAATCTATCATCCCAGCATCCTCTTTCTCTGATGAAGTAAAATTAAACACCTTCTTTACTCATAAATTTGGTAGGTTTTAGACAATGATGAAGAATCGGACATGGGCCGCACACAGTGGCTCATACCAGTAATCCCAGCAATTTAGGAGGCTGAAGCAGGAGGATTGCTTGAGCCCAGGAGTTCACATCTGGGCTCGAAACCAGTCTGGGCAGCATAGTGAGACCCCATTTTATTTTCTACAGAAAATTTAAAATTTAGCCATGTGTGGAGGCATGCGTTTGTGGTCCCAGCTACTCAGGGGGCTGAAGTGGGAGGACCTCTTGAGCCTGACAGCTCAAGCTGTTGTGAGCTGTAATCATGCCACTGCACTCCAGCCTGCACAAAAAAGTGAGACTCTGTCTCTCAAAAAAAAAAAAAAAAAATGAAAGAATGAGACATGTTTCACTCAAATTATAGCACCCCATCATAGGCCAAGGGCCAGGTGGTCAGCTAACCTTGAATGTAGCCCATTTTCCTCCCTTACCTCACTACCAAAAAGCCAGTCCTATTGCCAGATATTGAATATGTCCAGGGCTGGATTTATTTGGTCCCCAGGAGGGTCTTAGACTCTCCCAGCATTTTAGGAAGAGAAAAAAAGCTCCAAAGCAGCAAAGTACGGACAAGTCAGCCCCCAGCCACATGCCCTGAGACTATTCCCCAAAGGGGGCATACTTGCTCATGCCAGCCCTATCTGTACCCACAACCCAATCTGACCCACACCCAGACAAGCCCCTGGAGTCCAGAGAGCACCCGGACAGCCACAAATCCATAGGGAGCTCTGCCTTACCATTGGGTTCCTAATTAACTGAGTGAGTGGGTGTGTTCTGCATGGTGAGAGGCATTGGAATGATGCATCAGAAAACATGTCATAATGTCATCACTGTAATATGACAAGAATTGCAGCTGTGGCTGGAACCTTTATAAAGTGACCAAGCACACCTTTTCATCCAGTCTCAGCGTGGGGTGAAGCCTAGCAGCTATGAGGATCCATTATCTTCTGTTTGCTTTGCTCTTCCTGTTTTTGGTGCCTGTTCCAGGTAAGATGGGCTGGGAAATCTAAGGATTGATCTAATTGAGAATATATAATTCAGAGTCAGTATTTCTCCATCCTTCAGAGTGCTTTGGACCAAGCAGGTTTGTTGTATGGGAACTAGGCATCACCACTTTTTTTTCAGACAAGAATCATTAAGAGGCCAGGTGCGGTGGCTCATGCCTGTAATCTCAACACTTTGGGAGGCCGAGGTGGGCGGATCACGAGGTCAGGAGTTCAAGACCAGCCTGGCCAAGATGGTGAAACCCCATCTCTACTAAAAATACAAAAATTATCTGGGCACAGTGGCGGGCACCTGTAATCCCAGCTACTCGGGAGGCTGAGGCAGAGAATTGCTTAAACCTGGCAGGCGGAGGTTGCAGTAAGCCGAGATCACGCCACTGTCCTCCAGACTGGGTGACAGGGTGAGAGTACACCTCAAAAAAAAAAAAAAAGAAAAGAATCATTAAGAAACTAAATAGCTCCCCAAAGCTATCTCTTTCCCCAACTCTTCAAGGGAAGATTATTATACCAGCTGATGAGACATGAATCAGACATAAAAGTTTAATGTAGCAGGAAAGATTGATTTACTCTGAGAATAGAAGCACAGGCTCCTGTTCTACTAAGTGCAATGGTTGGAGGTGGAGTGTTGGGGCTACCTCTGAGGACACCACAGCCTCAGCACCCCCACTGTTCCTGCGGCAGTCACAGGGTCACGCCACTTCCCCGGTGCCACTGTGGGTCCACAGCTGAGCTGCAGCCTTAGAAACATTGTCTATGGGTTGTGTAGTCATACCTTCATCTTCCTCCTGATTTTATAGAAAAAGGAAAAAGAAACAAAAGAATACAAGAAAAGCAAGGGATGAGTTATTTGAGGAATTCCACAAGCCTTGTACGTGTACCAAAAGCCTTCCTAAAACCTTTCCGTGTGTGCTGTTTTGTCATTGCAGGTCATGGAGGAATCATAAACACATTACAGAAATATTATTGCAGAGTCAGAGGCGGCCGGTGTGCTGTGCTCAGCTGCCTTCCAAAGGAGGAACAGATCGGCAAGTGCTCGACGCGTGGCCGAAAATGCTGCCGAAGAAAGAAATAAAAACCCTGAAACATGACGAGAGTGTTGTAAAGTGTGGAAATGCCTTCTTAAAGTTTATAAAAGTAAAATCAAATTACATTTTTTTTTCAAAAAAAATTAGGAGCTTGATTTTTTTTTTTAAATCTGATTATTTTGGTACTTGTTTCCAAACAGACAACTCAGAAAATCTTAAGGACTCACCTTTCGTTCAAAGAAAGTAGAATCTCTGGAGAAATCTATAAGGGAGCCCAACCTTATTATCCAAGGGTTATCAGGTTCTATTCCTACTTTGTGAACGTTATGCCCCAGTGAAGTTGGACTCTTCACTCTCTTGGAATATGCCCTTTGCTTTCATGTCATCCAAGCCTTGGGCCTTTTCAGTCCCTCTACCCCAAATGGCATCTGTCCACCAAATCTATCTCTAAGGTTTTCATGCATCCCTCAGGGGCTATCCCAATTCCTTCCAAAAACTTTGTCTTCAGAGAAATAAGGAAACTGGCTCTTCCTCAGATATTCACTTTGCTTTCTCTCACCCATGCCTCTGCTCTGGTTGACCTCATGTCTGCCTCACTCCTCCAACTTCATCTCTAAACTTTAACCTGTCCTTCAGGGACCGTCTCACATTTTATCTCCACCTTAAAAACACAGGTGATTTCCCAAATGCTTACAGTCTTTCCTCTGGTTCACCACAGGGTTCTGACTTGAGTCCTCCATCTACAACCCTTGCTTGGTTTTTACATTGCGTACAGTGACATATTGCCAATCTCCATATTAGACTTTGTGAGCCTTAAAAGCAAGGAGTTTGTCTTAATTCTTCCTGTACTGCTTGTAAAGTGCCCTGAGCATGAAGGCTGCTCAACAAGTATTTATGAATTGAAGTACATTCAAACGATTTATTGATTGAATTATCTTTAATCATTCAAATGATTTGGAGGTACTGCAGTTTAACTATCTAGTGCTCTCTCAACGTTGATGCAGTAGGATTCCAGCAAATGGAGTGTGTGGTTTTTCATACCTGACACCAGACCCCAGTCATGGCTCCACGTATGGAGAAAAGACAATACAACAAGGCTCTTAGGAAGAAAGGCTCAAGGGCTCAAAAAGATGAGACTGCTCCTCACTTTCCATCCAAAATGGACTCACTGCTATGGGAATCTCCCTCTGACAGCAGACAAAAGGGAACCTGTCAAGATGTGTGACAGCTGTGTTCAGACATTGGATAATAAGCAGTGCAACAGACCAATGAAGTGAGACTTTCGATTGCCCCCAGCTCACTACAGCAGCAGGGTCCAGACCACAGCACACAGAGGAAGACTCAAACGAAGTCCAGCAATCCTGAAGCATTGAAGAGACTGAAATCAAACTTCCCAAAGCACAAGACACCCCCACTTCCAGGGCAGAATAGCAGAGAGAGGTTGCCTAGAAGGAAGCAAGGCCCCGAAGTGTTGGTGGTGGGGGCAGGGACACATGGTAAATCTTCAGTCCTGGGCTGTGTTTTCATGTGAGCACGCTTGGGGTAAGACTTCACAAGGCTAGAGGCAAAGAAAAACACCCAAAAGGGATTGGATAACAATTTTAGGAGCACTAAAGGCTGGAAAAATTTTCATTCCCACTAGCAAAGTGGAGAGACTGCAGAGTCCTTGGGCAACTAACACATTAGTAGTAGTGCTATTTGGCTCTAGATTAAATTGTTCTGCAACCACTCTAACAAATTTTTTTCTAAACCATTCTTGAAAGGACCAGACTGATCTATGAGAAACTTAAATGTGGGACAGAATAAAGCCTAACGTTCTTCAAAGAAAAACAACTAAATCCATCACTCAACAGTTTGTGCTTTATAGCACACTGAATCTAATAAAAAATTAGCTGCTATGCAGGAAAATATGGTCATAATCAAGAGAAAAATCATTCAGTAAAAACAGATCCAGAAATGACAAGGATACTAGGATCAGCAAAAAAAGATTTAAATGAGCTATTATAAATGTTATAAATATGTCCGAGTTTGAAGAGAAAAACTGTTCATGATGAGTGAGAGATATAAAGAGACAAATGGAATTTCCAGAGATTAAAAATAAACATCTGAGTAAAAGATACTATGAGTTGGATTGTGGCATATATTCCAAAATAAAGATCAGTAAACCTGAGTTTATATTACTACAAATGAATGAAGAAATAGTACAAAGAGAGGAGAAAAGGGCTGGAAAATAATAAGCAGTGACCTGTGCAGAAACATCAAGCAATCTAGCAACTATGTGTGTTTAGACAGCCAGGCGTGGTGGCTCACACCTGTAATCCCAACACTTTGAGAGGCTGAGGAGGGTGGATCACAAGGTCAGGAGTTCAAGACCAGCCTGGCCAATATGGTGAAACCCCATCTCTACTAAAAATACAAAAATTAGCTGGGTGTGGTGGCGTGCACCTGTAATCCCAGCTACTCTGGAGGCTGAGGCAGGAGAATCGCTTAAACCTGGGAGGCAGAGGTTGCAAGTAAGCCGAGATCACGCCACTGCACTCCAGCCTGGGCGACAGAGCAAGACTCCATCTCGAATAAAAGAAGAAAAGTTTTGAGAGAGAGGATAGAGCTAAGGAAGGAATGGCCTATTGTTTTCCAAATTTGGTGAGACTATAAACACACAAATTTACCACATGAAGACATCCAAGTTGAAATATGAAACATGAAGAAAACCACATGAAACATATCATAATCAAATTATTTTAAATCAGTAATAAAAAGAAAATTTTAAAAGCAGCCTGAGGGCGGGCACAGCGGCTCATGCCTGTAATCCCAGCACTTTGGGAGGCCAAGGTGAGCGGATCACCTGAGGTCAGCAGTTTGAGACCAGCCTGGCCAACATGGTAAAACCCTGTCTCTACTAAAAAAAAAATACAAAAATTAGCCAGGCATGGTGGCACGCACCTATAATCCTAGGTTACTCAAGAAGCTGAGGCAGGAGAATCTCTTGAACCCAGGAGGCGGAGATGGCAGTGAGCCGAGATCACCCTACTGCACTCCAGCCTGAGCAACAGAGAGAGACTGCGTCTCAAAAACAAAAATAAAACTAAAAAGCAGTCTGAAAGGAGACATATTACTTACAGAAGAACAAAACGTTAAGTGTTATCTTCAAATGCCGAAAGAAAAAAAATGTTCTCTTAGAAATCCACCCCAGCAAAAGTATATTTCTAAAAAAAGGGTAAACACATAATCAAATAATAAGTAAAGGCATTTTCCAGTAACAACAATAAAAGCTAAGAGAATTCCTCACCAGCCAGTCTGTACTATAAAATGCAAAGATAAGTTTTTTGGCAGAAAGGGAAGATGCTAGGTAGAAATTTGATTCCATATGATGAAAAGAGCATGCTGTGAACATTCTAGAAGCTCCTTAAAGAGAGAGATTGTCAGTTCAGTAAAAAGCAAGACCCAACTACATACTGTCTATAAAAACCCACTTTATATATAAACTTTAAGAACAAACTTAGAGTAAAAATAAAAGGATGGAAAGAGATATAATATGAAAACATTAGTATAAAGAAAATAGGATTGGCTATACTGGCTCATTGACATAAATTAGGGTAGATTTTAGAGCAAGGGGTATTATCAGTAATAGGGAGAGATATTTTTCCTAATGATAAAGTGGTTACATCACCAAGAACAGATATTAATATTAAATCAGTGTGTGCCCCTAATAACAGAATTTTGAAATTCTTAAAGAAAAATCAATAGACATTAAAGAAATAGACAAATTAGCAATTGCAATTAGACAATTCAACACTTCTCTTCCTGTAAGAGATTTTTTAAAGCAGACAAAATATTAGTAAAGGTAGAGAAGTCTTGAGCAACGCTACCGTCCAGCACAACCTATTTGAGATTTATAGAACACTCTACCAAATAACAGCAGAATGCATTAAAATATTACCCAATAGAGCTCATACTAACCTATGAAACGTCTCAAAAAATCAACATAGTTTAAAGTTATACAAAAGACAGTGTCTATCTACAGTGGAATTTACAAAACTATCAATACAGAGAGTCATCTGGAAAAATCTCCATATATTGGGACATCAATGAACATGTATCTAAATGGTCCAGAGGAGAAATCACAAGATACTTTAGAAAATATGTTCAACTGATAGAAAATGAAACCATAACATATCAAAATTTGTGGAAGTGCCACTAAAGTGGCTCTTGGAGACAAATTTATAATTAAATGCTATTATGATAGAAAGCAGAAAAGCTCACAAATAGACAATTTAAGTTTCCACTGTAAGAAACGGTAAGGGAAAAGGGAACAAACTAAACCCAAAGTAAATAAGAAAAAGAAAAAAAAAGAGAAAAAGAAAAAGTGAATAAAAAGAAACTGGACACAAAAAACATTAAAAATTAGTAAATAAAAGCTGATTCCTTGAGAGGATCCATACAATTGTGAGAACTCTCAATAGGTTCATTAAGGGGTAAAGAAATTACTGTAAGTCTCAGGTGCACACCCAGGCTTCAGGCAGGCAGGAAACAGATTACATCTGCGTTTTAGGGTCATATAGACGAGCCGCCACGAGGTGGCAGTAACTGCGCGCTCATTCCCTCACCTCCTGCAAGACCAGGCCAGCCCAGGCTCTGGACTCACCACTCAGCTCAGAAGATGGAAGAGGGTGACAGTAGCTCCATGGACTTTGGCTTTAGGCA
This sequence comes from Homo sapiens, assembly GCF_000001405.40. Classification (NCBI taxonomy): domain Eukaryota; kingdom Metazoa; phylum Chordata; class Mammalia; order Primates; family Hominidae; genus Homo; species Homo sapiens. The sequence continues at coordinate 7,887,226 of NC_000008.11, forward strand.
GAGCGTTACTGTAGCTTTGGGGTTGTAGGAGGATGAAGAGGGGAGGTTATCAGGACACCATGATGATTGTGTGGCGCTGGTTAGGAACATGGGCTTTGAAGAGAGGGGGATTTTATTTCAAATTGCATCTTTGCCACTTAGTAGCCAGGTGACCTTGAACGTGTCCTCCAACATTTCCATGCCCCAGGACCTGCCTCTGTAAGCTTGCGTAATACCTACCTGGCAGGCTTGTTTCTGAGGATTTAATAAGATAATTAATATAAAAATGGCCATAGCAGGGCTAGCCGCAAAATTCCTAAGTTTCAGTGCGAAATGGAAATGCAGGGTACCATGGTTTAAAGAGCAGAAAAAGAAAGTGTAATGAAAGGCAGTAGGATATTAAGCTTTTTCAAACAAATATTTTTCATTGTTTGAAAAATGTAATAGTTATACAGGAGTAATGACAGAATCTTACAAATCTCCACCAGAAATTAATTTCATAGTTTTAATAGAATAAAAATACTACTCTATTAATTGGATTTAGATGAATCATACAATTTTTCTGGCCCACTTTTCTGTCAAATAATATATTAGGACAACAAACTTTATACCTTGAGCAACTTCATTTTATCTTTTGGGAAGAATCTGCTGAAGCAACTGTTTCTGGAATATATTCCAAGCTGTGACAACATGAGGATAAATTATTTTGAAACAGATTTTAGTATATCTGGAGCTGGTGATTCTTGTGAAACAATTTGACTCAAAAGATTTAACTCTTTAAACAAATCAGTTTCATGTAAATTTGAATCTAATTTTAAGTGTCAATTTCTCCAGCGGAATTTTGATGCATCTTCTGACATGTTCTGTAAGTTGCAGAGGCCCACAGCAGACCAATATGGCATCATGATTTGTAACTTATTCAAAACCCCTGTTTATGAATTCTATTGCTATGTATTTATTAACAAGAAAAACTTAATTTTTAAAATTGCCCTCCTTGTTCATAATTGATTAATCAGAAGGTTTTTGTTTGTTTGTTTTTTGTTTTTTGACAAGGTCTGTATTTTTCAGGCTGGAGTGCAGTGCTACGATCATTGCTCACTACAGCCTCAAACTCCTGGACTCATGTAATCCTCATACCTCAGCCTCCCAAGAAGCTAAGGCTACGATCATGTGACACTATGGCCAGCTAATCTTTATTATCTTTATTATCATTATTTGTAGAGATGGTGTCTAGTTATACTGCCCTAGCTAGTATCCAACACCTGGCCTCAAGGAATCCTCTGACCTGAACCTCACAACGTGCTGGGATAACAGGCGTGAACCACCATGCCTGGCCCATCAGAAGTTTTATACAAATATAGCATCCTTCTCTGTTGAATGTGACTACTATTACATGTTTAATTTCCATTTCTGAGCCTTGGATAATGCCTTAAAGAATTCTAAACTCTCTGAAGAATTCCAAGAACTTCCTGGTATACTTTATTGCAATGTCCATGGGCACACTTTTGTTTTGTGCTTCTCTCCTCCCAGTTTGCTATCTGAGCACCTATGGTTCCTGTCCTGGTGCTCAGGTCAGGGGGTAAATCTTTGTGCAGAAGCTCCAAGGATGACTCTGAGAATGCACAGGCACAGAGCTGTCAGTGCTGCCTCCACACAGAGACCCTCCATTCACCCCAGGGCTGAGGACACCTGCTGCTGCTGCTGCTGCTGCCACCTCCCATCCCAGTCCAGATGTGCCTGGGCTGCTCCAAGAATGCCTATGCTCAGGGCAGCAAAGCTCTAGAACGTCCCTGGGCCTGAGCCTGCCCACCTTGTCTCCCCTCATAGCCACTCTGCCCATGTGCCTGCTCCATTGTCCTCAGTAAGCTTCACTTAAAAAACACAAGTTCAAAGAAAAAACTAAGAAAGTCAGGGAGCTATCAGCAGAGCCTGACACCAGGTACCGGCCCTTCTCAGAGCAGATTCCTGTGTCACTGCCCTGCCTTCAAGCCCATGAAGCTGGCTCTGCCTCCAGAATTGAGAACCAGTAAAACTGCTTCTGTTACTTAACATTGAGGACATAATGCAGAGAAACTTTGTTTTCTAAATCATAGAGATGAGAGAGTTTGCTTTCTGGGAGCCTATCTATAAGAATGAGGCTTCCCACTCTTGCCTGGGGAACTGAACCATTTTGCCACAAAGAAACAGCCTGAAATTCTCTCCCCAGTTATAGAGAGAGGTTTGGGGACACAGCACAGGTCATGTTTCATTAAAAGACAGCATAGTGAGTCTATTTGTCAGTTAGACTTGATGGTTCCCATTTTACACACAACCTGGCTTTGCTTTTAGCTCATTAAGAAAAAGAAAAGTCATGTATATTTTACCAAATCTTGACATGTCCCCAAATCCTAGAATTGCTGCATCTCTGGTTTTAGTGAAGAGCCCCATGGTTCTGCCAGTGGATGGTCTTCCTTGCTGAAGCAAGATCATAACCCTACCTTTAAAGCAAAGATGCCCCTCTATTGGTCCTTATCAAACACACTTCATCACTAGGATGAACACAGCTGTGAAGGAGTCACACTGGGCTGTGCCAGGAGAAAAGAAGCAGCTGCAACCGTAGGAATCTTCATGGGAACAGTCAGCCCAGCTGTCCTTGAGCAACCAGGCACATATTCCCTAAGCCTTGGTGGCTTCTTCCCCAGGGACACAGGTGCTGCATTTCACAGTGACTTTCCTATTTCAGAGTAATTTCACCTCCTTCTCTAACAAGGCCTCACAAATGTACTGAGAGCTAGAGAGGACAACAAGTGAAAAACCACAGTGCTATCGGTGGTTCCTGGGATTGGAACAGGTGTGTAGGAAAAATTCACTCTCTTTTATGGGTGAGTTTTTAAATGTGAGTGTATTACTTTTATAATAATAATGTTAAGCATAGTAGTCATTAAGAATGTATCGATCAGGAATGAAGTCTCACATGAAAAAGATGGCAACCAGTCCCTTAATTCAAACTCTAAGCCCCAATAAGGTTCTTCTCATAGTACCATGACATTTCCTTAAGAATATTTACTCAACAAATTAAGAGACATGACAACCTGATTTGATGTGCAAATCTAGATTAAACATGTATCCAGAAACATCAACAGCCATGAAGCCATGGTTGGAACAATTGGAGAAATGTGAAATATTGACAAGATAATAAATAACATTGAGGAACTAGTTTTCTTAATGTGTGTAAATTGTATTGTGTTTGATGTGGGAATGTCCCCTCATATGTAAGAGATTCTGCTGAGATAATTACAGTGAAGTGTCATGATGTTTGCGTCTTTCTTTTTTAACTTTAAACAAATTTTTAGTACACAAAGGTTGTCACATAATTGGAAGTTTCTCTACTTTGTACACAATTATTCTCACTCTGCACAGAAAGGCTGCTTAACTTCTCATTTGGTGGTTGCAAGCACTAAAATCCTGATTTTAACAGAATAGACTACTATTCATTTTTACTAAAAAATGCCTCAGTGATTTAAGTTGAAAACAGTACATCAGTACATGGCTCTTGTACCCAGTGTCAGGAATGTACAAGATCTTTCTATTCAAAAATACAAACTAAATTATCTGTAGGCATGGATGACAGCTGTAAACCATTATATATTTTGTCAGTTGAAACCAGTAACTGATGGTTATAGTGGTTTCTTAAACATCAGCCAGCCTTTTCTTCATTTTCTCCAACTGACTTCTCTGAAGTTATTGGTGAGGAACACTGCCTTGGGCTTCCTATCACAATTCATTAATAAAGGTAAAGCACTATTCTAGGAATTAGAACAGGCCACCTCCCATTCCACACATTGCACCCATTCCAGGGCTGTTCCCTTCTTTAGGAATTTTTGTGACTACAACAGCTGCTGTAGTTAATAGAGAGGCCATGCCAGCAGCATCCAATAAAGCAGTTCTCACAACCTTTGTTGGGTCAATAATGTCTTTTTCCACCATATTCACGACATCTCCTAACATAGTATCATAACCAACTTCTGAGGAACTTTGCATAATTTTCTCAACTATCAAAAATCCATCAACACCTGCATTCTTAGCAATAGTCATTGCTGGAATTTTGAGTGTTCTTTTAATAATTTCTATGCCAATTATTTTATCTTCATTAGCTGGAGTGAATGAGTCCAAGGCTGGAATGCATCGAAGCAGGGCACAACCCCCTCCCTAAACAATGCCTTCTTCAACAGCAGCTCTTGTAGCATTAAGTGCACCTATAACTCTGTCTTTCTCTTCATTCACTTCAACATCACTTGTCCCACCAACCTTCAGCACAGCTACTCCATCTGAAAGTTTCTCCATTCAGTTTTTCCTTTTCGTATTCACTAGTTGTGACATCTGACTGGTCAATGATTTCTTGAACACATTTTTCAATTTGAGACTTGTTACCTTTTCCTTTTAAGAGCATGGCATCATCTTTGATCACAGTGACCTCTCCAACTTCTCCTACATCACGAGGCTGAACGTCTTCAAGATTTAGTGTCAGCCCTCTTCTCCAAACACTGTACCACCAGTAGCAATAACCGTATCTTTAAGCTGGTTCTTTCTATTGTCACCAAACCCTGGAGCTTTGACTGCCACAACCTGAAGACCAACCTTTAGCCTATTCAGGATGAGTGTAGTTAGAGCTTCTCCATCAATGTCTTCAGCAATTATGACCAAAGGCTTACAGTAAGCATTGGCAATTTCAAGAGCAGGTACAATGGACTGGACACTAGAAATTTTCTTTTCATGCAACAGAACATAGGCATCCTGGAATTCACATTTCTCACCTTTTGATGTATTAAGAAAGTATGGAGAAATATATCCTCTATCAAATTTTCATGCCTTCAATAATTTCTAATTCATCAGTCAGTGTTTTTCCATCCTTTACTGTGATGATGCCCTTTCTTCCAAACTTTTTCATTGCATCAGAGATGATGTTACCAATTTCTTTGTCTCCATTTGCAGAAATTGTAGCAACCTGTGCAATTTCTTCAGGTTTGGTCACAGGTTTAGACTGCTTTTTAAGTTCAGCAATTACAGCATCAACAGCTAACATCACACCTCTCTTGATTTCCACTGGATTAGCACCTTTGCTAACCTTCTGGAAGGCTTATTTGGAAATAGAGCATACCAGTACAGCAGCAGTGATAGTGCCATCCCCCAGTCTCTCCATTTGTGTTATTGGCAACATCTTGGACAAGTTTAGCTCCAATGCTTTTATATTTATCCTTTAAGTCAATTGACTTTGCATCAGTCACACCATCTTTTGTTACTTTGGGACTTCCCCAGCTATGTTCAATAATTACTGTTCTTCCCTTTGGCCCCATTGTAATGGCTACAGCATCGACAAAAAGTCTACACTTTGAAGCATTAAGGCTCAGACATCAGCACCAAATTTTACATCTTTACCATCACTTCAAGTGAGGTGAGGAGCCAGTAGCCTGGACACTGGTCTCATCTGGTGAAAGACTGTGGGTAATGGAAGCATTTCTGTGGGGTGGTGGCAGGACATGTGCATGGTGAGGCAGGTCATCAGCAGCAAGTGAGAGCTGCCTCTTACTTTCTAAAGGTGACATAGCAAGTATACAAAAAAAAAATAAAATATTAATTTAGGCAGAGCACATAAAGGCTTTATTTCATATTCCATTTCTCTGTATGCTTTCTTCACCAGGAAGAAATAGTTTTAGTGTCAGGAATGAATGAGTCTGCCCCTCAATTCCAGCCTGCTCAGCACACAAGGAAACAAAGCCCTGACAATCAGAGTGACTCCCTGGTGACTAAGCTCCAGTCCTGGATGCATATTTGTTTAGCAGTTCTGACAGCATCTGACCCAGCCCTCTCTTTGCATACCCCACCAGAACCTTCTTTTTTTTTTTTTTTCTTTGAGACTGAGTCTTGCTCTGTCGGAAGCGATTCCCGTGCCTCAGCCTCCCAAATACCTGGAATTATAGGCGTAAGCCATCATGCCTGGCTAATTTTTGTATTTTTCATGGAGATGGGGTTTTGCCATGTTGGTCAAATTGGTCTCACACTCCTGACCTCATGTGATCCACCTGCCTCAGCCTCCCAAAGTGCTGGGATGACAGGTGTAAGCCACCATGCTAGGCTCAGAAATTTCCTTTTATAAAAATGTCATTAAGGATCTTGGCTGCACAATATCGTTACCAGCTTCCTTTAAATCCACCTCTGGCCTGCCAGGAATCAGGGTTCTTCAGAACCTGACATTTTAAATGAAGAGGTCAGGCAGGTCATGAGGAAAGCCTCATTGTCCCCATGTCTCTGTCACTGCTGCACCCCTGAGACATCACAGACATGGACACTGGGGCCTGCTTGTTTCTCAAACTGCCCTTAGATCGAAAGAGGGAGGAACCAGGATGAATGCCACTCATTTTCCCAAGAAAGGCCCTCTCCTGAGTGCCCGGGATGGGGCTCTGTCCATTGCCTGGGGCCGCCAATTGCTACTCTGGGTTACGGAAGAAGGACAGGGTCCTGAGAGACACCAGAGACCTCACACAGCCCTGAAAACATGGGGCTCCTTCATAAGTGTTTCCCATCACCAACAGGGAGACCACGTGGAGGCCTTGCAGCCCTACTCGGTGCTTCTCCACCAAATCCCAAGGGCAGTGACGCTGACGTCTGTGGAAAGCAGAGAAAGCCCTGGCTCCCAAAGCCCTGAAGTCCTGTGGAGCTGACATTCCCTGAGTGACGGTGTGAATGGAAGGAACTCAAGTGCGGGTGGTAGGCCACCTCCTGGCCCAGGCCTGGGTGAACTCTGAGGGGACACATGTAGTCACAATCCCATCCTCCCATTCTCCTTCTCAGAGGAAGGAAGTGGGCATCCATCTGCCTCATCTCTCTCCCGTGGGGAAGATGGGGAGTTTCAGGGGAACTTTCACATAAATTTCACCAGCTCAGATCTCCTGTGAGGATGGGGCCCACCATGCTCCCGGTGCTGCCAGAGGCCCTGAGCCCCTCCAGGGTCCCTGGGTTTGAGCCAGCCCTGTATCATCCCCAGGAGCTGAATGTCCGAGCAATGGATAGAATTAGATGGAAAGAGCTCTCAATTTGGCCTGAGACTGTCCCCAGATACTCAGGAAAAACAGGACGTCGCACAGAGTGGGCAGCAGGTGAGTGGCAGGTTATAGGTCCTGAGTTTGAGTTTGTTCTCACGTGAGACAGACCCAGCCCCTCACTCCATTCACACACTGGGTTTTAAATGGTGCAAGATAGGAGGAATTTTCTGGTCCCAAGAGCAGGAGGAAGGGATTTTCTGGGGTTTCCTGAGTCCAGATTTGCATAAGATCTCCTGAGTGTGCATTGTTCTTTGAGGACCATTCTCTGACTCACCAGGTAAGTGGCTGAATTCTAACCTCTGTAATGAGCATTGCACCCAATACCAGTTCTGAACTCTACCTGGTGACCAGGGACCAGGACCTTTATAAGGTGGAAGGCTTGATGTCCTCCCCAGACTCAGCTCCTGGTGAAGCTCCCAGCCATCAGCCATGAGGGTCTTGTATCTCCTCTTCTCGTTCCTCTTCATATTCCTGATGCCTCTTCCAGGTGAGATGGGCCAGGGAAATAGGAGGGTTGGCCAAATGGAAGAATGGCGTAGAAGTTCTCTGTCTCCTCTCATTCCCCTCCACCTATCTCTCCCTCATCCCTCTCTCTCCTTCCTCTCTCTGTGTGTCCCCTCCATCCTTTTCTCCTGCTTCTCTCTCTTCTTCCCTCTCTCTCTTTTTTTCTGTCTTTCTTTTTCCTCTCTCCCTAGAGCATGTCTTTCTTTCTTTCTCTTTCCTTTCTTCTACCCACACTTTTAGACTGAGTAGACTGAATGCCCTATTTAATTGAACCAAGCATTGCTTCCTTCAATAGAAAAGGAGTTTGAGAACCCAATGGACAACTCACTCGTTCTTCTAAGCCAATATGAAGGAGCCCAGTAGTTTGTAAATATCATCTCTTCACTGCTTTCCATGCTACAACTGCTGAGACTATGGTTGAAACCTGTTAGGTGACTTTTTAAATAAAAGGCAGAAATTTTGATTTTATCTAAAGAAAGTAGTATAGAATGTCATTTTCTAAATTTTTATATTTAAAGAGTAGATACTGCAACCTAGAGAATTCCAGATAATCTTAAGGCCCAGCCTATACTGTGAGAACTACTGCAGCAGACACTCTGCCCCCAGGACTTTTCTGATCAGAGGCCCTGAGAACAGTCCCTGCCACTAGGCCACTGCAGGTTCACAGGACAGGGACAGCCCATTGAAACCAACTTTTAAACCTGGATGCCTAACCTTCATTTTCTCCTTGATATTATGAAAATAAAATAAAAACCATGAAAGGATAAAAGAGGGAGAGTGGAAGGGAAGGATGGAGAAAGGGAAAAAGAAAATTTGAGAGTAAATCCTAAAACAATTAATCTAATAGATATCATCTTGTGAAATCCTCATTTTACCAATCTTATTTATGAGTCCTGGGTTTTGTGAGAACAATGGGGTTCTGAGAGGCACCAGAGACCTCATATTTTCCAAAACCTAGAACAGTATAATGAAGGAAGGCGGGGAGGCAGGGAGGCAGGGAGGCAGGCTGGTGGGAGGGGGAGGGAGGGAGGGAGGGAAGGAGGGAAGGAGGGAGGGAGGGAGGGAAGGAGGGAAGGAGGGAGGGAGGGAGGGAAACAAAAAGAAGAATGAGGTTGAAACCAGGACTTAGATATTAGAAACAAGCCATTACAAAATTTATTTCTATGGTTAATTGTGGTTTTCAACTGTAAGTTACTTGGTGTTAATTTCCTATTAAACAATTTCAGTAAGTTGCATCTTTTTTATCCCATCTCAGATCAAATACTTAACAGACTAAATGATTTGAAAAAGCAAAAGTTTACTGGCTTGTGTGTGTTAAAATGGAGGTATGGTGGCTTTGATATTATCTTCTTGTGGTGGAGCTGAATTCACAAGAGATCGTTGCTGAGCTCCTGCCAGACCCCACCTGGAGGCCCCAGTCACTCAGGAGAGATCAGGGTCTTTCACAATCAGGTTCTACAAAAATAAACATCCCCCAAACCACAGCAGTGCCAGTTTCCATGTCAGAAACTTAGATCCAAATGACTGACTCGCGTCTCATTATCATGATGGAAAAGCCCAGGCTTGAGAAAGAAGCCCGCTGCGGATTTACTCAAGGCGATACTGACACAGGGTTTGTGTTTTTCCAACATGAGTTTTGAGTTCTTACACGCTGTTTGCTCTTTTTGTGTGTTTTTTCCCTGTTAGGTGTTTTTGGTGGTATAGGCGATCCTGTTACCTGCCTTAAGAGTGGAGCCATATGTCATCCAGTCTTTTGCCCTAGAAGGTATAAACAAATTGGCACCTGTGGTCTCCCTGGAACAAAATGCTGCAAAAAGCCATGAGGAGGCCAAGAAGCTGCTGTGGCTGATGCGGATTCAGAAAGGGCTCCCTCATCAGAGACGTGCGACATGTAAACCAAATTAAACTATGGTGTCCAAAGATACGCAATCTTTATCCTAGTAATTGTGGTCATTGGATGATGTTGGTTTGGGCAGGCCATCTCTAATATCCTTGAAACACCTTTTTCTGCTCTCCAGGAAGGGGTCAGGGCTGCCACAGCGGGGCTTGGAGTGCTTTCCAGGGTCACAGGCATCTGTATTCTTTGGATTCCTTGACCTTCCCCATTTATTCCCGGCATTTTCCTAAAACGTGTGCTTTGCTCCTCCTGCATCCTCCCCTTGCATGCCCTCACCTATCCCACATCTTCCCTAAAAAAAGCAAGCCCAACTCAAAGACCAGTTCCCTCATGGAATCATAGTGGATCTGCCAAGGGAGGGGATGCCCAGTCCTCTGTTCTTCACAAGGACTCCCTTCTTCTGGCTAAGGTTTCTTATGCAATTATGCCTCCTACAGAGGTGCGTGAATTTTTAATTCTCCATTTAGCTATGAGATTTCTACTAGTGTGGACTTTGTCTTATTCATTTATGTGCTGGCCATTCATAAACTATTTCATTAATTGGATGGCAAAATGCAGTTGTACAAGGGTTTCCTTACATACAAACATAATAGGATCCAAGTAAATGCTGTTAAAAACAAGTCTCTTTGAGGGCACAATTAAATGAGGACAATATGGCATGGGACACAAGCAGAGGGGAGCAAACCTCAAGAAGAAAGACTCATCGACTCTAAGGGGGAGCATCAAGATAGCTCCCTGGCCCTGCTCTCTCTCCTTGGGAGGGTTTGGTCCTTAAATCATGAACTCTGTGGGTGTATCCTAGACGCATAAGAAGCTCTCTATTTCTTCACATTAGCTCTGCACTGAATGTGCATATCATCTACGTCTGGGAAAATGCACCTTAGTTCCAAAATAATCCATTGTCTTTCCTAATCTCAAGATTGAAAAAAGTAACCAGACCTTGTTAGAGTAAAAGCATTTTTATCTGGATATAGATTTTATCCAGACGTGATGACAGAGCCAGGACTAGGGCGAAGCGAGGGAGGCTCTGGCCTCAGGTATAAAATGTAAGCACTAAGATATCCTGTACTTAAGATAGATGATCTTATAATGCGATAGATTTTTAAAAAATAATATTCATGAAAAAATCACCATAATTAACAAACTCTCCAAAATTTAAACCAAGACAGGGTCTAATCCTGTGATTGTCCAACTCAGTCGCACTCACCTACCTTGATGCCAGGATAGTCAGACCCTGCCTTTATTTAGTCATTTAATATTCATCGTATATACGTTGTTATTTTGAATAAATTAGTGGATTTCTTGATTCCTGGAAGCATATATCATTTGACTGTATAAAAGAAGTGAAGCTTCACACACACAAAAAAAGTAAAAGTCACCATGACAATGACATTCATTCCTATGTTCTAGGGGAAACAGCACAACTCTCTTAGGAAGAAACTCTCCTTTTATTTAAGAAGACCCTTTAATGGCTGTTTAGGTCTTGGAAGATAGGACACCTGACTGCATCTGTGAAATAGAGATACAATCCATAAGCGCTAAATCATTCTACAATTCTAAAAATAAAATGTTAAAGGTTTCTTGGCCCTCAGAGATTAACAATGAAAGGAGTTCTGGGTTCCAAAAGGAGCAGGTATACCTGTAACATCAGGGCACAAAGTAGCCTGTAGAGGTTATTGCCAAGAGTGGCTGAACTCTTTAGCTAGAATGCACTCTGATTTCTATTCTTATTTTTAACAGTTCTGTGCATTAACCACCCGTCATTATCCTTATGTTTTTGCAAAACTGTGTCTCAATCAATTGCTGTGTATTTGAAAATTCTTGGAAAAGGGGGAAAGCCTCAGTAATTCTTAATGCAAAGCTACAAAGAAAATGGGTAGTTGGTTGCAGGAGTGAGGTGGAGGTGGCCAGAGAATGTCACACAGAAGACAGAAATAAGAATTTGCACAAGATATTAGGAGCATAAGCACCTGTAGGGAGTTCTGAGAAACATTTGGCTGTCTACACTAATGAGGAATGGGAGCTGGAGCTGTTTAATTTGGATGGTCAAAAATAGGATAACTCCGGGAGTTTACAGAATTCACAGAATCCATTCCAACCAAGTGAGCTTGCAAGTCATACTCTAAGTCTCTGAACCTGTGAACTCATGACATAACAGAATAAAATTGTTCCCATTTCATCGTGCCTGAAGACTCATAAGAAAAAAAAAAAGGTATTAATTTTAAACACTGAAGCTCATTCATCATTTTATTGAATTCACCTGGCTACAAAATTAGCAACTGATCTTGTTCCAACTATATTTAAAGCAGATGAAGAAACTCTCCAAAGAACAGGGTTTGTCTGAGACTAGTCTAGGTAGAGTTTACTTTTGACACATCCTCTTGGTGTTTTCAGAGCTTTTTGAATATGTGGAATAATATCATTGCTTTGAGCAGATTTTCAGCCATTAGTTCTTCAGTTATTGCTGCTGTCCCTCGCTCATTTCTCTTCCTGGAAATAGAATTGTCTAGATAGATAGAGAATTGGTCCAAAAGTAATTGCGGTTTTTGCCTTTAAAGGTAATGGCAAAAACTGCAATTACTTTTGCACCAACCATACGTATGTACACAAACACATATGCAATATGTGTGTATTGCATATATACTCAATGCAAACACACAGATACACATATACAAAGCATCCTTTTACTGTGTCTTCACATATATATTTATGCAATTTTTTGTATTTTTCATTATTTTATATCTCTGCACTTCAACCTGAAAATTTTCCACTGACTTGTATTCTTACTTTTTTTTTTTTTTTTTGAAACAGAGCCTTGCTCTGTCACCCAGGCTGGAGTACAGTGGTGTGATCTCGACTCAACTGCAACCTCTGCTTCCCAGGTTCAAGCAATTCTCCTGCCTCAGCCTTCTGAGTAGCTGAGATTACAGGTGCCCTCTACCACATTCAGTTAAATTTTTTTTTTTTTTTTTTTTGTATTTTTGGTAGAGATAGAATATCACCATGTTGGCCAGCCTGGTCTTGAACTCCTGGTCTCAAGTGATTCGCCTGCCTTGGCCTCTCAAAGTGTTGGGATTACAGGCATGAGCCACCGTGCCCAGCCCACTGACCTGTGTTTTAATTCTTGGATCCTCTACTCTGCTCTGGTCACTTTGCTATTAATCCCATCTATTGTGATATTGACTTAACATATTGTATCAAGTACTAGAATTCAATTATTTAATATTTTTACATAAGACAGGAGAGTCTATTCAAAAATGAAAAGGGTCAGACATGTTTCAGATGCCCCAGCCTTCTTGGGATATGGGCTTTTTCATGCTAACATCTGTCTCTTAATGAATCCAAAATGAAGGAGTGTTTGCTTTTAAAAGAATACATTTCAGTGAAGGTCTTGATCAAAGAGAGATAATTAAAAAAACACTAAAGAAACATCAAAAAGATCTAATTGTAGGGTATCTGGGGGATGATAACACATCCAGGAAACTTTTTCTCAGAGACCTGTGATAGAACCTTAAATGTACTTTTCTTTGTTTTGCTCTCATATGTGAGCAACTTAGAAGAAACATGTATTTAGAAGAAACATGTATTTGTTTGTATTAATCCTACATGACTAGGGTTGACAGATTTAGCAAATAAAAGTATAGGACACTCAGTTAAATGTGAGTTTTAGATAAACAACATCCAGTTTATTGTGGCATTATCTATCTCATACTATTTGGGATTAAATACACTAAAAAGTTCTTCATGGTTTTTCTGAAAGCCAAATTGAACTTGGCCTCCTATATTCATCTAATAACACTATGAATCACTGAAAACATTTTTTCTTTAAAGATATTTTTCTTGGTGAAAGTATTTATTACGTCACTGAATTTTATTTTACTAGGTGTAGTAGGTGTAATAACGGCATCCCAAAGATGTCCATGTCCTTATCCCTAGAACCTGGGATTATGTTACACTTTACGGCAAATAAGAACTAAGACAGCAGATAGAATAGTTGGCTAATATGCTGACTTTAAAACCGGGAGATTAACTTAGATCATGTGAATGAGACCAACGTAATCCAAGAATCCTTAAATGTGGAAAAGAAAGGCAGAACAGTCAGTGTCTGGGTGATGCGATGTGGGAACGACTCAACAGCCATTGCTGGATTTGAAGATGAAGGAAGGATCCACAAACCAAGGAACATGGGCAGCCTCTCAGATTTGAAAAGGCAAAGAAGAAAAAAAAAAAAAAAAGGAAAGCAAACTCAGCTTCTTAGAACCTCTGGAAAGGAAAAAGGTCCTAAGGACACTTTGATTTTTCATGTTTGATCCCCAAAACAGCAAGATAATTTGTGTTGGTTTAGGTCACTAAGCTTATGACAATTTGCTTAGAAACAGAACACAAATACAATTGCTCCTCAGTATCCATGGGGGATTGGTTCCAGGACCCCCTGTGTATACCAAATGCCTCAGATGCTCAAGTCCCTGATATAAAAGAGTAGTAATTTCATATAATCTTCACACTCCTTGCATATACTTTAAATCATTCCTAGATTTCTTGTAACACTGAACACAATGTAAATGCTAAGTAAGTAGGAGTTATGCTGTATTTCCTAGAAAATAATGGCAAGAGAAAAAGGCCTGTGCATGCTCAATTCAGACACAATGTTTTTGTAGAACGTTTCCTGATGTGGAACACACGAATAGGAAGGGCCTACTGGTTTCAAATTATAAACTGAGCATAAAATTAGTAACACAAAAAAGCTAAGGCTACATTTCTGTAATGGAGAACAAAGATGAAAACCTACCAACATTTTACGGAATTTTATGTATATCTTTCTCAAATTCTGAAGGCTTATATGAAAAGACAATGAGGCTCTCAGGAAGAAGGGACAAAAACTGAAAAAGTTGAGCCTGTTCCTCAGTTTCCATCCAAACGGACTCACTGCTATGGGAATTGCCCTCCTACAGTAGACAAGATGGAACTAGTCAGCAGGTGTGAGACAGCTGTGTTCATATATTGGATAATAAGCAGTGCAACAAACAAATAAACTAGGATGTCCTTTTGCCCCTAGCTCTCTATAGGGCCAGGTTACAGGCCACAGCACAGGGAGGAAGACTTACATGAAGACCAGCACCCTGTAGCATTGAGGAGACCAAGGTCAAAGCTCACACAGCACGATACGCCCTGTGTCAGTCTGTGTGTGTTGCTCTAAAGGAATACCTGAGGTGGGATAATACTTCAGGAAAGGAAGTTATTTGGCTCACTATTTTTGGCTGTGTGAGAAGCATGGTGCCTGCATCCGCTCCTTGTTAGGACTCCATAAGCCTTCAGTCATAGTGGAAAGTCAAGTGGGAGCAGGAATATCACGTGGTAAGAGTGGAGCGAGAGGGTGCAAGGAGGTCCCAGACTCTTTTAAACAACTACATGTTGTATGAACTCGGAGCAAGAACTCACTCATTTTTGTGATGAAAGCAGTTAGTCATTCATTAGGGATTCACCCCCACAACCCAAACACTTCCCACCAGATTCCACTTCCAACACTGAGGATTAGATTTCAGCAGGAGGTTTCGAGGGGACAAACATCTGAAAAATATTATTCTTCCTCTGGCCCCTCAAATCTCATGTCCTTCTCACATTGCAAAATGCAATCATCCCTTCCCAATCACTCCCCAAAGTTTTAACTACTTCCAGCATTAACTTAATCAAAAGTCCAAAGTTCAAAATCTCATCCCCTGAGACTCAAATTCCTTCCGCCTTTTAGCCTGTACTATCAAAAACAAGTTATGTACTTTCATGTTACAATGATGGCACAGGCATTGGCTAGACACTACCATTCTAAAAGGCAGAAATTGGCCAATAAAAGGGATTACAGGCCCCACACATGTCAGAAACTCAGCAGGGCAGCTATTAAACCTCAAAGTTTGAAAATAATTCTTGATTCCATGTCCTTTATTCTGCTGTGAGGGTGGGCTCTGAAGACCTTGGGCTGCTCTGCCCCTGTGGCTTTACAGGGTGCAGCCCACATGGCTCCTGTCACAGGTCAGAATCTGATGCCCGTGGCTCTTCCATGCTGAGGGTACAAGCTGTCAACAGTGTTACTATTCTCAGGTCTGGAGGGCAGTGTTCCCCTTCCCTCAGCTCCACTAGGCAATGCCCCACTGGGGACACTGTGTGGGGAATCCAACCCCACGTTTCCCCTTAGCACTGCCCTGGTAGAGTTTTTCTCTTGGTACTCTCCCTCGGCAGCAGTTTTCTGCCTGGAGAACCAGACTTTGCCACACATCCTCTGAAATCTCGGTGGAAGCTGCCAAGCCTCCTTCCTTTTTGCACTCTGCAGACTTGCAGGCTTAGCACCACATGAACGCTGCCAAGACGTTCTGGCTTTCACCCACTGAAGCAGTGGCCAATCTGTACATTAGGCCCTTTGAGCTGAGGCTGGAGGCTGGGCAGCCAGGATGTGTCTTGAGGCTGAGCAGGGCAGCTGTGCCTGGGTCTGGCCACTGAAACCATTCTTTCCTCCTAGGCCTGTGGGCTGTGGTGGGAGGGAATGCCTCAAAGTTTTCAAAAATGCCTTGTAAGCTTTTTCCCCATTGTCTTGGCTATTAGCACTTGGCTCCTTCTCAGTCATGCACATCTCTCTAGCAAGTGGTTTCTCCACAGCCCCTTACAGTCCTCTTCTGAAAATGCTTTTTCTTTCTCTACTAAATTTCTAGGCTGCAAATTTTCCAAATTTTTATGCTTTGCTTCTTTCATGCGCGTCCGTGTGAAGAGACCACCAAACAGGCTTTGTGTGAGCAACATGGCTGTTTATTTCACCTGGGTGCAGGCGGGCTGAGTCTGAAAAGAGAGTCAGCAAAGGGAGATAAGGATGGGGCCGTTTTATAGGATTTGGGTAGGTAAAGGAAAATTACAGTCAAAGGGGTTTTGTTCTCTGGGGGGCAGGAGTGGGGGTCGCAAGGTGCTCAGTGGGGTTGCTTTTTGAGCCAGGATGAGCCAGGAAAAGGACTTTCACAAGGTAATGTCATCACTTAAGGCAAAGACCGGCCATTCACACTTCTTTTGTGGTGGAATGTCATCTGTTAAATTGGGGCAGGGCATATTCACTTCTTTTGTGATTCTTCAGTTACTTCAGGCCATCTGGGCGTATATACGTGGAAGTCACAGGGGATGCGATGGCTTGGCTTGGGCTAAGAGGCCTGATATTCCTGCCTTCTTATATTAATAAGAAAAATAAAACAAAATAGTGTTGAAGTGTTGGGGTGGTGAAAATTTTTGGGGGGTGGTATGGAGAGAGAATGGGCGATGTTTCTCAGGGCTGCTTCAAGCGGGATTAGGGGTGGCGTGGGAATCTAGAGTGGGAGAGATTAAGCTGAAGGGAAGTCTTGTGGTAAGGGGTGATATTGTGGGGATGTTAGAAGAAACATTTGTCATATAGAATGATTGGTGATGGCCTGGATACGCTTTTGGATGAATTGAGAAACTAAATGGAATAACAGAAGGAGAAAAACAGGTATAAAAGGTCTAAGAATTGGGACGACTCAGGATATCTGATTAGAGAGTGCCTAAGGAGACTCATCATAGTCCTGCCAGCAAAGATTATTTATGTACTTCAAGAGTTAAGAGCGGCAGTTTGGGGATAGCACCAGGAGATATCAGCTGTGATGGCTTGGAAAAACTGTGTAAAACGGCCGTGTAAACAAGAGCAGGGCATGTATGAGTAGTTGAGAACAGTGAATAGGAGTATGACTAGACAGAAGATAGTAGGGATGACAAGTTTTTTGGGGCACAGTTTAAGTTGGTCTGGTGTCTGGAATGAGACTGGGGCCTAATAAAAAGGAGCGTCTATACAGGAGCTTAAATGGGCTGTACCCTGTAGCATTCCGAGGACAGGCCTGAATTCTGAGATGGGAGAGTGCTAAAAGTATTGTCCAGTCCTTTTTGGTGGCTGAGCTTGGTGAGGTGTGTTTTTAAAAGACCTTTAGTCCATTCTCCTTTTCTTGAAGATGGAGGACTGTAAGGAATATAAAGGTTTCACTGAATACTAAGAGCCTGAAAAACTGCTTGGCTGATTTGACTAATAAAGGCTCATGTGTTATCAGACTGTATGGAGGTGGGAAGGCTAAACTGAGAAATTATGTCTGACAGAACCAAAGAAATGACTGCGGTGGCCTTCTCAGACCCTGTAGGAAAGGCCTCTACCTATCCAGTGAAAGTATCTACCTAGACTAAGAGGTATTTTAGTTATCTGACTCAGGGCATGTTGAGTAAAGCTAACTTGCCAGTCCTGGGTGGGGCAAATCCTTGACTTGATGTGTAGGGAAGGGAGGGGGCCTGAATAATCCCTGAGGAGTAGTAGAATAGCAGATGGAACACTGAGAAGTTATTTCCTTCCTTGAGGATAGATTTCCACGATGGAAAGGAAATAAGAGGTTCTAAGAGGCGGGCTAGTGGCTTGTACTATAGTATAACCTGCTTTTGCTGGTGTGTGGCAATTAGGCCTGGTGGAACTGCCATCAATAAATCAAGCGTGATCAGGGTGAGGAACAGGAAAGAAGCAAATATGGGGAAATGGGGTGAATATCAGGTGGATCAGAGAGATACAGTCATGGGGGTCAGGTGTGGTATCAGGAATAATGTGGGAGGCCAGATTGAAGTCCGGGCCAGGAACAATGGTAATTGTGGGACTTAAAGAGTGAGTACAGCTGAAGGAGCCGGGGAGCAGAAAGTATATAAGTCAAGTATGAGGAAGAAAATAGATTTTGGAAGTTATGAGAACTGTAGAGAGGGAGTTGAGCATAGTTTGTGATTTTGAGGGCCTCTAAAAGTATTAAAGCAGCGGCAGCCACTGCACGCAGACATGAGGGCTAGGCTAAAACAGTAAGGTCAAGTTGTTTGCACAGAAAGGCTACAGGGTGCTGTCCTGGCTCTTGTGTAAGAATTCTGACTGCACTAACTATGCCTAGGAAGGAAAGGAGTTGTTTTGTAAGGGATTGTGGTTTGGGAGATTAATCGGACATGATCAGCAAGGGAAAGCACATATGTTTTCATGAGAACTATGCTGAGATAGGTAACAGATGAGGATGACATTTGGGCTTGACTGAAGTAATAGGGGCTGTCTATGAAGCCTTGCGGCAGTACAGCCTAGGTAATTTGCTGAGCCTGATGGGTGTCAGGGTCAGTCTAAGTGGAAGCAAAGAGAGGCTGGGACAAGGGGTGCAGGGGAATAGTGAAAAAGCATCTTTAAGATCAAGCACAGAATAGTGAGTTGTGGAGGAAGGTATTGAGGACAAAAGAGTGTACGGGTTGGACACCACAGGGGGGATAGGCAAAACAATTTGGTTGATAAGGTGCAGATCATGAACTAACTTGTAAGGCTTGTCTGGTTTTAGGACAGGTAAAATGGGGGAATTGTAAGGAGAGTTTATAGGATTTAAAAGGCCATGCTGTAGCAGACGAGTGATAACAGGCTTTAATCTTTTTAAAGCATGCTGTGGGATGGGATATTGGTGTTGAGTGGGGTAAGGGTGATTAGGTTTTAATGAGATGGTAAGGGGTGCATGATCGGTCACCAAGGAGGGAGTAGAGGTATCTTATACTTATGGGTTAAGGTCGGGGGATACAAGAGGACGCAAAGGAGACTTTGGATTGGGAAGAAGGGTGGCAATGAGATATAGCTGTAGTCCAGGAATAGTCAGGGAAGCAGATAATTTAGTTAAATTGTCTCGGCCTAATAAGGGAACTGGGCAGGTGGGGATAACTAAAAAGGAGTGCTTAAAAGAGTATTGTCTAAATTGGCAGCAGGGTTGGGGAGTTTTAAGAGGTTTAGAAGCCTGGCCATCAATACCCACAACAGTTATGGAATCAAGGGAAACAGGCCCTTGAAAAGAAGGTAATGTGGAGTGGGTAGCCACCGTAATGATTAAGAAGGGGACGGAATTACCCGCCACTGTGAGAGTTACTCGAAGTTCAGCGTCCGTGATGGTCTAGGGGGCTTCTGAGGCGATCGGGCAGTGTCAGTCTTCAGCCACTAAGCGGAGAAGATCTCTGAAGGAGTCAGTCAGAGAGCCTTGGGCCAGAGTTCCAGGGGCTGTGGGAATGGCTGCCAGGTGAGTTGAACAGTCCGGTTTTCAGTGGGGTCCCACACAGATGAGACGCGGCTTAGGAGGAATCCCAGGCTGTGGGCATTCCTTGGCCCAGTGGCCAGATTTTGCATATGTAGCTAGCTCCTGGGGGAGGAGGTTCTGGAGGACTGCCTGGCTGCTGTGGTTCAGGCATTTGGAAGTTCTTGTGTGCTGGAGATGTGGCTGGGGTTTGTCTCACAGTGGAGGCAAAGAATTGCAACTTTTTTCTGTTATTGTACGCCTTGAAGGTGAGGTTAATTAAGTCCTGTTGTGGGGTTTGAGGGCCAGATTCCAATTTTTGGAGTTTTATTTAATGTTGGGAGCAGATTGGGTAATAAAATGTATATTGAGAATAAGACGGCCTTTTGACCTTTTAGGGTCTAGGGCTGTAAAGTGTCTCAGGGTTGCTGCCAAATGAGCCATGAACTGGGCTGGGTTTTTATATTTGATGAAAAAGAGCCTAAACACTTCTGATTTGGGATAAAGAAAAAGGAGCATTAACCTTGACTATATCTTTGGCTCCAGCCACCTTTTTAAGAGTAAATTGCTGGGCAGGTGGAGGAGGGCTAGTCACGGAAGGAAACTGTAAGCCGGACCAGGTGTGAGGAGGGGAGGTGATAAAAAGATTATAGGGTAGAGGAGCAGAGGCTGAGGAAGAATTGGGACGTAGCTTGGCCTGGTGAGGAGCAGCCTGGGGAGGAAGGGAGATGTCAGATTGGTCTGTAGAAAAGGAAGATTAGAAAGACTCAGCGACACTTGGGGTTGGTACTGAGGGGACAGGCGGGAGGGAAAGAAGGAAGATTTGGGATGAGTTGCACTGGGCACAGAGACTAGGAAGGGACTGATGTGTAAAAGAATGCCTGGACGTCAGGCACCTGAGACCATTTGCCTGTTTTACAACAAGAATTATTTAGATCTTGTAGGATGGAAAAATTCAAAGTGCCATTTTCTGGCTATTTGGAACTACTGTCGAGTTTGTATTGGGGTCAAGTGGCATTGCAGAAGAACATAAGGCATTTAGGTTTTATGTCAGGTGTGACTTGAAGAGGTTTTAAGTTTTTGAGAACACAGGCCAAGGGAGTAGAAGGAAGAATGGAGCATGGAAGGTTGCCCATAGTGAAGGAAGCAAGCCTAGAGAAAAGAGAGAGTAGAGAAATGGAAGGAAGGGGTTTGGGGGTTCTTACCTTCCAGAAAAGTGGGAAAAGGGGTTGGGGCACAGAGATAAGAGGTCAGGGCATGGAAATAAGGGATTGGGGTGCAGAGATATGAGGTTGAGGCACTGAAATAAGGGATTGGGGCACAGAGATAAGAGGTTGGAGTGCAGAAATAAGGGATTGGGGTGTAGAGATAAGAGGTTGGGGCATGGAAATAAGGGATTGGGGTGTAGAGATAAGAGGTTGGGGCATGGAAATAAGGGATTGGGGTGCAGAGATAAGAGGCTGGGGCGTGGAAATAAGGGATTGGGTGTTCTTGCCCCATAGAAAAGCGGGACTTGCCGCTAAGGGTGAAGGAGAAGGGGTTGAAGGGTACTTGCCCCTCTCCCAGAAAAGCAGAGAAGGGGTAGAGACAAGGCGAGAAGGAGTTGAGGTACTTGCCCCTTCCCCAGAAAAGCGGGAATTGCCGCTAAGGGTGAATGACCAAGGCAGGTGTTCCTGCATGGTCAGACACCCTTGAAACGTGGGTGTATAATCAGAGAGGCATCCCTGCAATGATTAAACACCAAGGGAAGGCTGCCTTCCCAGTCCGTGACCAGTGCCGGAGTTTTGGGTCCATGGAAAAAACGTGTCTCCTTTGTCTCTTCCAGAAAATGAAAGGAATTGAAATTAAGAGAAGGGAGAGATTGAAGAGTGGAAAGGAGAAAGTGGTTGAGGGACAGTGAGAGAGGTTGCAGAAGAGAGTAAGAAGAGGCCGCTTACCTGATTTAAAATTGGTGAGATGTTCCTTGGGCTGGTCGGTCTGATGACCTGAGGTCATAGGTGGATCTTCTCACGGAGCAAAAAACAGGAGTACAGGGGATTGATCTCCCAAGGGAGGTCCCCCGATCCAAGTCACGGCACCAAATTTCATGTGCGTCCGTGTGAAGAGACCACCAAACAGGCTTTGTGTGAGCAACATGGCTGTTTATTTCACCTGAGTGCAGGTGGGCTGAATCCAAAAAGGGAGTCAGTGAAGGGAGAAAAGTGTGGGGCTGTTTTATAGGATTTGGGTAGGTAAAGGAAAAATACAGTCAAAAGGGGTTTGTTCTCTGGCGGGCAGGAGTAGGGGTTGCAAGGTGCTCAGTGGGGGTGTTTTTTGAGACAGGATGAGCCAGGAAAAGGACTTTCACAAGGTAATGTCGTCACTTAAGGCAAGGACCGGCCATTTACACTTCTTTTGTGGTGGAATGTCATCTGTTAAGGTGGGGCAGGGCATATTCACTTCTTTTGTGATTCTTCAGTTACTTCAGGCCATCTGGGCGTATACATGCAAGTCACAGGGGATGCGATGGCTTGGCTTGGGCTGAGACGCCTGACAGCTTCTCCTTTAAGTTCCAAATTGAAAGCATTTCTTTGCTCCTGTATCTGATTGCAAGCTTGTAGAAGCAGCTACATATCTTGAATACTTTGCTCCTTGGAAATTACTTAGACCAGATGCTCTAGCTAATCACTCTAAAGTTCAACTTTCCACAAATCCCTAGGACGTGAACACAATGCAGCCAAGCTCTTGACTGGGGTGTAACAATGGGGACCCTTGCTCTAATTCCCAGTAACTTCCACTTTTCCATCTAACAACTTGATAGTGTGGACTCCACTGTCCATATCTCTGTGAGCATTTTGGTCACGTACATTTAACAAGTTTCTAAAGAGTTCCAAACTTTCCCTCATCTTCCTATCTTTTGCTGGGCCCTACAAACTCTTTCAACCTCTGCCAGTACCCAGTGACAAAGCCACTTCCATATTTTCAGCTGTCTTTACAGCAATGCCCCCTGCACAGTATCAATTTTCTGTGTCAGTTTGTTTTTACTCCTATAAAGGAATACCTAATGCTGGGTAATTCATAAGGAAAAGAAGTTTATTTTGGCTCCCTATTCTGTAGGCTGTATGAGTAGCATGGTGACATCATCTGCTCCTTTTGAGGCCTCAGAAGACTTCCTTTTGTGTAGGAAGGGGAAGGGGGAGCAGGAGTATCACAAGCCAGGAGAAGGAGCCAGAGTTGGGGAGGTGCCACACTGTGTGAAACAACCAGATCTCCCATGACTCAAAGAAGGAGCTCACAGATTATCTCCAGGACAGCACCAAGCCATTCATGAGGGATCCACCCCAATGACCCCAACACCTCCTGCCAGGTCCCACCTCCAAGACTGGGAATTACATTTCAACATAGTATTTGGAGAGTACAAACATCCAACCTGTATCAGACCCCAATTTCCAGTGCACATATCAGAGAGTGGGCTACTGAAAGGAAGCATTGATCTTGAGTGTTGGAGAAGAGAAGAATGCCTTCACTCTTAGGCTATGTTATGATGTGTGCACACTTGGGCTAAGACTTCCCCAGGCCAGAAAAAAGTAAAAACTCCATAAGGGAGTGAACGGCATTTTCAGGAGGACAGACAAGTCTTGAAAACTTTGTATCCCCACAGCAAAGTGGAGAGAACTCAGAACCTCAGAAAGCCATCAGCAAGTAGTGGTGCTAGTTAGCTCTAGATTAAACTGCTCTGCAACTGCTTCAAGAAATTTTCAAGCCATTCTTGAAAAAACCAAATGAATGTATAGAACCCCCAAAATGAACCAGATGATGTCTAGCATTCTTTGGGGAAAACAACCAAAACTGTTACTCAACAATTCAAGCTGTCCAGGCCTGGCGGTTCATGACTGTAATCTCAGCACTTTCGGAAGCCAAGACAGGTGAATCACTTGAGGGCATGAGCTCGAGACCAGCCAGGCCAACCTATGCCTACTAAAAATAGAAAAATTATCTGGGCGTGGTGGCACAGGCCTGTAGTCCCAGGTACTCAGGAGGCTGAGGCAAGAGAATTGCTTAAACCAGGGAGGCAGAGGTTGCAGTGATCTGAGATTGCACCACTGCATTCCAGCCTGGGCAACAGAGCAAGACCCTGTTTCCAAATTAAAAAAAAAAAGGCTTTATAATATACTGAATCCAATAAAAAATTTCCAAGCATGAAAAGAAGTAGGAAAATATAGCCCATAACTAGGAGAAAAGTCATTCAGTAAAAACAGACCCAATAATGACAAAGGTACTAGGATCAGAAAAGGGAATGTAAAGGAGCTATTATAAAAGTTATAAATATGTCAAAGGCTGAAGAGAAAACCTTTTTGATGAGGAGGAACACATAAAAAGAACCAAATGGGCCTTCCAGCAGTAAAACAAAATGATGAGAACAAAAAAATTTCTGAATTGGATTAATGACACATGACAGTATAGAAGAAAGGATCAGTAAGCCTGAGTCTACATTAACACAAACAAATGAGAAAATGAAGCAAAGGGAGAAAAAAACTCTGGATGAAAAATAAACAGTGCACTTCACAGAAATATCAAGCAATCTAGCACCTATGTGTGTTTGAAGGCAGAAAGAAATTCCAGGAGAAAGCATAAAGTTAGTGAAATAATAGCCTATTTTTATAAATTTGGTGAGACTGGAAACATACAAATTTGGTATTGAAAGACATCCAAGAAGAATAATTATTTAAAAAAAAAAGAACAAGAATATCATAATTATACAAGTTCATTTTCACACTGCTATAAAGAACTACCTGAGACTGGATAATTATAAATAAAAGAGGTTTCTTTGACTCCCAGTTATGCTGGATTAACAGAAAGCATGGCTAGGAGGCCTCAGGAATCTCACAATCGTGATGGAAGGTGAAGCAGAAGCAAGCAAGTCTTCCACAGTGTCAGACGAAAGAGAGAGGGAGAGAGAGAGAGGAAGAGAGACAGAGCACAAGAGTAAGCACAGAAGGAAACTGCCATTTATAAAACCATCACATCTCTTGAGAATTCACTCACTATCATGAGAACAGCAAGGCAGAATTCACCTCCCCATGATCCAATCACCTCCCACCAGGTCCTGCCCCCCAACACTGGGGATTATGGGATTATAATTCCAGATGAGATTTGAGTAGGGACACAGAGCCAAACCATATCAATAATCAAATTGTTTTGAATCAAAAATAATGAGAAAATCTTAAAAGCATGCTGAGAGAAGACACTGCTTACAGAAGTAGAAAAAATAAAGTGACATATTTAAGTACCAAAAGAAGAAAAATAAGTCAACATAGGACCCTGACAAGCAAAAATACATTTCTAGATTAATGCTAAACACATATTCCAGTAATAAGTAAAGGCATTTTCTTTTCCTTTTTTTTTTTTTTTTTTTGAGACGGAGTCTCGCTGTCACGCAGACTGGAGTGCGATGGTGCGATCTCGGCTCACTGCAAGCTCCGCCTCCCGGGTTCACGCCATTCTCCTGCCTCAGCCTCCCCAGTAGCTGGGACTACAGGCGCCCGCCACCATGCCCGGTTAATTTTTTTGTATTTGTAGTAGAGATAGGATTTCACCGTATTAGCCAGGATGGTCTGGATCTCCTGACCTCGAGATCCGCCCACCTTGGCCTCCCAAAGTGCTGGGATTACAGGCGTGACCCACCGCGTAAAGGCATTTTCTAATGACAATAACAAAAACTAAGAGAATTCCTCACTAGCAAACTTGTAGTATAAAACAAGACCCAAATACACGCTGTCTATAAAAACCCAATGTCTTTATCAAATATAAGGACAAAGATAGGTTGATAGTAAAGGGACAGAAAGAGTTATAGTATGGAAACATTAATCTAATGAAAACAGAATTAGCTGTATCGGCTAACTGACTATAAATCAAAGTAGATTTTACAGCAAGGTGTATTATTACTGATAAAGAGCCTATGTTTTCCGGTGATAAAGTTGTTAAATCACCAAGAACACATATCATTATTATTAAATTAGTATGCACCTAATAAGAGAGTCTCAAAAATTTTAAAAAGAAATTGATAGAACTAAGAGAAGAAATTGAAAAATTAAGAATTACCATTGAATATTTCAACACTTTTTTCTCTGAAATAGTTTTTTTTAGCAGCAAAGTATAAATAAAGATAGAGAGAACTTGAACAACAGTATCATCCATTATGACCTATATAAGCTTTACAGGACACTCCTCCCAATAACAGTAAAATGCATTAAAATATTATCTAAGAGAGCTCATATTGGACTAAGAAACAAAAAAATCAAAACAATTTAAAATCATGTGAAGCATAATGTCTATCCACAGTGGAATGTATGAAGCTGTGACTAAAGGAAAATAGCTGGAAAATTCCTCACATATTTGGACATTACTCAACATATTTCTAATGAGTCAAAGGAGAAATTTAAAAATATTTTCACATGACAGCAAATGGAAGCATAACATACCAAAATTTGTGGCAATACAACTAAAGCAGTGCTTGGAGGGAAATTGATAACATTAACTGCTATTATAATGGGAAGTCGAAAGCTCAGAAATAGACAATCTAATATTCCATTGTAAAAAACCTGGGGAAAAAAGAACTAATTAAGCTGAAAGTAAATAGGAAAACGAGTGAATAAAAAAGAATGTGGACACAAAAGAGAACATTAAAAATAAATAAATGAAAGCTACTTGCTTGAGAGAATGCATAAAATTGTGAGAACTCTCGATAGGTTCCTTAAGGGGAAAAAGGAAATTACTAGAAGTCTCAGGTGCACACCCAGGCTTCAGGCAGGCAGGAAACAGATTAGGTCTGCGTTTCAGGGTCATGTAGTCAAGCCGCCACGAGGTGGCAGTAACTGCGCGCTCATTCCCTCACCTCCTGCAAGGCCGGGCCAGGCTGTGGACTCACTGCTCAGCTCAGGAGATGGGAGAGGGTGACAGTAGCCGCGTGGACTCTGGCCTTAGGCAGAGCGTTACTGTAGCTTTGGGGTTGTAGGAGGATGAAGAGGGGAGGTTATCAGGACACCATGGTGATTGTGTGGTGCTGGTTAGGAACATGGGCTTTGAAGAGAGAGGGATTTTATTTCAAATTCCATCTCTGCCACTTAGTAGTCAGATGACCTTGAACATGTCCTCTAACCTTTCTAGGCCCCAGGACCTGCCTCTGTAAACTTGGGTAATAACCCCCTGGCATGTTTGCTTCTGAGGATTAAATGAGATAACTTGTATAAAAATGGCCACGGCAGGGCCGGCTGCAAAATTCCCAAGGCTCAGTGCAAAGTGGAAATGCAGGGCGCCTTGTTCAAAGAGCAGCAGAAGAAAGTGTCGTGAAAGGCAGGAGGGTATTCAGCTTTCTCAAGCCAGTATGTTTCATCATTTGAAAAGTGTAATAGGGATAATACTTCTAGAAGAGTAAGAACAGAATCATATAAATCCCCACCAGAAACCAGTGTCACAGTTTTAATAGAATAAATAATAATACTTTATTAATTGGATCTAGATGAATGAAACAATTTTTCTGGCCAACTTTTCTGCAATTAATTTATTAGGTCATCAAACTTTATACCTTGAGCAACTTCATTTTTTCTTCTGAAAAGAATCTGCTGAAGCAACTGTTTCTGGAATATTATCTAAACTCTGACAATATTGGGATAAACTATTTTGACACAAATTTTAGTATATCTGTAGCTGGTGGTTCTTGTGGAGCTATTTTTTTCAAAGGATTTAACTGTTTAAGCAAATCAGTTTTATGGAAGTTTGAATTTAATTTTAAGTGTAAATTTCTCCAATGGAATTTTGATGCATCTTCTGACATGTTCTGTAAGTTGCAGAGGCCCACAGCAGACCAAATGTGGCGTCATGATTTGTAACTTACTCAAAACTCCTGTTTTTGAATTCTATTGTTGTATCTTTAACAAGAAGAACTGAATTTTTAAAATTGCTCTACTTGTTAATAATTGATTGATCAGAAATGTTCTTTTCTTTTCTTTTCTTTTCTTTTGAGGTAGGGTCTCCATCTGTTGACATGATCATGGCTCACTGCAGCCTCAGACTCCTGAACTCGTATGATCCTCCTACCTCAGCCTCCCAAGTAGCTAAGACTACGGGCATGTGCCACTGTGCTCAGCTAATCTTTTTTTTTTTTTTTAATGTTGGGGTCTAACTATACTGCCCACTATACTGCCTATGGTGGTCTCCAACAACTGGCTTCAAACAGTCCTCTAACCAGAGCTTCACAATGTGCTGGGATAACAGGTGTGACCCACCATGCCTGTCCCATCAGAAGTTTTGTGACTATCATTATATATTTAATTTATATTTCTGAGCCTTGGATAACTCCTTGAAGAACTCTAAACTCTCTGAGGAATTCCAAGAACTCCCTGGCATACTATTTCACAGTGTCCATGGGCACACTTTTGTTTTGTGCTTCTCTCCTCCCAATTTGCTATCTGAGCCCTATGATTCCTGTCCCGGCGCTCAGGTCAGGGGGTAAATATTCGTGCAGAAGCTCCAAGGATGACTCTGAGAATGCACAGGCACAGAGGTGTCAGTGCTGCGTCCACACAGAGACCCTCCTTTCACCCCAGGGCTGAGGACACCTGCTGCTGCTGCTGCCACCTCCCATCCTGGTCCGTTGCCATCTTCCTTCCCAGTCGAGATGTGCCTGGGCCGCTCCAAGGCACCCGTGCTCAGGGCAGCAAGCTCCAGCATGTGGCCTTCATGTCCCTGGGCCTGAGCCTGCCCACCTTGTCCCCCCTCATAGCCACTCTGCTCATGTGCCTGCTCCATTGTCTCAGTGGGCTTCACTTACAAAATGAAGTTCAAAGAAAAAAAACTAAGGTCAAGAGGGTGTCGGCAGAGCCTGCTACCAGGCACTGGCCCTTCTGAGGGCAGGTCCCTTTGTCACTGCCCAGCCCTCAAGCCCATGAAGCTGGTCCTGGCTCCAGAATTGAGAGCCAGTAAAACTGCTTCTGTTATTTATCATTGAGGACACAGTGCAGAGAAACTTTGCTTTCTAAAATTATAGATATGAGAGACTTTGCTTTCTGGGAGCCTATCTAAAGGAATGCCCACTCTTGCCTGGGGAACTGAGCCACTTTGCCACAGAAAACAGCCTGTGGTTTGGGAAAAAACCCATATCTGTTCTGGTGGATAGTCTTCCTTGCTGAAGCAAGATAATAACCCTACCTTTAAGACAAAAGTGCTCCTCCCTTGATCTTTATCAAACACACTGTATCACCAGGATGAACACTGCTCTGAAGGAGTCACATCGGGCTGTGCCAGGAAAAAAGAATAGCTGCAACCATAGGAATCTTCATGGGAACAGTCAGCCCAGCTGTCCTTGAGCAACCAGGCCCATGTTCCCTAAGCCTTGGTGGCTTCTTCCCCAGGGACACAGGTGCTGCATTTCACAGTGACTTTCCTATTTCAGAGCAATTTCACCTCCTTCTCTAACAAGGCCTCACAAATGTACTGAGAGCTAGAGAGGACAACAAGTGTAAAACCACAGTGCTGTCAGTGGTTCCTGGGATTGCAACGGGATTATAGGAGAAATTCACACTCTTCTATGGGTGAGTTTTTTTTTTTTTTTTTTTTTTTTGAGACGGAGTCTCGCTCTGTCGCCCAGGCTGGAGTGCAGTGGCGCAATCTCGGCTCACTGCAAGCTCCGCCTCCCGGGTTCACGCCATTCTCCTGCCTCAGCCTCCCAAGTAGCTGGGACTACAGGCGCCCGCCACTACGCCCGGCTAATTTTTTTGTATTTTTAGTAGAGACGGGGTTTCACCGTTTTAGCCGGGATGGTCTCGATCTCCTGACCTCGTGATCCGCCCGCCTCGGCCTCCCAAAGTGCTGGGATTACAGGCGTGAGCCACCGCGCCCGGCCTATGGGTGAGTTTTTAAATGCAAGTGTATTACTTTTATAATAATCATGTTAAGTACAGCAGTCATTAAGGACGTATCAATCAGGAGTGATGCCACACATGAAAAAGATGGGAACCACTCTCTTAACTCAAACTCTTATTTACATATAAGAGTTATGTAATAACTCCAGTAAGGCCCCTTGCCACATACCATGGCATTTCCTTAAGAATGTTTACTCAACAAGGAAAGAGGCGTGACAACCTAATTCGATGTGTGAATCTGGATTGAACATGTACCCAGAAAACTCAACAGCCACAAAGCTATTCTTGGAACAATTTCAATGTCTATGCACTGACTTCTGTTTTGCAATAATTTACTGACACTTTGCTTCCTGAGCACCTACAGCTGCTGTCCCAGTGTTCAGGCCAGGGAAATTTTCTTGTTAATGTGCATAAATGGTAGTGTGATTGATGCGGGAATTTTTTTCTTATTTATAAGAGATCCATGCTGAGATAATTAGGGTGAAGTGTCATGACATTTTCCTGCTACTTTCAAAAGGTGACAGCGACATAGAAAGTATATATTTTAAATTATTTATTAATTTAGACAGAGCACATATGTGCTTTTTTTTTTTCATTCAGTTTTTCTATTTGGCTTCCTTGGCCAGGAATAGTTTTAGTGTCAGGAAATGAATGAGTCTGCCCCTCAATTCCAGCCTGCTCAGCACAGAGGAAAACAAAGTTCTGACAAAGGGAGTGACTCCCTGCTGAGTCAGCTGCAGCCCTGGATTCAGATTCCTTTAGCAGTTCTGAGGGCACCCAACCCAGCCCTCTCTTTGCCTACCCCATCGGAAACTTCCTTTCATGATAAGAAAGACATTAAAGATCTTGTTCATAGAATCCATTGCAGCTTTCTTTAAAAACACCCCTGGCCTGCCTCAAACTGTGAATTCTTAAAGTGTGACATTTAAGATGTAGACCATGGCTCAAGGCTCATTGTCCCCATGGCTGTCACCGCTACACCTTGGTGTCATCGCTACACCTGACACTGGGGCCTGCTTGTCTCTCAAACTTCCCTTGGATCCAAAGAGGGAGGAACCAGGATGAATGCCACTTATTTTCCCTTGAAAAGCCCCACCCCTGAGCATCTGACACCAGGGGCTCTGTCCATTGCCTGTGGCCACCGATTGCTACTCTGGGTTATGGAGGAAGGACAGGGTCCTGAGAGTCCCCAGAGACCTTGCACAGCTCTGAAAACACAGGGCTTCTGCAGAAGTGGGTCCCATCACCAATAGGGAGACTGTCAGACCTCTGAGCCCAAGCTAAGCCATCATATCCCCTGTGACCTGCACGTATACATCCAGATGGCCTGAAGTAACTGAAGAATCACAAAAGAAGTGAAAATGGACTGTTCATGCCTTAACTGATGACATTACCTTGTGAAATTCCTTGGCCTGGCTCATCCTGGCTCAAAAGCTCCCTCACTGAGCAACTTGTGACCTCCACCCCTGCCAGCCAGAGAACAACCCCCTTTGACTGTAATTTTCCATTACCTACTCAAATCCTGTAAAACGGCCCCACCCCTATCTCCCTACGCTGACTCAGCCCACCTGCACCCAGGTGATTAAAAAGCTTTATTGCTCACATAAAGCCTGTTTGGTGGTCTCTTCACACGGATGCACGTGAAAGACACCACGTGGAGGCCTTGCACCCCCACTCCGTGCTTCTCTACCAAATCCCAACGGTATTGAGCTCACTTAGCACTGACGTCTGTGGAAAGCAGGGAAAGCCCTGGCTCCCAAAGCCCTGAAGTCCTGTGGAGCTGACATTCCCTGAGTGACGGTGTGAACGGAGGGAACTCAAGTGTTAGTGGTAGGCCACCTCCTGGCCTGGGCCTGGGTGGACTCTGAGGGGACACATGTAGTCACAATCCCACCCTCCCATTCTCCTTCTCAGAGGAAGGAAGTGGGCACCCATCTGCCTCATCTCTGTCCCATGGTGATGACGGAGAATTTCAGGGCACCTTTCACATGAATTTCACCAGCTCAGATCTGTGAGGACGGGGCCCACCATGCTCCTGGAGCTGCCAGAAGCCGTGAGCCCCTCCCAGGTCCCTGGGTTTGAGCCAGCCCTGTATCATCCCCAGGAGCTGAATGTCCCAGCAATGGATAGAACTAGATGGAACCGGCTCCCAGTTTGGCCTGAGACTGTCCCTAGACATTCAGGAAAAACAGGACATCCCACAGAGCGGGCAGGTGATCTCCAGTTCACAGACCCTGAGTCTGTTCCCCTGTAAGAAAGACCTTGCCCCTCACTCCATTCACATCCCAGGTCCCAAATGGTACAAGACAGAAAGAAGCCCTGGTCATATGAGCAGAACGAGGGGATGTTCTGGGGTTTCTTGTGTCCAAATTTGCATAAGAGCTCCTGGGTATACTTTTCTCTCAGAGGGCCATTTGTCTGATGCCCCCAGTAAGGTGGTCAGTTTCAATCACTGTAATTACTGATGTGGTAGGCAATACCTGTTCCAAATTCTGCCCAGT
Organism: Homo sapiens; assembly: GCF_000001405.40. Lineage (NCBI taxonomy): Eukaryota > Metazoa > Chordata > Mammalia > Primates > Hominidae > Homo > Homo sapiens. Next base: position 7,919,170 of record NC_000008.11, read on the forward strand.
GACCAGGGGCCAAGACCTGTTTAGATGGAAGGCTCGGTGTCCTCCCCAGCCTCAGCTCATGGTGAAGCTCCCAGCCATCACCCATAAGGGTCCTTATCTTCTCTTCTCATTCCGCTTCATATTCCTGATGCCTCTTCCACATGAGATGAGTCAGGGAAATAAGAGGCTTGGAAAAGTGGAAAAATGGGGTAGAGGCTCTCTCTTGCCTCTCTCTCACCTCTTTCTCTCTCATCCAAGTACTAGTTAGGCCCACTCCTGCTTAGCTTACAAGATCAGAGGAGATCAAACATGTTCAAGGTGCTATGGCCGTAGACACTCTCTCTCTTTTTCTCTGTCTCTCATGTCTATATCTCTCCTTTGTCTCCTTTCTCTGCCTCTTGTATTTCTCTCAGTGTCAGGACACTCCCTCTCTCCCTGTCTCCCCTACAGCTTGACTCCTTTTGTCCCTTTCTCTCTTTCTTCTACTATCACTTCTAGACTGAGTAGATTGCATGCCTTACTTTGTTGAACCAAACTCCATTTCCTTCAATATGAAAGGAGTTTAAGAGCTTCATGGCTGCCTCACTCCCTCTTCTAAGCCAGAGGGGCCCAGTAGCCTGTAAATCTCATCTCCTCCCTGATCTTCACTCTATGACTGCTAAGACTATGGTTGAAAACTGTCAGGCGACTTTTATTTTTCAATAAAAGTGAGAAATTTTGATTTTATCCAAAGAAGTAAGTACAGAATGTCATTTTCTAAATTTTTATATTTAAAGTGTAGATTTGAGTGACCTAGAGAATTTCAGGTAGTGATAAGGCGCAGCCTGTACTTTGGGAAGTTGTGTTTGGGACACTGGCCCTTCGTCTTTTCAGATGGAAGGCCCTGGAGAACACTTGCCCTCTGTGGCTGCTCTAGGTTCACAGGACAAAAATGCTTATTGAAAGCCACTTTTAAAATGGAATGCCTAATTTTATTTTCTCCTTGATATTATAAGAATAAAATAAAAGGGTGAAGGAAGAAAAGGAGAGTGGAAGGGAGGAAGGGAGAGAGAAAGATAATTTGAGACTAAGACCTGAGATATCTAATCTGATAGAAATTACATAGAAAAAGCCTCATTTTATCCATATTGTTTATGGGTTTTGGGTTACAGAGGAGCAGCAGGGCTCCTGGAGGCACAGACACTGGGCGATATTCCACCACTTAGGAGAGTATGAAGGAAGAGACAAAAGGGAGGAAAGGAGGAAAGGAAGGAGGGAGGACAAATGGAAGAGTGAGATTGAGAACAGAATTTAGAGATTAGAAACAATTCATTACAAAGGTTTACTTCTACTGTTAATTATTGTTTTTAATTGTAATCTACTTTCTTTTATTTGTCTTTTTTCATTCCCAGCTCCCCTCCCCCTGCCCCTCCTTGCCCCTCCTTCTTTTTTTTTTTTTTTCTTTTTTTTTCTGAGACAGAGGCTTGCTCTGTCACCCAGGCTGGAGTGCAATGGCATGATCTCGGCTCACTGCAACCTCCGCCTCCCGGGTTCAAGTGATTCTCCTGCCTCAGCCTCCTGAGTAGCTGGGATTACAGGTACCCACCACCATGCCCAGTTAATTTTTGTATTTTTAGTAGAGACAGGGTTTCACCAGGTTGGCCAGGCTGGTCTCAAACTGCTGACCTCAGGTGATCCACCCACCTAGGCCTCCCAAAGTACTGGGATTAGAGGCGTGAGCCACTGGGCCCGGCCCTAAGTTACTTTCATATTAAATTCACATTAAACAATTTCTGCCATTTGAGCCACATCTTTTTCTTGCATCTCATTTTAAAAACTTAACGGACTTCATGATTTGGAAAGCAGAGGTTACTGGCCTGTGTGTGTAAATGGAGGTAGGGTAGCTTTGAGGTTATTTTTGTGTGGTGGAGCTGAATTCTCAAGAAATCCTAGTTGAGCTGCTACCTGAGCCCATCTGGAGGCCCCAGTCACTTAGCAGAGATCGGTCTTTCACATTCTGGTTCCAGGAACTAAACATTCCCAAACCACGTCAGGGCCAGCCTCCTTTTAAGAAACTTAGGTTCACGTCATCATTCACTCATGTCTCATGATCATGATCAAAATCCCAGGCTTGGAAAAGAAACTCACCAGAGATTTATTCAAGTCAACACCGACACAGGCTTTGTGCTTTTCTGACATGGGGTTTTGAATTCTAACACCCTATCACTCCTATTGTCCTTTGATTTGCTTATTGTTTATTGCTTCTGGGTTTTTTTTCTTTTTTTTCTTTTCCTTTCTTTAGGTTTTTCTAAAGATATAAGAAATCCTGCTAGCTGACACAGGAATAAAGGTGTGTGTGTGTTCTGAATGTTTGCTCTACAAGCTTGAAACAGATTGGCACCTATGGCCATGACAGAATAAAATGCTGCAAAAAGTAACGAGGAGTCCAAGAAGTTTCTGTGACTAATGTGGATTCAGAAAGGGCTCACTCAGCAGAGACGTGCCACATTTAAACCAAATTAAGCTACGGTGTTCGAAGACATGGAATCTTTATCCTAGTAATTGTAATTGTGATTGTGTAACGTTGGTTTCGGACTAGCGAATCTCTGACATCTTTGGAATGTCCTTCCCAGCTCTCCAGACCAGGGGTCAGGGATGGCACAGGAGGAGTTTTTTGGGTTGCTCCTCCAGTAACCCAAAACCAACAGGAGCAACGGGATATTAGAATTCAAAACCCCATGTCAGAAAGACACAAAGTCTGTGTCAGTATCATCTTGAATAAATCCACGGTGAGTTTCTTTTCCAAACCTGAGCTTTTCCATCATCATGAGATGTGAGTGAATAATTATGAGTCATAAGTTTCTGACAAGGAGACTGGCACTGCTGTGATTTGGGGGAGGCTTAGTGACATCTGTTCCCTTTAGGTCCCTTGACCTTCCCCAATTATTCCCATTGTTTTCCTATAACTGTGCTTTGCTCCTCCTACTTCCTCTCTTTGCGTGCCCTCACCTACCCCACATCTTCCTGGAAGACTGTGCCTCATTAATGTCCCAACTCAAAGGCCTCTTTCCTCCTGGAATCAGGGTGATCCACTAAGGAGGGAACGTCCTATCCTCTTGTTCTTCACAAGCACTCCCTCCTTCTGGTTTGGCCTGCTTATGCAATTGTGCTTCCTGCTCATGTGGATAATTTTTTACTTCTCCAATAGTCTATGAGCTCTCTACAGGTATGGACTTTCTCTTATTCATGTATGTAGTGGTCATTGAGGAAGAGGTGTTACTTCATAAATTATTATACATTTAATGGCAAAGTTGAGTTGCACAAAGCATTTCCTCACATCTAGACATAATTTTGATTCATGTAAAAGCTCTTAAAAACAGGTCCTTTTTGAAGGTACAGTTAAATGAGGGCAATATAGCACAGAACACAATGAGAGGAGAGCAAACCTCAAGAAGAAAGACAGTATAGACTCTGAGGGGAAGCATCAAGATGCCTGCCTAGCCCTGCCCTCTCTCATTGGGCAGTTTAACTCGTTTGATAGTTAAATCGTGAACTCTGCAGGTATACCCTACATGTCTATGAAGCTCTCTGCTTCTTGATATTAACTTTTCTCTTAATGTGCATACCATCAACCTCTAGCTAAAGGCATTTTTGTCTAAAATAATCCATTGGATTTCCTAGAGTATCAAGATTGGAAAAAAAAAAATCAGACCTAGAGATTTTTTGTAGATCCTTTAACCAGGCCAAGAGGTGAGGGAGGCACTGGATGCAGGTGCAGAATTTGGGGATCAAAAAATTCTGCACTCAAGATAAGTGATCTTATAATGTATGTGTTTTTTTTTTTTTGTAAAAAAAAAAAAATTGATTCAAAAGTAACACATGATCTACAAAATATTCAAGTTTTAAATAAGGACAGAATCTAATCCTGCTATTGTGCAACTCAAACTTACCCACCTCACCTTGGTCCCAGGCCTGTCCGATAGTCTTATTTATTTAACCATTTAATTTTTATAATATGTGACATTATTAGTTTGAATGAATTTGTTGCTCTCCTGGTGCCTGGAAGTTTAGGTAGAGTTTACATTATATATCCCATGATATTTGCAATGTCCATATACTAAAAAGTTATTCACAGACATTTTTCTCCTTAAAGACAATTTTTGTGGCCAAAGTATTTATTTGCTACACTGAGTTTTATTTTACTAGGTGTAGTAGGCATAATAATGGCCTCCCAAAGATGTCCATGTCCCAATTCCTAGAACCTATGATTATGCTTCTTTACATAGCAGATAAGAATTAATGTCAGCAGACAGAATTAAAGTTGCTAATCAGCTGACTTTCAAATAGGGAGGTTATCTTAGATTAGGTGAACGAGACCAATGTAATCAAAAGGATCATTAAATTTGGAAAGAGACAGAACAGTCAGTGTCTTCGTGATGTGATGTTAGAATGACTTGACAGGCATTGCTGGCTTTGAGATGAAGAAGCTACAGGCCAAGGAAGTTGGGCAGCTTCTAAAGCTTGAAAATGCAAAACAAAACAAAAAAGCAAACAAAGATTCTCACTTAGAGACTCTAGGAAGGAACACAGTCTTGCTGACACCTTGATTTTGGATATTTTATTCCCCCGAACTGTAAGATAATTAATTAGCATTGTTTAAAGTCACTAAGGTTAATGACAATTTACTACTTCAGCAGTAATTAACAAATATAGTTGCTCCTTGGTATCCGGGGGGGATTGGTTTCAGGTCCTCTGTGGATATAAAATTCCTCAGATGCTGAAGTCCTTGATGTAAAATGGCATGGGTATTGTCATATAACCTTTGCATTTCCTCCTATGTACTTTACATCATCTCTAGATTACCTGTAAATCCTAAATCGATGTAAATGCTAAGTAAATGGGTGTTAACTTATATTGTTTAGGGAATAATGACCAAAAAAAGCCTGTATATGTTCAGACCAGACACATTTTTTTTTTCCTGAGTATTTTCAGATCAACACAGAGGGTCGACTATATCCTAGTTTCAAATCATGAATTGAGCATAAAATTAGTAACACAAAAGACCTAAGCCTACATTTGTTTAATGGAGAAAAAATGATGAAAAACTCACAACAAGTTACTGAACTTTCTATGTTTTTTTCCTAGAAATGAGCAAGGCTCACATGATAACTCTTCCTCCCTCAGAAGGCACTCTGAGCTCAGTATTACATGAATAGCCCATTTATTTCAGATCTGTAGCTTGGAATTTATTGTGAACAGATTCAGTCTTAGGTGAGGGTGGAAGACATATGTCTCCATTCCCTGATTTCATATCTCCAGGATATTCCTACACCAAAAGCACTTCCTCCATAGAATTTGCAAAGAGTAAATATGTACTGTCAGAGATTTATTCTTATGGTTCAAGATCTAATTCTTTATTAATCAATCACACACCTCCAAAGTGCTATTCTTAAAAAACAAACAAACAAACAAACAAAAAAACCCAAAAAACAGCAAATTGCTGCCTTGCAAAACATCAGGCTGCCTTTAATGCCTTCAATCCTCATCTGAGTTCCAGAAGTGAAAGATCATAATCCATAAAAACCTGAGGTCAAAAATGTACGTTCTTAGAATCTGCATTTGTGTAGAAAGTGTCAGACTCTTAAGAAGGTAGCAATCTTGGCTTGTCACTTGGCTGGTCAGCCACCAGCTATGAATGTCAGTTACCTGCTCTTCACTTTGCCATTTTTGTCCTTGTTGCCTGCTCCAGATAAGAGGGAGCTGAGAAACAAGAGGGTTGACATAAATTGAGGTTAGATTGTAGTTTATTACTAATTCTTTCTCTAGACCAGATAGACTATTTGAACAGTTTGTGAAAACTAAGCACCTTCCCTTTAACATTGAAGGTACATATAGCTTTAGAGGAGGTTTCAGAGTTTTACGTTTTCATGGCCCAACCTAACAGACTGAAATTACCTGTGATGATCCCATCGCTTTTTCTTGGCAAGACTGGGGTGCCTATATTTAAGGGATAAGTGCCATTTTAAATGGAAGTAAAATGATTAATTTTATTTCAAGGATAGAAATTCTGGCTATCTCTTTACGAGTATATCCTTTTATAATTAAATGGAAGAGTTTTGGGGCACCTAGAGAAGCTCATAATATATGCCTGGGGCACTTTATACAGTGAACCCTTGCCATAAGTGCCCCATGTGGTCTCTTCACTGTTCTCCATCACAACTTTGGCTTTCAGATGACTTTAGCTTCGCTATTCCTTTATTTTGTCCCGGCATGTATTGAAAGAGAAGTTAAAAAAAAAAAAAGACAGGGCACTGAAAGAGAGAGAGAGAGAAAGAATGGTAAGAAAAGACAGAAGGGATGGAAAAAGGAAGAAGGAAAGGGAGGGGGAAAGGAGAGGGAGGAAAGCAGGGAGGGAGGAATAAAGAAAAGGGAGGGAAGGAAGGAGAGAGGAAAGGAGGGAACAAAGGTGGGAAGGGTAAAGAGGGAAGAAGAGAGAAAGGGTCGTAGATCGCATTTCCTTGCTTACTCATAGACAGGACTCGTATTAGCCCATTTCACACCGCTATAAAGAACTGAGTAATTTATTAAAAAAAAAAAAAAGATAGGTTTAATTGACTCACAGTTCCGCAGGGTTGGGGAGGCCTGAGGAAACTTACAATCATGGCAGAAGGCAAAGAGGAAGTAGGCACATCTTACATGGCAGCAGGAGAGAGAGAGAAGAGGGAAGCACCATTTTTAAACCATCAGATTTCATGAGAACTCACTCACTATTACAAGAACAGCATGGGAGAAACTGCCTCCTCGATCTAATCACCTCCCACCAGATCCCTCCCTTGACATGTGGGGATTACAATTAGAGATGAGATTTGGGTGGAGACACAGAGCCAAATCGCATCAGGACTCCAGCAATTCTTTCTCTCACCTAATCTATCTCTTATTCCCCTCTACTGCATCTATACCAACTAAAAGAAAAACACTTATTGGACACACAAGAGCTCTCGTCTTTTGCATTTGCCCAGCTTTTCAGGGAAACCCTATGAAAGGGGTGCTACACAGTCCCCACATCCTACCACCCTTCTTTCCCTCACTGCCACTCAAACCTGACTTCTGTCAATAGGGTCACAATGCCTTCTGCATGACCTCACTAAGCTCTGCCTCTGCCCATTGATATGACCCCTAATTATGTGGTCACTGGAGCTGCTTTCAGGTGTCCTTGTCCCAAGGGACATACAGCACACAGCCTGTGGAGGGTGGAGGAACCAACTGCAAGGTGGGTTTCCAGTAGGGCCAACTGGGGCTAAAGAAGGGGTGGGAGGCAATAAAGAGGCTTGCTTTCAGGGTGTAAGTGTAGGAGACAGGAATGTAGACAACAGATTTCAGCCTCCACTTTACTTTCTAGTGGTATTATTATTATTATTATTATCAGTAGTATTATCACCATCATTATTTGCTGTGGTATGAGTGTTTGTGTCTCTCCCCCAAAATTCATGCTGAAATCTAATCCCCAATGCAATAGTGTTAAGAAGCGGAACATTTGGGAAGTGATTAAGGAACACTGACCTTTACCCACTTGGCCCACCATGACCCACCTGATGCAGACTTTCCCCCTTTGTTAGGGAAGTGCAATTCAGACAACCTTTTATGCACGACCCTGTTCATTCTCTAAACCTCAAGCTCTATTGCTGTCAAACACACAGAACTAGTTTATCTCACTAGAGATGTGTTCCTTTATTCAAAAAATATTATCTTTCTTTTTTAGCAAGAAAGACTGTAAAATAAGCAAAAGTTTTGATTGTGGATAGTTCAAATCCCAGCTCAATCACTAGTTGTATAACCTGCATTGACTTGCTCAGAGAAAATATCTATCTCATATAAAAGTTATGTCAACTAAGATACCACTTTCAAGACTCGTGGTACGTGATAGGTGTTCAAGAATGTTCATTCTTACTGGAGTGACAGAGGAGTTTCTATATTATTTTATTAAATTATGTAAACTTAAGTTATGCTAACATTTAATAAGTGAAATTCAGTGTGTTCCTACAATTTTAGGCCTTATCTACGACCATCTTTCTCCCACACCCAAAATGGCCAAAGTTTCCCTACCAGCCTCTAATTCCATGGGCCCTAAAAGGCAAAGTTGTCCTTATTAAGTTTTAAATTTTAGGGATTTTTTTGAGACATTCCAGGCCTTATGGAGGAAAGTAGTATCTTGTGTGATTTCAGGTATCCAGAAGTTGACTTAAAAGTTCCTCTTACAGGTTAGGTTCATTTGCATTTCTCTAATGACCAATGATGATGAGCTTTTTTTCATGTTTGTTGGCTGCATAAATGTCTTTTTTTGAGAAATGTCTGTTCACATCCTTTGCCCACTTTTTGATGGGGTTGAAACTCTTGTGGTGATCCTAGTTAAAACACAACTCTGCGTGGATAGGTATTGGGTAGCAATTGACTCTTCCTAAGATTTTTTTTTTTTTCCTGAGACAAACAGTAGGAGGTTGACACTATAGCCATCACCAAATAAACAGGAGACACTGGAGCTTTGAAAGGTTGAATTATTTGCACAAGATCACTCAGTTGATGAATGGCAGAGCAAAAGTTTTGAAACCAGGGTTATCTGACTTTAGAGCTCTTTTATTCTTAGGTACAAAAAAAAATTGTCTCTATTTTTGCAAAGACCACAGCTTACATCAGAGCTTGGCTGATTTCTCTGATGTCTACATCTCATCAACAATCTACCTTTTGGCTTCTCAACACATACTGATTATTAATGTAGGGTGACCACTGTTAGAGAGGTCGAAAGGTATGCATCCCTGAGTTTCCTCCCTGCCTTCCTTCCTTCTTTTCTTCCTTCCTTCCTGCCTTAGTCCATTTGGGATGCTATTAAAAAGTAATATAAACAGGGTGGCTTATAAAGAGCAGAAGTTTACTTCTCACAGTTCTCGAGGTTGGAAGTCCAAGATCAAGACACCGGCATAGGTGTCTGGAGAGAGCTCGTTCCCTTCTCTGTGATGTTATGTGGTGAAAGGTACAAACGAGCTCCTTCAGGCCTCTTTTATAAGGGCAGCAATCCCATCACAAGGACTTCAGCTCCACGACTTAATCACCTCCTCAAAGCCCGCACCTTGTAATATCGTCACCACCTTGGGGGTTGGCATTTCAACAGATGAATGGGGAGACAGAAATATTCAAACATTCGGGCCACAGCACTTCCTTACCTCCTTCCTCCCTCCGTCAATTTATTCATTCATGTATTGATTCTTTCATTCAAGTGTCATTTGTTTAAACAAATACGTGAGTACCTCGTCTCTGCTAGGTACTTCTCAGGGGCTGAGGAAGTAAGGTAACCAGACAGTGCTTGTTACTTTAGAAGCTCACAGTGTAGAGAAGGAGAGAGATGTAGAAACAATATAAAGCAACACAGATGTGGAGGGGAAAGAGAGAAGGAGGAATTTCAGTGTTTTACCGTGTATACTTTCTGCTGTTTAATTCCTTTACCATAAAAATGCGTTGCACTACATGATTAAGAAACTCTTTGGCCCCTAATGCGTCACCTAGTTGTAATCTATGCAGAAGTTTGACATGGTAAGAGCCTGCCTAGAATTATCGCTTTTAACCAGGTAGCAAAAAAAAAAAAAAAAATCAAACATTGAACTCAACCAAGGAAAAAATGTAATTTCCATTTACAGAATTTCTTCTCCTTTTTTAGCTTCTAAAATGGGTGGTTTTCCAAAAAACCAAGTGCTCTCATTTATAAGTGGGAGCTAGGGTATGAGTACAAAAAGGAATACAGAGTGATATGATGGATTTTAGAGACTCAGAAGGCCGCAGGGCTAGGAATACAAAACTACCTATTAGGTACAATGTACTCTACTCAGGTGACAGGTGTACTAAAATCTCAGAATTCACCGCTATATAATTCATCCATGTAACAAAAAACTATGTGTACCCCAAAAACTACTGAAATTTGAAAAGAAGAGAGAGAATTTAACCTCTCCTTAATGATTCATGTAGCACTTTCATATCTTGAAATAAGGTAATGTCAGTCGTATTAAATATTGGTTAATTTAATCCATAGATGTGTGGAAAGAGGCAGTTGACAGAAAGTAATCTTGCATGAATTCAAAATGCAATTTTAATCAAAATGCAATTTTAAAATAGCTGCCCTTACATGGTCTGGCATTAAAAATAAACTTTTTTATAGAATGGAAGAAATAAAAAATGTTTAAAGGGTGGTTTTCTTTATATTTCCAAAAGGAAAGTTGATAGATGCAGAGACATGAAATGAATGAGGATAAATGAATAAGTGGATGAATCCTCAATATCACTATTTTATAATAATTTATTCTGGGGAAAAAAAGGCACCAAACCTCAGAGCCATAAGCAGAAATGAAAATCCACCAGAAAATGCAAAATTATTGTGAAGACTTTCTATTTGAATAGGAGGAGACTTGGATCTGTAATCATGAGTCCATAGATGGAACATTCTCAGGTTACACCCATGCCATAATTTGAACATTTGAATCAGGAATGCAAGCTTTTTCTCTCTAGCTGAATTGTTGTCGTTGTTGTTGTTCTTCTTCTTTTTAAATTTTGCAGTGATTTACTTTGAGTGGAGTCATTTGCTCTTGAGAAGAAGCATCACCACTAAAGGATGCTTTATTTTATTTCTGAAAGGCATTTGCAGGTAGCTCAGCAGATCTGTTTTGCCACTTTTGTATCACGCCCTTGTGTGCTTAGCCACATACATGTAGAAATTGGCTAAAATAAAAGTGCAATAAACTGCTGCTTCTGGATTTAAGTATTAGTTACCCAAAATTATTTCAAAAAATATCCATTTACTCTATGTATGTTCATTTTTTTAAAATTTCAACTTATTTTAGATACAGTAGGTACATGCGCAGATTTGTTACATGGGAATATGGTATTATGTGGTGGTTTGGAGTATGGATCTCATTACCCTGGTACTGAACATAGTACCAGATAGGTAGTTTTTTAACCCAACTCCTCCCTCCACCCTCTAGTAGTTCACAGTGTCTATAATTCCCATGTTTATGTCCATGTCTGCTCAATGCTTACCTCTTATTTATAAGTGAGAATGTGCAATATTTGGTTTTCTATTCCTGTGTTAGTTTCCCAGCTGAATTCAAACTCATTCCCAGATCACTTGTCCTCCTCAATTGATGTACACTGAAGAAAGAGCCACCTTCAGGCTGTAAGGTCATCGTATAATCCTGACCACTCATTTCCCATCATGACACTGCTGTTCCTTCTCTTTCTCCTTCTTGGATGTCTGATACAAACAGCCTCAGGTAAGCTACAAGTCCACCTGGAGGATGATGAAGTGGATGCCCTTGGAGCTGACGTAGGCCAAATTGATTGATCAGCCAAGGAAGCACTGAAATATGGAATAACTGAACAGCTGCATAGCTGAGAAAAACACAGCATGTACAACAAATTTCATTTTACAAATCAGGAGAGAGAAGCTTAAAGAAATTTAAAATTTTTTCCCAAGATTACATTCATCTAGTTGTTGCAATAGATACCAGACATAACTAACAATTGTGATAGATAACATTAATAGTAGGCATCACAGCTTACAAACCATTTCCATGTGAATCAAAGCAATGGCAACGACAACACTAATACTAATAACAAATAATGCTGACCACTTTCTGTTTACCAGACATCACGGCAAAGATGTGTTGTGTTATTTTTTTTGTTTTTTTTTTTGTTGTTGTTGTTGTTTTGAGACAGAGTCTAGCTCTGTAGGCCAGGCTGCAGTGCAGTGGCACAATTTCAACTCACTGCAGCTCTGCCTCCTGGGCTCAAGCAATTCTCCTGCCTCAGCCTCCAGAGTAGCTGGGATTACAGGCATGCGCCTCCATGCCCAGCTAATTTTGTCTTTAGTAGAGATGGAGTTTCTCCATGTTGGTCAGGCTGGTCTTGAACTCCCGACCTCGGGTGATCTGCCCCCCTCAGCCTTCCAAAGTGCTAGGATTACAGGTGTGAGTCAGGTGGCTTTCTCAAGTGCCAGCAGTGACAGTGGTGAGCTCGGTAGATAGGCATGCCCTCAAGACCCTGGGAGGCATGTGTAGCATCAGCAATTGCAGTAGTCATAGCAGGTCAACTCTCGTGACCCCAGATGGCATGTGCAGACACCAACAGTCATGGCAACATGATGGACAGAGTAGTCCTCAGGCTTTCACCTGGTGCAAATATGTGGGCACTGGTGACAGCCGTGATGGCAGGATGGGAAGTCCTATCCTTAGGCTCTCAGGAGACACACAGGTACTTGATGGTGATAGGTATGGTGGATTAATCCCCCAGCTCCCAGACAATGTGCACAGGCACCACCAGGCTGGGTGGGCTCATACTCAGGTCACAAGAAGGCATGCACAGGTGCCAATGACAGACAGCAGTGTGGGTTGATCCCCAGCGTCCTGGACAACGACCTTGGGTAGTGGTAGTGACAGCAATGGGTGGGATGGGCCTGTGCTCTGGCCCTGGAATAGTGCCCAGGCAGGTGAGTCCCCAGGTCCCCTGAGGATGCCTGCAGGTGTGCAGTGGCCCTGCTCCTGGGGGTCAGGATTGCTGTCAGTGTCAGTGGTCCTGGGAAGGTGACTCTCCACTTGAGAAGAGTGCCTGCTTCAGCTCCCTTTGTTCTGGGGGCAGCCTCCCTAGTGAATGGCACTGCCAGTTCCCTGGAGTGTAGGACACTGTGTAGGCTAGAGTGATGGGGACCAAGCTACACTGGTGAGTTCAGCTGGTATTGTGACTCTGCAGGCCTCTGGATGGACATGAGGGAATGTCACTGAGGGTCCAGAGATGTGGAGATTCAGGGGCTGTTGGGCCCCAGGGCAGGATGTAGTCTTTTGGGGGCTGGGCTCTCAAATTGGCATTGTGCCACAGCTGCCTGTGTCTGGGGGCACGTGCAGACGATCCAGTGCCAACTCCTTCTCTGGGACAATGACCATCACATAGACTCCAGGCAGCTCCCTATAGTAGTCTCAGGGCCTGCAAGGGCTGAGAGACTGTCCCTTGGCTAGGATTGCAGTGTCCACAGTGGGAATATGGACCACTGGGGCTCTCTTTTTTACCTTTTCACCACACTGGAGAGCCTGTCCTGGCTTTAAGCTGATTCTGGCTGGGCTGCTGCTTCATTTTCCTTTCCTTCCATGCCTCAGAGATTCCTCGTCAATTTGCTGCTGAATTCTAGTGCCCTCTTTCGTGCCCTCTTCAAGGTATGATTATCTACTTGCTGTCTTGGTCTTTCTTTGGGAGGACACAGTGCCTGGTACCTCTAGTCAGCCATCTTGAAGGCCACCTCCTAGCAATGAGAGGATAATATTCTATGTGATGGCTTTAATATATGTGTCCAAACTGCTTCTTTTCTAGGGAAGCACTTACTCTAAGAAGTAAATGTTATATAGTGCAAAAATATATTAAAGGGTCAGTTGGTGATGCAGTTTCAAAAATGCACTGAGGAAAACTTGGCACTTCCATAGGGTTGAGTTGGTTGGAATATATCTCAGTCTCTGAGATTTTGAACCCAATGTTTTGAACTTTTTGAGATTTCGAGTAGTCCATGTGACATAACTTAACATTGTTTCTTGGCCAAATCAGGCATAGTGAAAAATAAAATCCAGCTAACATACTTTTAAATATCTTGATTCTATACTCTTTCAATGACCAAGGGGAGGCCCCCCAGTACTTTACACAAAAAAGAAAACTCTATGAATGAGAATCTCTTCACACAAAGCCACTAAAGTTGTGTCTAAATGGAGGAAAATTGTGACAGGTGGTAAAAGCACTCAGTGGCTGTTGTAGGCAGAATAATGTCCCCTCTGTCTCCCGCCAAAGCTATCCACATCCTAACTCCTGGGTCCTGTGAATGTGCCACCTTGTAAGCAAAGGGGAATTGAGGTTTCCTGTGAAATTAAGGCTGTTAATCAGCTGACCTTAAAATAGGGAGATTATCTTAGATTATCCAGGTGGGCCCAATGTAATCATGAGTCCTAAAAAATGGAAGAGTGGGGAGAAGATGAATTCAGAATGATGGAATGTGAGGACTCAACGCTCCGTTGCTGGCTTTGAAAATGTATGAAGGAAGCTATGGTGCCCAGGAGTAACCTGCCATTGCTGGGATAAAGGTGCAGGAAGAAAACTGCAGAGCTTCCAGAAGAAAGCTCAGCCCTGCTGACACCTTGATGTTGGCCCACTGAGATCCATCTGAAACCTGCAGCCTATAGAACTGTCAGATAATGCATTTGTGTTGCTTTAAGCCACTAAGTTTGTTGTAATTTGTTATAGGAGCCGTAGGAAGCCAATACAGTATTTTAAAAGATGGAAGAAAATGCTGAATGATTATGCCCAGTGAAAGCTGGGAAGCAAAGGAATTCCCTGAATCTTGGCCAGGCATACATGTACAGACCCAGGGAATTGCCTCCGAAAAGGGTGCTGAAAAAATTGCCTTTAATCTGAGTGCAACTCTTTTTATAATTTAGATTTCTGGTGAAGTCTGGTTGACGTGATTGTGCAATTTTCCCATGTGCTGCACCTTTATCAGGGAGAGACAGACCCCCGCAAGGCTGCATGGAATAGGATGGCGCATTTTCCTAGTAAAAAAGGGGAGTGGTCTTCCCACATGCAGGGTGAAGGGTTACAGTGCTAGACAAAAGCAATGGGTATGATTGAAATTTCCCCCACCCTGCTGTATGTCATTTTCAACTAAGAGCTCATCTAGATGGGATAGAAGGATACTGGAAACCAAACAGTAATCAAGTCATAACATGTAATATAAACTTTTTTTTTTTTTTTTTTTTTTTTTTTTTGAGACAGTGTCTTACTCTGTCACCCAGGCTGGAGTGCAGTGTCGGGATCTCGGCTCACTGCAGCCTCCACCTCATGGGTTCAAACGATTCTCCTGCTTCAGCCTCCTGCGTAGCTGGGATTACAGGTGCCCGCCACCATGCCTGGCTAAATTTTTGTATTTTTAAAAGAGACAGGGTTTCACCATGTTGGCCAGAATGGTCTTGATCTCCTGACCTCATGATCCACCCACCTTGGCCTCCCAAAGTGCTAGGATTACAGGCATGAGTCACCGCACCCAGCCAGTAATATAAACTTTTAAAAGAGGTTTTGTGCTGGTTGGTTTTGGTTTATTCTTTTTTGAGGATTCAATAAAAATCCCTGTGAGAAAAATGGAGAGAGGGAAAGGGAGACAGGGAGACAGGGAGAGGGAGAGAGAAAAAAGAGAACCTAAAACCTCCAGAAAACAACAGGCTTCAGTCCTTTTTGGGTGTAGTGCTCTCAATTCTTGGTTGATGCCCCAGAGGCAGGCAGCAGGGTCGGCTATTTAAACATCTCCCTACATGGATTTCTGTTTCGAGGCAAAAGTCCCGACAGGAGCCATTTGGACGTTCACAGATCTCCTTGAATTTGCCCTTGGCTACATGCAGAAGGGGTTATTGTAACCATTCATCAGTCTTTCTTTACTTTGTATTGAATTACATGGACGTAGGGGGCAGTGCCTGAAAATAATCTTGTGTGGATTTGTGTGTGTGTCTGTGTGTGTGTGTGTGTGTGTGTGTGTGTTATTTGATTTCTTAAACACTTAAAAATCTGCTGCCACACAAAAATTTGGATTTTTTGGTGTTCTTGAAAAATCTGAGAATATTGGGTGCACCTACATGACAAAAGGCTGGAGGTGAGTAGCCTGCTTCCCTTTACAAGTTCTAGAGCATACAAGTTTCAGTTTATTTCTTCCTTATTGTCTTCTAACACTGATGGGAGATGTCAGCCTTTTAAGAAAATATAATGTCCTGTACTATGGATTTTCCTGGAGTGAAAGAGAAGAAAATCTCTTTTGGATCAGCTGTTTTTATTCCTACACACACACACACACTCTCTCTATATGATAGATTATAATAGATGTATCTTTCAAAAATAGAACTGAAATATAGACCTAAAAGATAATATACTTCAATTGTTAGAGAGGATATTTTTCCTGTGGAAGGGAACAATATTCCTATGTGTTTAATACATAAATATATCTGTGCCATTACTTGTTACACCCTGAGACTTCACTCACTACTCATATCTCTGGAACTGGTCTTTGAGGTTGCAATTTTTCTCTAGAAACCATTGCATATATTAAGAGTGAAACATTCAAGGTCTTCTTAAAGGCTCAAAAACTATACTTGTTGAAAATATTGAATAGTATTTCATTTATGTCCTAAGATATCACTGCTCTGGGGATAGGCCACACACTCTGAGGTACTGAGTTTGAAAAGTGTTTTAATTCTGAGCAGTCTTTGTATGTAACACAGAGCACCTTTTCCATGATAACTTCTTGGCAGTAAGAGAGGTATAAAAACCAGCACTTTTTTTTTTCTATTCTGGAACACAAAAGCCAATTCTAGAATAGCTTTCAATCAGTACAGCAATTTTAATAAACATTCAATAAATGCCTATTTAATTGACCTGAAATCCAAATGTATTAGATTCCATTTAACTTTTCAATGGTCACAAAGCAGTTAGTGGATTGATGTGAAGACCAAATATATGCAACATCATATTTATATCTGTAATGCAAATTGGGAAATAAAGGTCATGCTTTTCTGAAGACAATGGTAATTGTAAATGTTGACCACTTGGTAGAAACAAGCTGAAATCTGAGTTTTTTGATCCCTGAGCTTTCCATCTCTTCCTTTTATCTGTAAGTAGTCAGCTATTACGTATAGTAGTACCCAAGCCCACTGGCCTTGTGCTAAAATTGGCCCTTTGCAGCTGGAAGAGTCATAAGAGATTAGTATAGTGTAGAGGATGAACCACTGACCTGTCTTGTGATATGTGATAAATCACTCTTGAACATCCCTCTGTGGTAGTACTTCTTGCATTCTACTATGGGTGGTGTTTTCCCATCTGACCTCAATTCTTGATAATGAATTTCTTGAGGGCAGGAATAGTATCTTATTCTCCTCTGTATGTATATTCCAGAATCTGATTAAAGTCTTGGCTTATAATAGCTATTCAGTAAATGATTGTGGAATAATTGATTAAAATACAGCTATTTTCTAACTTGCAATATGTTTGTGCGGAAATTTGTTGTTACTCTCGGTTCAGAGGTCTTTGAATCATGTGTACTATTTTACTATACCTGATTCTATTGAGCATTATATTTTCAAACCACTTTTCGAGAAACTTAATACAGAACTACCATTTGACCCAGTAATCTCACTACTGGGTGTATATCCAAAGGAAAATAAATCAGTCTTGTAAAAAGACCTAAATCTGTATGTTCATCACAGTGGTATTCACAGTAGCAAAGGTATGGAATCAAACTAGGTGTTCATCAACAGTGGATTGAATAAAGAAAATGTAGTACATATATGTCACGGAATACTATGCATCCATAAAAAGAACAAAATTGTGTCCTTTTCAGCAACATGGATGCAGCTGGAGGACTTTATTCTAAGCAAATTAGCTCAAGAACAGGAAGACAAATACCACATATTCTCAGTTATAAGGGGGAGCCGAGCAATGAGTGCACATGGACATAAAAATGGGAACAAGAGAGATTGGGTCTTACCAGGAGGGGAGGGAGAGGGAGTAAAGTCTGAAAAGCTACTCTTTGGGTACACCCTACCTGTGTGACAGAGTTATTCATACCCCAAACCTCAATATCACACAATATATCCATGTAACAAATCTGCACATGCACTCCCTGAATCTAAAATAAAGGTTGAAGTTATTTTTAAAAATTGAAATTACAAAAGACTTTTTAAAATTATGATGTACCATTGTTCATTTGTAAGAATTCAAGTAACATTAGGGATTTTAAAAATCTTTCGTTTTCATTTGTTCTTTGCTTGTAAACCTTGTGTATTGCATATTGTGGACACTATGTCTTTTCCGGCCATTTGCTTTAGGAACAAAAGATAGAGTTACAATGAACATAGGCTGTCTTGTCTAGTCACCTACCTTAAAGTTGAGGAAATAAGCTGATGGAAAGGAAGAAACTTGCCCAAGATTACCCAGTGATCGAGTGAAGCAGATGATAGGGACAGCACTAAGGCTTGGTATTCTGAGCCTCATTCTATTTTCCACTCTTGCCCTCTCTCTGTGTCCTCCTCTCCTCTCTAGCCTTCTACAAAAAGTTGGCAGTTCTGCTTCAATGTCTACCTAAGGACATCCAGAGGAGATGCCACCTTTCATTAGGGTGCATTCTTTAGCACCATCCTGTGTTTTCTTCTCCAGGCTTGTTGCATCCCATTTTTGACTGTGAGTCATGCTTCTGCCTGTGCTGTTCTATCCAATTAGTTGCTTCTATTTTGATTGAGTAACAGTGAAAACAAAACAAAACAAAATGTGTTTATCCAAATTTGGAATTTTTAAACCTTGATTAAAAGCATTGATTTTCTGGGGTTATATATGTAAGACACATATTTTAAAATATTTTTAACTGATTAAAAAAAATCAAACCCATGTATTTAGCCAGGGTGACTATTTAACAAGTACTAGTGAGACAGGAATTCAGTAATGCCACAAGGATAATAATCTTATGTCAGTCCCCGATGTTGTGTGCTACCGAGTTAATATGATTGGATATGGTATCACCTTTTTTCAGGCTTTAGAAAGTAATACAAAGGAACAGCACAACAGAACTCTAGGGTGGGATGTATAGGGAAAGCCAGGATATTAAAACAAAGTGTTGACTCTGACATTTACCCCACTGTTGGGAAAAACAGTTCAGTTTCCAGGGCCTTAATTTTTTTCTCTATAAAACAGCAAAAATAGAGGCAATAAGTTGCTTATTCGTCCTTGAATACACATGTTCAGGAGTTCCAGAAAATTTTTGAATCTACTTTGGGTGTCTGGTAACCACCTTGGGCCAATCCAAGAAGTCCTATACACACTTCTCCAAAGCATGTCTGTGCAAGGGGCCTTATACCTGTGATTAATGTTCGCATGCTGAATGCAGTAGGCTATGCTCTGGTGTGGGATCATCCCTGGTTCCTGTGTTTAAATTCTACATTACAAGACTAGATGCTGAGAAGGAAGAGGGACAGCCAGGGATGGAGATGGAGCCTTAAGGGGAAAAGTCAAGCTCCAGGGACCAACAGTATCGGGGAGCAATAGGTTAAAGATTTCTTAGATTATAGTAATATTTTCAAAGAGACTTCTTCCACCAATCCCTTCTGTCTGAGCCTACCACAGCTTTGGCATAGCTCTTATGCCAGTTCTTAGGATAACTGACTTTTGCCGAAAGAGGAGCTTTGGAGACAAAAATTTAGTAGAATAATGCCTGATTTTTAATTTTTGAGGTCTAGTAACTGCTAGTAAACTTGCCTAATTTGGAGATGGAATAAGAGGGTTTCAAAGACTTGAAACACCATTGACTTCATTTAACTGGGTTGCTATGGAGAATTAACGAATTAGATGGCTGCAGGCCTCTCAGCCAATGAGTCTTCCAGGTTTCCTATGAGACCCCCTTTTCTGGTCATAGGTGATGGTGATTTCTCTTTGAGTATTGAATCCCTGTAAGGTGTTAGGCACTCTACTCTTACCAAGTTTATTTTGTTACCTGGTAGAACTTGGCTCATAAAGAAGAAAATGGTGAAGAAGAGGACAGCAATCCTCATGGCTGAAGAAAGAAAAAAGTTTGGCTTCATTTCCAGGAGGCAGAGAAAACTTCCGTCTGTGGCTCTCTAGCAGCAGTGGAATGTCTCTGTTTGGATAATAAGAGTCTTTCTGTACCTCCTTAGGGATATTCATAGATAGAGGTGTTCTATGCACGCAAAATTGCTTTTATGGGAAGACTGAGAATCCTTTTTTTTTATTGGACAGCCAGTTCATTAGAATGATGTGGGTGCACAGTTTTGGCCAGAAAACCTTGTTAAATGGGGACATAAGCTACATTTTGGCAAAAGATGAAAGTTTATGAACAAACAACCATTTATATTGTTACAATAAATTAGACTGTGTTGAGAAACCAGTTGGTTTCATTAATGACCAGACATTTTGTTAGTGAACACTTCCCAGACTTTACTAGCCCTGCTAAGAATTAATCACCCCACTTGCTCCTGGTCTGAAACTCCAAAGTGCTTTGTTTATGTTACAGTACTTACTGCCTTGTATGTTAGATTAGTGAATGTATATTTGCCTCATCCACTACTGTATGAACTTCTTGCTTGCTAGGACAAGGCTATATTCCTCAGAACTGAGGAGGGAGTTGAATCATGTGGCTATTTATTCTCAAATCCTCTTCACCAAGTGGAACAAAACAACAGCGAAAGACCACCGCACGTGGAGGCAGGAGGTTTGGATTTGGGTTCTAGATCTCTAGATCTATTACTAACTGGAGGTATGGATATAGTCAGGAAAATTGTCTTCCTTAGGTGCTTCCTTGATAGCACCTATAAAGGTCGAGATCTATTGGATCTAGATCAGGGGATTCTCAATCATGACTATGCAGAAAATCAACTGGGAGAGTTACTTTGCAATACAGATGCTTAGTTCCATCTCATGATATTTTTATTTTTTTTTAAATTGGTCAAGTATTTTTCATTAAATAATGTAAACTTTCTTAGTCTACATCTAACAAAACTCCCACCAGCATACAAATACATTGAATGATATTAGCAGCAGAATCTTTAAATAAAGTAACCATACACAACTATGAGGCCACCTTATTTTCATTGCTTATTATTTCATGCTATTTGTCACCATTGTCATCATAATCAGCCTCATCCTACATTGTTGAACACCCATCATGGACCATATGGCATAAACATTTTTCCTACTCATAAAGGAGCATATGTTCTCTATATGTATATAAAATTAATGTCTGAACAAAGTAGCTTAAACAAGGCAGAAGTTTGTTTCTCCCTCACTTAAATCTATAGTTCTACCTACCATGGCTAGTACAGATACCTGCCAAATTCATTAGGGATGCAGGCCCCTTCCAGCACTCTGTTCTGCTATAGTGTAAAAGAGGCTCTAGTTTGGCTGCTAAATCCCCACCTATCATTTTTGAATTCCAGGCAGCAGGTAGGAAAAAAGCCAAGAGAAAAAAACAAGGGAACATCTACCCCTCCTTTTAAGTTTTTTAACCAACCCCCTCTTGTTTTATTTTAACCGACTTTGTTGAGCGATGATTACATTTAAAAAGCTGTACATATTTAAGGTGTACATCTCAGTGAGCTTGGGGATAAGTATACACCATGAACACATCACTACCATCAAGATTATAACCATATCCTTCACCTCCCTAAGTCCCCTCCCCTTTATTATTATTTTTTTTTTTGGTAAGAAATATTGGTAAGAATACAAAATCTACCCTTTTAGCAAATTTTAAGTATTTAATACAGTATTCTTAGCTGTAAGCACTATGCTGTAAACGAGACCTCCAGAACTTACTTACGTGGTATATCTGAAACTTTGTGCTCTAACCACATCTACCCATTTCCCCAGCACCAGGGCCCCTGGCAACCACCATTCTACTCTCTGCTTTTGTGAGTTTGTCGATTTTAGATTTCAAACACAAGTGAAATAATATAGTAATTGTCATTCTGTGGTTGGCCTATTTCATATAACCTAATGCCCTCCAAGTCCATCCATGTTGTCACAAATGACAGGGTTTCGTTATTATGGAACACTGAACAATATTCCATTGCATATATGTATTAGCCATTTATCCTGATACTCTCCCTCCACCTGCCTCCCAACAGGCCCCAGTGTGTGTTGTTCCCCTCCTAATATCCATGTGTTCTCACCGTTCTGCTCCCACTTGTAAGTTAGAACGTGCAGTGCTTGGTTTTCTGTTCGTGGGTTAGTTTGCTGAGAATAATGGCTTCCAGCTCCATTCATGTTCCTGCAAAGAACATGATCTCATTCCTTTTTATGGCTGCATAGTATTCCATGGTGTATACGTACCACATTTTCTTTATCCAGTCTGTCACTGATGGACATTTGGGTTGATTCCATGTCTTTGCTGTTGTGAATAGTGCTGCAATGAACATATGTGTGCATGTATCTTTATAATAGAATGATTTATATTCCTTTGGGTATATACCCAGTAATGGGATTGCTGGGTCAAGCGGTATTTCTGGTTGTAGGTCTTTGAGGAATCACCATACTGTCTTCCACAATAGTTGAACTAATTTACATTCCCACCAACAGTGTAAAAGTGTTCTTATATCTCAGCAGCCTCATCAGCAGGTAGTTTTATTTAAAAAATTTTTGAGAAACCTTCATACTGTTATCTGAAATGGACATAGTAATTTGTATTTCCACCGCAAGTATACAAGGGTTATCTTTTCTCCACATCCTCGCTAATACTTGTTATACATCTTTTTGATAATAGCTATTCTAAGAGGTATCAGGTGATATTTCATGGTGGTTTTTATCTGCATCCCCCTGATGATTAGAGATGGTAAGAATATTTTCACATATTTGTTGGCCATTTGTATCTGTTCTTCTGGGAAATGTCTACTCAGATCTTTGCTCATTTTTATTATTATTATTATTTTTTTGAGATGGAGTCTCGCTCTGTCACCCAGGCTGGAGTGCAGTGGCGTGATCTCGGCTCACTGCAAGCTCCGCCTCCCAGATTCACACCATTCTCGTGCCTCAGCCTCCCAAGTAGCTGGGACTACAGGCACCCACCACCATGCCCAGCTAATTTTTTGTAATTTTTTTTTTCTTTTTTTAGTGGAGACAGAGTTTCACCATGTTAGCCAGATCTTTGAGCATTTAAAAAAAGAATTCAACTTTTATTTTAGATTCAGGAGATGCATGTGCAGGTTTTTACATTGGCACATTGTGTGATGCTGAGGCTTGGAGTATGGATGATCTTGTAACCCAGATAGAAAACATAACACCCAATAGACAGTTTTTAAGGCCTTTGTCCCCACCTTCCCTTCCCCCTCTAGTAGTCCCCAGTATCTGTTGTTCCGATCTTTACATCCGTGTGTAACCAACGCTTTGTTCTCACTTATAACTAAGAACATATGGTATTTGGTTTTCTCTTCCTGCATTATGTTAGAATAATGGCCTCCAGCTGCATCCATGTTGGTGCAAAGGACATAATTTTTTTATGGTTGTGTAGTATTCCATGGTGTACATATACTGTATTTTCTCTATCCACTCTAACATTGATGGGCATCTAGGTTGATTCCATGTCTTTGCTATACGACCTTGGGGAAAGAGAGTCTTGCTGCTTGCTTGTGGGACTTGCCTTGGAAGGTAGATAAGTTCACTGCATCCTCCAACTTTTTATTTCTGGTGAGTTCTCCAAGCACTGAGATGTGAACTGACCTCATTCCCTTACAATGGTACTGTTACCAGTAGAAGAGATTCCAGTTTCTGGCAGCGTATCTGCATGGGTCCATAAGCAACTTCAGTCCTTGCCTCCTCAGAAGAAATAATTTGACTGAAGGGCATACAGCAGAAAAAGAGACTGAGCGGTAAGTTTCAGAGCAGGAGTGGAAGTTTATTTAAAAAGGCTTTAGAACAGGAAGGAGAGGAAAATTCTCTTGGAAGAGACCCGAACAGATGCCTGAATGTCCAAGAAAGAAAAGAGAAGAGCCTTTAACCTTGATCCTGCCATGGGTTTTCTTCTTTCCCATGATTCTAACTTTAGGGAGCGTTTCCGGCTTGCACAGTGTTTTCCTTACCCTTTGAAATTGAGCATGCACGGTGTGTTTAGGGAGTTATATGCATGTCCATCTGAAGCTTTCTTTCCTTTTCCGGTGGAGTGTGCCCCCGGAAGATTATGCTTTGCCATTTTTGTCTCTTAACATGCATGCCCAAGAAGTTGCTTCTTCCTGAGGTCTGCATTTAACTAACATTTTTGATGTTAACAGGTGTAGACCATCAGGAAATGGCCTCTCTTTGGTGCTGCCTAATTATCATTTTTAGAGAGGCAATGTGATAATTGACAGGCCATCACCTGACATTTCTAGTGGGTAGGGGAAGAGCCCTCTCCTGCCCTGCTCATGCTCTTCTACCTGTAACAAGACAAGCCTTGTATATCATTAGACATTTGTCCCATCAAGGCAGCATCTCATTATTACATTTTATTGTGTGAATTGTTACTTCACATTCTCATAATCTGTGTTCACTATTTGTGTGCCTTTTCCACTTTTGTTTTGACCATATCTCATTATTTGAACTGCCTCCTCCAAGATTCTAGATCTGCATTGGCCAATATAGTAACTACTAGTCACATGTGACTATAAACTGTAAATTAATTATAATTAAATAACTAAATGACATATCCTTAGTAGTAATAGCCAAAGTCTTGGCCAAACTAGAAATTCTGTAACTACATATGTGTGGTAGTTACTGCATTGGACAATGCAGATATAGAGAATTTCTTTCATCACAGAAAATCGTGTTGGGCATGTTGGCTACCACTTATTTTTAAATTCTATTTGTGTGGTTTATAGTTAAATTATATTCTGCTTCTCTATATTCATTTCCTTTCACAGATTTTCTCAAGCAATTTTTAAATTTCATTCTTTTACCTTATTGAGGTAAGTACTTAGATTATTTTTTTAAAATAATGCACAGCAAATAATTTTTCCATCGATATTGTTTTAGCTTTATTGTATTGGTACTTTTATGTACTATATTCAGGTATTATTATTTTTCATAACTTACTTTTAAAATTGTGACAAGTTTATTTAAAATAGATTTCTCCCTTGATTTTCAGATGTTAGATTCTGTCTTCCATTGCTGTATTTTAATTTAATTTAATTTTATTGTATGTAAATATGTTGCATATTCCTTTTTTTAAAATGTGAGATATTTCCTCTCTCCTGTTACATAAACTTTGTATGCAGTGTTCATTATGCACTTTAAAAATAAATATTTTGTTTCAGGGCATGATGCTTTCACACATAAAACCTTAGAATAATTTTAAATTCCATTCCACTTTCACCATTCCTGAACTGCTTTGAATATATTGGAGGTTGGAAGCCATGAGAGGCTTGCAATCCTGTCAAGATAATAGGATTTTCCATTTATAGTGTAATCTGACTTGCAATCCCGTCAAGATAATAGGATTTTCCATTTATAGTGTAATCTGATATATATTCGTTCTGGTTTCATACTTTAAAAAAATCTATTCTCTTTTACTCTGTGGTGATCTTTGCTTTTCTATTTTTCCATTGCTAGAATGTGAGCTGCTGTTTCCCTAGCACCTCAGATGTCATTCAACATTGTATAGCACTGGTGTTGAGAATTGAGAGAATCTACTAAATAATAGCACTTTTCGAGACTGCAGTTCTGAATTAAAAGGAAGGGAAAGGACAGGCAAAACAATATAGACATCAGCTATTTTTACTGAAGATCTGTTGGAGAACATGGTTTTGTTGTCCAGGAACTTGAGACCTAATACTGCATTCCTAATACTTCACTAACGTGTGTCTAAATAGCCGTGAAAGGGCTAAGAAGTCACAAGTTGGCCTCTTAATTTTTACGGGTGCCCTTAAAATATTAAGGTAATATTGAGGATGCAGAATGGCTCATTCCTCATGACTTTTTAAGAGATCTGGGCCGGGCACGGTGGCTTACGCCTGTAATCCCAACACTTTGAGAGGCGGAGACTGGCGGATCACCTGAGGTCAGGAGTTCTAGACCAGCCCTACCAAAATGGAGAAACCCCGTCTCGACTAAAAATACAAAATTAGCCGAGCACGATGGCGCATGCTTGTCATCCTAGCTACTCAGGAGGCTGAGGCTGGAGAATTGCTTGAACCCAGGAGGTGGAGGTTGCGGTGAGCCGACATCGCGCCACTGCACTCCAGCCTGGGCAACAGGAGTGAAACTCTACCAAAAAAAAAAAAAAAAGAGAGAGAGAGAGACAACTGGAGGGAGATACTAAGCTGTGCAGGCTCTCATCTTGAAGTCACCAAATACATAAGTTGTTATTTCTGCTCTGGTGAAAAGTTTGTCAATACATTTTTTTTCCATGAATTAATGAAAATTTTAGACCTATAACATAAGTTTTTAAAAGTTTCTCCTAAAGATTGCTTGTGTATGTATGTGGTTTAAAATATATTTAATCTCTACATCTTGAAATCGTTTTGATAGATTCCACACAAGAGTCCTTTATGAAATAAGTATGCTTTAACTTTCTTATAATATTTGTCCTTTTTTGTCCCTGGCACGGTCTGTATATGACCAGTTAAATTACTTTTAGTTCATGTTTGGGTTATAATTACACACAAATATTCTCTAAAGCCCAAATCTTATTTTGATATTCGAGGAAGAGTTTACATGGTAATAATATTAAGGGTTACAGCTGGTTACACTGAAGCTTTGTCGGCATTCTCTAATATCTTATTTTTTTTGAAGGAATATCTGTTCTGCTTAAATTGTAGGCTACATAATACATGTACTGTCAGGTACATTCATGGAAGGGACAGGCAGATGGAGTCATATGTTACTGGAGTCTTGATGAACAGATGTAGAAAATAGTTCAAGGAATAAGAAAAAAGTTGATATTGAAAAGTGCTTGTTGAAGTCTGTAAATGTGCATTAAATGTGGCAGTAAAAATAGACACAATGATGTTTGGGAACTGGGGTCTAAATGCTGGAGTCCCCAGAATCATAGAGAACCTTGGTTAGGGGAGTAATTTTGTCAAAAAGCAAGAAGAGGCAGTGACAGGCAGAATATAATTAAAAGTATTGCTGGGCCATTTTCTAATTTTGTAATTTTGTCATATTATTCAAACCCTGTTGATCATTTATTAAATTGGTAAATAAATTATAATCAGCAGGATTATTATGAGGGTTAAATAAGGAAATATATGTACATCTGTAAGCACAATGTCACAATTAATACAAAGTTACCCTTTTTATTTTTCCTGGACTTCATGTACAAATGGGTCAGTAAATTTTTTGTTTATGACACATAATTATCACTTGCACATAAAATATATTTAATTATTTTTATATTTTTAGCAAGGAAATAATACATGCATGTTTCCCCGTCTCAAACACATACACTCATATAAACATATGCACCTATATACCTACATATCTATGTACGAATATATACATGGACATGGGTATTTCTCAGCAAATATGTATCATGATAATCACAGATATTGCAGCTAACAAAGACTAATATAAACCATGATTGCAAGAATTTTAGATACCACGTTAGTGAAACATCAGATTGAGCTGCTAAATTTCTCCCACCCCTATGTCATTTTGTATTTTCTGAGCATCCTAGACGATTGTGACTGTATACACAGGACAGAAACACCATGACTCAGGGTACTCCTGCTAATTTCCGATGCAGGAGATTTTAAGGGCTAGATTAGCAGGATGGGAGTGTTGACCCTCTAAGTGAAATAAATCCCTCAATTCATTATCCCCATCCTAAAACAGATTTTTTTTTTTTTTGAGACAGAGTCTCACTCTGTCGCCATCGCTGGAGTGCAGTGGTGGGATCTCAGCTCACTGTAATCTCTGCCTCCTGGGTTCAAGAGATTCTCCTGCTTCAGCTTCCTGAGTAGCTGGGATTACAGGCAAGCACCACCATACCCAGTTAATTTTTGTATTTTTAGTAAAGATGGGGTTTCACCATGTTGGCCAGGCTAGTCTCGAACCCTTGACCTCAGGTGATCCACCTGCCTTGGCCTCCCAAAGTGCTGGGATTACAGGCGTGAGCCACCGCACTCGACCCTAAAACAGATTCTTACTTGATTATTTCCACGTTCCAAGGGGAAATACAAAAGTCAGAGTTGAGTGAAAATAAAAGTGGAGTAAGGCTTCAGAAGGCTGTGGTGGGTGTTGGAGAAACGTTGCTAGGGCATAAAGCTAGGATAATAAAATCTGAGAAATCCCAGTGTTTATCTATAGGTGGAAATCATATTCCACATGTGGATGGAGTCAGGGATCCCTGTGTTTTAAAATCAGTGAGGGAATTGAATATCTGGACTTGTGCCAATTAACATACAAAACTCCGTGCTTTTGATGTTCTCATTCACAAGATATCTGTGTTCCTTGTTTATTAGCAACCATAGTCATAGGCTTCCTAATTTTGACCACGGGAAAAGAGGAGAGGCCTCTGCGTGTTTGTGTCTGTTGGTTAGGCTGTGGTGCAGCTGGTGTCACACTTCAGTGAAAGTCTGGCTTTTCATCACAGGTTGATCTGAAAATTGTGCACAAGACTGGTGTCTCACATGTTCTTTCTCCAACCTCAGCTTTTCTTAGTGCCTAAAGTGTCTGCAAGTGGAAATCCAGAGGAAGACAGAGAGAAACTGAGTTCCTGACAATGCATTCACTAGTGAGTAGGGGATGCCTCTTTCTACTGAAATTATACCCATATTGCTGGCAAATGGGCAGTTTTCTCCAATTTGCATGGGTGTTTCATTTTTATTCTTTTTTTGTTTGTTTTTATGATGTAAAATCCACCCAGCCTGGGTGTTCCAAATGCAGTCAGGAGGCTTTCAGGTATCTGGCCTCCAATTAAGTTTTCTCAGGACTCTAGGTTGGGTATCGTGTGTCAAAGACTCCTAAATTATCAATATAATTTCTAATATTACACTACTTTATTCCAGCCCTTATTAAGACTATTTACAAAAAAAGATATGAGAGGTTTCATTTATATATTTCTTTTTCTTCTATCCATCCTATAATCTCATAGGGAAATAATTGACCCATTAACTGTACTGTTGGCTGAAATAGACTTAGGATTGTGATGAATGCAGACGACAGAGATGAGTGAAGAGCAGAACATCACAGCCCAACAATGAGTCTGATGTTCTAGCAGCTGAGTTCAATAAATCCAGTGTGATAGGACTTGGGCAAGAGCTGTGCAGTGTTGAGGGAAAAGAAGAGTTTTATAAAATATATTTGAGCTTTTAAAAACTTTGTGAAAGGACAACTAAAGAAGTCATTACTATTCTTATCCCCATTTATTTTACCTTTTGGTAATTAACTTTTTTGCCTTCTGGTAAGTGAAAGTAACATATAGGAAATATAATTATTTAATTATGGTTGCACACTCAGAAGAAGGAATATAGTAGATAGAGTACAATTTAGGGTTCTGTGGAAATGCTTTATAAGGGCTGGTTACAAAAAAAAAAACAATGAAGAGGCTTTCTTAATCTTTGAACAAGTGAAGTGAGAAGGTCAATTTAAAAGAGAAACAATGATAACTGATGTTTGGACTGCCGAGAGAAAGTTGAGAACAGGAGGCTTCATATCACAGGAATCATCGGACTAAGATTTCCTCAGTATAGCAGCCTCAGCAGTCTTGTCTTGTGCTGCTAGACTGTCTTCAAGCCTTTTCATGAACACCTGAATTATATAACATTAGAGAGACTATATGTATGAATTGAATCCTATATTCTGCATAAAGCGTTCAGTTCTGAAGAATGCTGGAGTCTGGTTCATTACTTTCTAACTTTTGAATGAATAAGGGACCAATGACTTATATTTAATAAATATTTGCTAGGTAGGAAACACATTTTCTATTAGTTCATTAGATTATTCAAAACACATCATTGGTCTTTTAACCATTTGATTGGGGAGAAATCTGTCTTTCATCTAGAGAAATAATTTATTTCATCGCAGTCATGTTTAAAAAGTAGTAAATCATGGTTATTTGCCTTGTGACAAATCTGTAATTTACTTGAAATTCATGGTAAATTTCATTTTATTTATGAATGTTCAAGTGAAAATTTTATAAGCAGTTATGTAGAGGTGATTAACACATTACTGAAAAATATCTGGGTTATATTATGCCACACCTCATGCAATATTTCTTTATAGTAAAGTTTAATGGATTCAGAGTGGGTATATCTCTGTGAGTGAATCTGAAAGGCAGATACCAGCTTAGTACTGAGAATGAACTGGCTGGAACCAAAAACACTGAGTATTCTGCATACCCAGCTCCTAGCTATATCATCTCAGCCTTCCTCTTCTGGACATTGAAAGGGATTTCTCTGTCTAAACTAAAATGTCTGTGATGTTTTAGGAGAAAGTGACTTTTGAAGATGTAGCTATTGACTTCACCCAGGAAGAGTGGGACATGATGGACACATCCAAAAGAAAGCTGTACAGAGATGTGATGCTGGAAAATATCAGTCACCTGGTGTCCCTCGGTGAGTCCCTCAACATTCACGTACATATGTAGACACACATTCGCTCATTCATTCAATAAGTGTTAGAACAGCTTCCCCATATCTCACTCTAATCTCTTCTCTGATTCTCTCACAGATCTCATCTGAAAAAAGTTTGAACTCTCTAAATCTATCTTAAATAAATATCTTTCTTTTTATTTTATTTTATTTAGTTTGTCACTCAATTAGAATGTAATCTTGACAAGTATTTCATGGTGTCTTTGGTACTCAGTCTCTAATACTCATAACAGACCTGGGAACATAATGAATATTTTCAATGTATTAAATTAAATACTCTCTAAATAACTCTTCTGCTTTAGTCTATGCTTAGGCTGAGACCAATTAGTGAAAACAATAGCAATATCTTTTCCATATAGAACACCAATTATTTTTGTAAATCGAATGTTTTTTTTTGTTCTGCGTGAGAATAATAATAAACACAATGTGCAGAGATTTAATTACTCTCTTTCTGAAAAGATTGTGTATTATGCATTGTGTCTTGGAACTTAGGCATGGACTCAGCATTCATAGGTCCTGACTGTTTTGAATTTCCTTTTCCTGATGGCCCTTTGGTTTGGATTTATTTTCTAGTCTCAAGTTGGGTCAGAAAAATCCTGGGGAGTTTTCTGTGTTCTAGGTCTTGTGGCCTGAGCTGACCTTCACTGTTTTTATTCTTCCTTGATAGCCTGCCTTACACTTGGTGATAATGCACATTTATTGACAGTGAACTCAAAACACATGTATTCTTTCCACTAACAGGGTACCAGATAAGCAAATCCTATATAATTTTGCAGCTGGAGCAAGGAAAAGAGCTGTGGTGGGAAGGAAGAGTATTTCTTCAAGACCAGAATCCAGGTAAGCAACAGGGTCCTGTGTCCTAATAGGAGGAGGTGCTTTCTCAATGAATAATATCAGTTGAATATTAATTAGTGGTTTTATTAAATGAGTGATAATTTCTAAAATGTAGGTTAGGCTACTGGAGCAGAATTCCTTAGATGTTATTATCGTTTTGTTCATGTGTCAGATGTTACTCTTGTGTCCTCTTGTTTTTCTTTTCTTTTACTTTTGGGAAAAAGACAATTCATGTACTTGGCTGGGGTTAAACTTTCATATGCTGACCCTTTCCCTGATACCCCTGTGAAGACTATCCCTCTATTTACTTGCCTGATATCTCATCTCCATTTTAACTCTTTTCACATTTTAATTTTAAAAATCTTTTCTAATTGCTGACACTGTACAATCTATTTCTTCTATTCAAGTAGTTTCTTCATTTGACACACTTGCCACATCTAAGTGTCAATTTTTGAAAAAAAGTAAATGGGCCTTGGGGCTTTTCAAACAATTTTATTACCATAATACCAATGTAACAATTTATTTTTCAATTATTTCAGACAGGGAAAGTGCCCTTAAGAAAAAACACATGATATCCATGCATCCTATCATCAGAAAAGACACATCCACCAGTATGACAATGGTAAGTTTTATAGCTGTGTACACCAGTCATCTAAGTTAAAGATATGGTAATGGGTTAAGTTAATAATGAAGCACAATCACCTGAGTGTAATTAGGCTGGCATTAAGTGCTTTCTAAGCAAAGAAAAAAACTGGAGACTTTGAATTTAGTGAATACATTGACCTCTGTTCTAAATCATAACATGAGATCTCTAAAATAGAGCAAGTGCATATACATTGCTCATGCCCAGACATTGAAAGATATTGATATCATCACAATTATGCAATAACTCTGCAGTTGAGATCTTACAGAAGAGAACATACCTGTGTCTGCAGGAGATAATGTGTATGCAAATGTCAATCGAGAAAAATGACAAGACAAGTCTCAATCATTTTAGGAGATTTATTTGCCAAAGTTAAGGACATGCACCCAGGGGACAGGTGTATGCCTTTCTCCAAAGATGATTTTGAAGGCTCCAAATTCAAAGGGGAAAGGCTGGGATATTGAGAAGTACACAATTTTCATGTAAAAGGTGGGTAGAAAAAATAGTCATTCATGCATTTTTCTGGCTCAGTGAATCTGGATTTTTTTACATAACATGACATAAACAAATGAGGCAGAGGAATAATGCAGGAAAGCTGCATTTTACATAAGACAACATAGGCAAAATGGGGGCAGGGAAACAATCAGATATGCATTTGTGTCTGGTGAACTTGGGATGACTGCACCTGTAAAGACAAGTTATCAGTTTGCATTGCCATGGTGTAATTTTAACAGCTCATGAGGAATTTCCTTGTGGGCAAAATATGGGGGAGGCATGTAGCTTTTCATCTTGTAGTCATATTATTTAGGAACCAGAAGGGGGAGGCAGGTTTGTGTGACCCAGTTCCCAGCTTGATTTTTCCCTTTGGTTAAATGAGTTTGGGGTCCCCAAATTTAATTTCCTTTCACACAAGAAACATTGGAAAGATTTCAACTGGGGTCTACCACTGAATGGTTGGTCTAGGATTCAAAGGTAGTGAAATGAATGTATAGATATATGTGGGTAAACCATTAAGAGCTTTTAATCTTTGTCCCAAAGGAGAACTCTCTCATTCTGGAGGATCCTTTTGAATATAATGATTCGGGAGAAGATTGCACTCACAGTTCCACAATAACTCAGTGTTTGTTAACTCACAGTGGAAAGAAACCCTGTGTCAGCAAACAGTGTGGAAAATCCCTTCGTAATCTTTTGTCCCCTAAACCACGTAAACAAATTCATACTAAAGGTAAATCATATCAATGTAATCTATGTGAAAAGGCCTATACTAATTGCTTTTACCTTAGACGGCACAAGATGACTCACACTGGAGAGAGGCCATATGCATGTCATCTATGTGGAAAAGCCTTCACTCAGTGTTCTCACCTTAGAAGACATGAGAAAACTCACACGGGAGAGAGACCATATAAGTGTCATCAATGTGGGAAAGCCTTTATTCAATCCTTTAACCTTCGAAGACATGAGAGAACTCACCTTGGACAAAAGTGTTATGAATGTGATAAAAGTGGGAAAGCCTTTAGTCAAAGCTCTGGCTTTAGAGGAAACAAAATAATTCACATTGGAGAGAAACCACCTGCTTGTCTTCTATGTGGGAAGGCCTTCAGTCTGTCCTCCGACCTTAGATGACATGAGAGAACACGCACTGGAGAAAAGCCATATGAATGCCATTTATGTGGGAAAGCCTTCAGTCAATGTACTAATCTTAAAAAGCATCAGAAAATTCACCCTGGAGAGAAAATTATAAACTTCTTCAGAACATATTCTGACTTTAGATGACACAGTGTTAGGAATGACGAAGGTAAGGAATGTGGAAGAGACTTCAGCTGTAGTTGTAGCATCTAAACATGCCAAAGGACTCACATTTTGAAGAATTACTGTAATCAACATGGAAGATACTTCAGTTGCCTTTATTCTTCAGCCCACATCAATAAATTCATATGGAAGAGAAATTGTATGACATGTATGTACCAAAGACTTGTTAGTGATCTGAGCATAAATGACATGAGAGAGCTGAAACTGTCAGCATAATCAACTAAAAGTCTTCAGCAACAGCTTTAACTTAAAACATGTGGGACTTTCAGGTAGAGAATCTCTAACTCTGCATTCAGTGTGAAAATGTTTTTATTTGCAATTTATTGTCAAATAACATGAGAAAACTTTACTTGGATGAACCCTTTATTTGTATTTTTCTGTGAATGAACATTCAGCCAAGCACCAGGCTTGATGTTCACAAGAGAAGAGTGACAAAATGCTGCTAAAATGGAAAATAAGAGAGGAAAGCCTTCATAAGCTAAATAACAAGGGAAAGTCTTTCCAAGGGCAATGAATTCTCTTGGAATACCAAATACTTCTTACTGGAGAAGTTATGCAATGAAAAATCATGAGAAATCCTTTCTTCATAGAGCAACACATGTGGCACATGTGAGATTTCACACTGGACAAAACAGGGTTAGCATCTTGAAAGAAGAAAATTCTTTAGTGGTAATTCATTTCTTAGTTGACATTCAGTTTCTCACATTGAGGAGCTATCAAACTTGAAAATCACTGTGGAGAAACCTGATAGATTTCTCATCAGAAAAGTGAGTCAAGAAGGTGGACCTCTAGAAAAAACTCTTAACACATACTTTAGCAAAATAATTCAGAAATTTGAGAAAATATCTATTCATAAAAATGTGGCATGTAAATGCATAATAGCAAAGTGACCAAGGAATAAATTGAATGCAGAATTATATAAGAAATCTCATTAAACTTTTCCAAAAGAGCAATACTTACAAATATTGAAAGAATACAATCTGTTGTTGAAAAAACTTAGTATGTTGGTGAAGCCCTTGTTTCATTTATGCAGCCCTAACAAACTGATTCGCATCTGAACTCCTTGGGTGAGATTCTTGGTGGAGATTCTACCCCAACTTCTGAGTCTCCCCAGTCTTCAACAGCTCTTTCCTCACAGCTCACCTCCCTTTACTTCAACGTCCACCAAAACCACTTGTTTCCATCCAACCCTCGAGTTGACACACCAGGGATCTTCAGCCCCACTTGCTAGATTTCTCAGTTTGTCATTGCATAGATTTAGCAGGGAAATGGAGGCTGTATCAAAGACCCCTAGTATATGCATTTGGGTGTCCCCAGCTCTTGCCTCTGTCTCTGAGCAGTTACCTGGGATCAGAGAATAAGGCAGCTCTTCTCTTCTATCCCTCAGAAGGCTCTTGAAATTTTGTCCCTGGAGCCTCTCTAACTGGAAGTAGCAGTTCATCTCATGACACCCCACATTTTATTCAGGTGAGTCCTGAGTTATTACACAGAGACAGACACAGCTGTGCTCCTTTTACTGCAGTCCAGAAGATAAAACACCAGCATGATAAAACAGCCGAACCTGTCAGCCACCTTGCAAGCCTTTTCTATATTTGATTCAATGTACTTTTCCCGAAGCAAAATGAAAGTTCTCACAGAGGGGCCCTCCTCTGCCTTGTCCTCAGAATTGGAAAATGTATTGTCCGTGAAGGAGCCTCACCACTGAACCTAAAACTCAAGAGAAAATGTTTCCTAAATATCAAGTGGGATGACTTGAAATTTTGTCAAACAGGCAGAATCTTAATACGATCGGCCTTACTAAGGCTAAATGGCCTTATCCATGGTTGAAATTGACACATCATCATATTAAAAAATCTCCACGAGTGATTGATTTTACTCTGCAGCCAGGGTTTATGTCAAGTGTGAGGATAATGAGCAAGAAATTCAAGCCCTTGGCAAACTGGTTGGAGAGGCAAGGACTGTGTCCAGGCAGAGCTCATATCATTATTTATTGTTTAATCTATTTAATTAAATATGTAATTTACCCACAAACTGTGGCTGACATTATATGTACTCCTGAGCCACATTAAGATGTACTATTTGTGCTGTGAAATTCTATGGGATTTGACAAATGCATGGTGGCAGATCTCCAGCCATTATTAAAGCGTAACACAGAATGCTTCTCTTATTCAAGCTCGTCTTCCCTCCACATAGAGGGAATCAATCGACTTTTGTATACTGATTTTTGAATTTGCTTCTTTATTTCCATCTTCTTTAATTAAAGCACAAGATATCGTACTCAATTTCCATTTGATCTTCCAAAAGAAAGTACTGAATAATCCACACCTGAATTTCAGTGATTCAGACTCAGGTCCACCGCTAAGACCAAACGTCCTGTGCTGCCACCTCATGGCCGGCAGAGGGCAATGAAACCCACCTTTCCGGCCATGCAGGGCGCATGCGCGGTCTGCCTCCCGCGGCGGGCCGGGTCTCCAGGGAGGACCTGAGTTTTCTTCACCCATTGTCAGGGAGGCGCCATCGCCCTGGCTTTGGGGCTGGGGCCTCCGGGGAGGTTCCGGTAGGGGCGTTGGAGAGGCCGCTCTTTTTGCAAGGCCCGAGACGGCGGGCCCTGCGCAGGCCGCCCTATTCCGCGCCCTCAGGGCGTCAGTATCAGCCTGAGGCTGGATACCCCCGCTGGGCCCGGATGCCCCCGCTGGGCCCGGAGCATCCTCCGGCGCTGCCCTCCCAGAGCCCCGCAGAGGCTGAGGTGGCGCGGGGGCGGCCCCGGCTCCGCGAGAAGCGGCGGCAGCGAGGGCTGGAGGACCCGGGCTGCGGGGCTCCGGGGCGTCTGGCCTGGGCGGGACTGAGCCCATCCAGGGACTGGGACTCTGGGATTCTGGTGTAGGTGGATCCGGGGCAGGCTCAGGACCAAGTCCCTCTCCTTCCACCAAGGAGCGCCCAGAGGCCGGCGGGAGCTCCAGGTTCACCTCCTCCTCCTCCAGGTGTTTACTTTTCCTTTATTTCTGTGAGGCCAGAAATTGTCGCCATCCTTCACATTGGTGAATCGGGACCCTAACACTCATTACCTCAGGTTTATTGTTATTGCCATTAACAGTGTTGGTGGCATTATCACTAAGATCATCATTGTTGTTATTATTGTCATTTATGATTATTAGCAGGTGTGTTCATCATTTTGCCTCACTATGCACATATATATATTTGGGATTGGTTTTGTATGACGTTGAATTGAGCTTCTTTAATCTTGACCAGTGTTGTCAGATTTCTGAAGAGCATTCCGGAGGACATCTCCTGCCTTTCAGCGCAGCCACAGAATTTCGTGGGCACAGGAGAGCACCTAGAATATTCCCCTTTCATTGCACAGCAGCTTTGGGAAATAGTGGCTTCCTGGCTCTGAGATGAGGTAGAAAAGACTGGATACTGGGGCAAGTGTTAGCACCTCCACTGGTGTTTTTATGAAGCTAAGAGCACTGTCTCCCACGTAGACTTAGAATAAAATCTGATGGCTCTAAAGGGCCATGGCTGCCCTTCCTGGGACTTCCTGGGAACCTTTAAACCTTCTGTGGTTCCTGGAGTAGGTAGGTTGCCAAGTCTGTGCCTCATATGGTAGCACCAGTCTTTTCTGGGCCAACAAGGGCACTTAGAATGTTTCCAGAAGCTCAGGCGTGCTGTCTCTGTTCCTCCCTTCTGTTCAATGGCAATTCCCTGGGTCCCTGGCTGATATAGAACATCCTGCCGAAGGTTGGGCTTGGGTGACTTCCTGGCCAGCCTTCCCAGGCAGTCATCTTTGAAAACCTTGAAGAGACTCACAGAGGCTATTCACTGGTATTTCATGACTGCAAGTGGGGTTTCTGGATCCTTGAGTTTACTTAGAATATTTGAATGGCTCTGAATGGCCAAGAAACCCTCCCTGATCTTAGAAGCTGCCAAAAGCTATTACTGGGCCCTGAAGAGACTTTAAAATTTTTCCAAGTACATTTGGGCATAGGAAACTTTTCCGGGTCTAGCTGAGCCAGCTCAGGTTGAGTCCTGAAAAACTGGTGGGTACTGGGGGATCTCAACTTACGAAAGAGCAATTGGTGGCAAAGCTGGGTCTCCAGGATAGCTGTGTGTGTATATGTCTGTAGCACATGCCTTGCAGTCATCTTTAGTAACTGAACACCATTTGTGAATGGATAAACTATATTCATTGCTGTACAATGATGAAAAATCCATATTAACAATGGCAGTAATAAAAATATTGATGGATATTAACAGGAATAATGATCATCATGATACTAGTACTAATGGTTTTAATACTGATAATAATACTAACCCTATGGACTTGGGACATATAAGTTTTCCATAAGTGGATAATAGGCATAAATATTTGGCTGTGTAGGGTTACTTCAAGTCCCAAAAAGCAAGGATGAACATCTAGAACGAGAAGAAAAACAATCTGGAGGTTAGTATGTGCACACCTGGGGACTCCTGTGTTAACTTCTGGTGTTTCAGCCTAAGAGGGAATGTTAATATAACCCTGGTCCTGGAACACCATGCTGACCAACACCTATCAGCTTTCAGGAGATAAGACAGCTGGCTGATGGGGCAGGGATCCAGAGAAGGCACGGGTCCACACCTGCACATGTTGCCCAGTGGCAGAGTTCATGACAAGCAATAAGCCCCAGGACAATGTCATTCCCAGCCACCTGGCTGTCATCTGCTCTTTCATGGCCCCTCTCTACTGGTACCTCTAGGCACTGGCATGTCCTCCAGAGGCTGCAGGAGGGCATGATACTCAGTACTCTCCCACCTGCAGGAGGCAAGAAAGATGGAAACAGCTAAATACCACGGCTTCTGGATTTTTTTTGGTGGGCATGGCATATTTTGCATTTGCTTTAATAGTGGTGGAACCCAGTCAGTAGCTTGCAATACAGATCTAGATGACTCTGGACACCTGTAGAGATTTTGACAATTTCCAGAAGGTCACAAGTTCTTGGAGGACTTTTTCATGAGTTCTTTGACTGAAAAGATGGTTCAAAGAGCTTCTATACTGACTTAGAAAATGTTGCAGAGGCCAGGTGCGGTGGCTTATGCCTGTAATCCCAGCACTTCGGGAGGCCAAGGCAGGCGGATCATGAGGTCAGGAGTTTGAGACCAGTCTGACTAACATGGTGAAACCCCTCTCTACTAAAACTACAAAAATTAGCCGGGCGTGGTGACACGCACCTATAATCCCAGCTACTCGGGAGGCTGAGGCAGGAGAATCGCTTGAACCTGGGAGTTGGAGGTTGCAGCGAGCCAAGATGGCGACACTGGACTCCAACCTGAGCGACGGAGAGACATTTTATCTCAATAAATAAATAAATAAATAAATAAATAAATAAATAAATAAAATAAAAAGGAAGAAAAAAGAAAATTCACAGACACTCTGGTGAACAGGTAGGCCCTCTCCTGCCACTCCAGGTAAAAGTTTCTTGGCCACAAACCTGATTTGGCAATATCCCTTCATCTTAGGTGGGTAACAGAAAGCCATTCATGACCTATCCAAGCATGGAGAGGGGATTTGACTTAGAAAACTGTTACGTGGACTAGTTGGTGAAAGAAAGTGCATTCTAGGACTCACAGGCCTACACACAGAGTTGCTATCAGATAAAGCCGATGTATGAACTCTTTCTGAGCCCATGGCAAGATGAGGGTGCACTTCATCAGTCTCTTATGCTGGTATGAATAGGTACTTGCCTGAAAAATAAAAGAATAATTCAGGAAGCCCATTCTTCTACAGGACACCAGGCAGTACAGTAGGAGTCCTGGGGTTGCTGTGGTATTTATGTTTTAAGGTTGTCTTTTAATCATCTTCAGCAAATTCAACAGTCTTCAGGAACATAAAAAAATTTTTCAACATTACATAAAAATGACCACAAATATATCCATGATAAAGAACTGTACCAATATAATAACATTAATAACAATCATAATGGTGATGATATGTCAATTTAATGAAGAGAGTAATAAAAAGCAGATATTTAAGAACATATTCCTGTAAGCCTGTGACAATGTTCCCATATGAGCCCTCATGTTATTGATTAGATGGGGAAGCTTAGGGCTACATCTTGAAATATATTCTGTGAAGGCAAAGAAGAGTGGCAGTACGGAGAATTATTCTGAGCCACATGAGAGCATGGGCAAAAGTGGAGATACCTGTGCCATGTGGAAATACATTACAAATGGACTATGGCAAAGGGTCTGGCCAGAGTCTTGCCTGACACAGCTCGTACAAAAGCCTTCAGTAGTGCAACCCAAGAAATAGCTGGTCCAGGCTGTAGATGAGAGGCACTGGGCAGACAGATCCATACCCACCTACTGAGTCTCAGAAGTCTGGTGTGCATGGAACATTAAGCCCCTAGCCTACTGAAACTTCACCTCCCAGCTGGTCTTGTACCATCTGATTCTTGAGCCCCATCATGTTAGTGTCATCTCCATACTGGAATTGCCAACAATGTCTGATGGAGGGTTTCACCCTGGGTACTTGGTACCAGCAATGTATGAAATACCAGAAGGGAGGCTCCAGGGCTTCCATAGAAGACACATTCTAAAGTTACTCAGGTGATCAAATGGTCATCTCAGAGATTTTCAGTAGAACTGCAGCATTTTGTCAATACCTGAGTGAATGCAGAAACTATCCAGAGGCACGGGCATTCTAGGAAGCTCCCTGTGTAAATCAAATACAAGGAATATCTACTTCTGGGCTCAAAATCTAACTTAGAGAAAAAAAAATTGAAGTGCTGGCAGAAGACAAATAACTCCACTTCAGTTCTCAAGAGAAAAATGGTTCTGTAACCTCTGAGTTTATTTAGAAAAATTTTGGAGCCTCAGGAAGACCGAGTATATCATTCCTGATGTTTCCAGGACAGATTGGACTGCTTAGGCCTTTGGGAATATTCTAAGTCCTCTCGGGTTTCCATGGGAGACTGTAACTCTACTCCTAGAGCTCACACCACCCCTGAGCAAGTTCATTGTTTTCTAAATATTCCAAGGAAGCCCATTCAGGGTATGTCTGTATTGGTGAGTTTCACTTTGGACTGGCAGGAGAAGACTGAGAATGATACATCCTGAGTTCACTTGGTAAAGGTAGGGTAGCCAAGAAGTCCAGATCTGGAGAGCACCTGAAACACCAGATGGCAGAAGGACAGTAAGGAGGTAAAGTCAGCTATGGAGTTGGAGCTTCATGTTTACTGCATGTAGGATTCTGAGTTCCAGGACTGATGGGCTGGTGGGGATCAGAGACGTGTCTTCCTTGCAGGGAGCCAGGCCAAACCAACCATCTGGTTGCACTACTGAAAGCTTTTGTGTGCCCAGTGGTGGGCAGGACACAAATCACAGTCCCTTCACCTCTGGCTGGTAGTTCTTGATGAGAGAGGTTTGCACACAAATGTTCATATTAGCCCATGGTCTCCTGCGGCTTGCTTTTCTTTCACCTCCTGTTTTTGATGTTTGCCATCATGGAACACATTTCATAGAGAAATTCTTTGACTCTGACTCCAAATTACACAAGGAGGACAGTCTGTGAAGTTTTCATATATTTAGGGGAAGCTCCACATTAATTTTTGTATCCTTACGTTTATAATGTCTCCAGTATTAAAATTCGTACTATTTAGGTCATTGAGTTCATTATCATGATTATTAATTATTTTTCGTATATCATTTCTTTTTATTGGTTAATTTTTGTGGCAGCTGTTATATAACAATCACTAGAGTTTCCCTATTCATGAAAGATG
Source organism: Homo sapiens (assembly GCF_000001405.40). Classification (NCBI taxonomy): domain Eukaryota; kingdom Metazoa; phylum Chordata; class Mammalia; order Primates; family Hominidae; genus Homo; species Homo sapiens. The sequence goes on from NC_000008.11 coordinate 7,960,332, forward strand.
TCCAAGTTAATGGAGATAACTAGGAGTGTTACTTCACAGGTATGTAAATACAGATAATCTTGGCTGAACTGTGGCTATATTGTCTGGTGTCCCTTTGAGGGTGAAGCCTCTTGTATTATTCTAAGTGACCTCTGGAGAAAGCAACTGTCTCATAATTGCAGGGACGACTTGAGAAGGCATCCTAAGCCTATGCAGAAATGTAGAAACACTTCCATTATCTAAACAACCTATGTGAAGGCCTGAAAGCCAAAGCAAGATCCTCTTGTTACAAAGCTGTCCAACAAAAAGTTTTCCAAGTAATACTGGAGGTCCGTCAGTCAGTCTTCCTGGTCTGGAAATGCCAGAAATGTCCTCCTTGGTCCTTCTGAGAGTCAAGATCTTTTCAAAATCACCTCAGGAGCCACAGAACCACTCCATCCTACCTGAAATTGCAGGATGACTCTTCTTTTGACCAGAGTCTCAAAAATATATTCGTTGATAGTTTTGATTCCTGGGAGCCGCCATTGCTTGCAAAAGATGTGCCAGAGACTAGACATTTTCTGTCTCCTCACTTGTCCGGGGAAGACTGAAGTTTTACTGAAACACAGAGATGGGAATCTGACCCTCTGAGCAGCCGCAGGATATTCTAAGTCTTCCAAGAAGAGTAGAAATATTGGTGAGGACCCATTGCACCCCCTGATGGTCTGCAATCACATAGGATGATGCTTTCAAACAACTCTAGGTGTAGATACATTTTCTGAGATATTCCAAGGAGGAGGGACACAATTGGACCAGATGTTAGAAGGACAGCTGAGCATTAAGTGCCTATGTAGTGTTTGCAGCTTAGTGTCCCATGCAGAAGGGGAATCTGGGCCCTGGTGTTAGAATTCAGTGTAATTCTGGGTTCCTGCTTTCCTTCCAGGAAATCCCACTTCCAGCTAGATGTCTGCATGAACTACTGAAAGCTGCTGAGTGTCTTGCAGCAGGTGAGCTGTGGCCAGAGCTCAAGGATGAAGGGGACTCCCTCACTCTGTGACTGTGAAGAGGAAGCCTGAGGTGTAGCAGGCCCAGGTCCCAGAAGTATGGAAAAAATGAGGTAGGGAGGGAGGGGACCTCAGGAGAAGACTGAGGTCTACAGAATCCCAGGGTCAAGGGGATGGTGCGGTGTCCGGGCACTGTCCTTGATGTTCCAAGAGGGGTGAGAATCCATCTCCTGAGTAAAAACTTCACATGGAGTGAGGAGGGGAGAAGTGAACAGAGAGGAAGCAGGGAAGGCCAAGACAGCGACCAGCCTCACAGCAATTTTAACCAGAAATGGACACAGACCCTGGACCCCATCACAGGAGTGCAGGCCTAAGACTGTCTCCAGGTGATGCATAGCTCCCTTGTCAGGTTAGTGGGTGCAGGCATTGTGACGTCTGCAGGGGTGTGGAAGGCTGGGCAATGGGAGCAGCTTACTGGGCTGGACCAGAAATACTGAACTTCTTTTCCATCAGTGAAATCCGCTTCTGGGTCAGAAAAAACTGCGAGTTCCAGAGGGGCAGGGCCTAGGAGGAGGTCAGGTCCTGAGCCCTCCTGGTTTGACCCCCTCCCCACCCCCTGTGTTTCTGGGTCTGTCCTCAGTTCCACCCAGCAGATCCTGAGTCTCTTCCTTTGAGTCCCCGTGAGTGTGTTGTGTGCAGTGGGGCCGGGCTGCTTCATCCACTGCACATTAAATGTTTCCAATACTTTCCGGCCAAAGCTTAGAGTTGTCAGACCACTGAATTTGAATGTTGACCTGGTTCCTTGTGGAACAGAGTAATAGCTATTGAAGTTTAAAGTCACTTTCCTGCGTGGATGGTGAAGAGGCAGGCTGTTCAGGCATAGCTGTCCTCAGGCCTGGAGGGCTGTGGAGGTCACCGTGGGCGGTGGGTGGATCCGGAAACTCTGTGGCTCTAGACTTTCAACTATTTTATTTTTTCTTTTGTATTTTTTGTTTGTTGCTTGCTTTTTTACAATGGGAACTAGAATGTAAGATGCCAAACTCAGCCTGTGGGGAACATGGATTTTCACAACAGCAACCACAGAGCGTGGTTTCCATTTCTATTCCCTGTTCATGTGGGAGGGAGAGAAGGAAATCAGGTGCTCAGTTCCAGGGACATCACAGGACTAGGACATGTGCAGTGAGGGTGGAAGGCAGAGGCATTGCTTTAGGAGAATAAAATTACTGCATGCACACACATATGTATGTATATGGATGTATGTACACAAACATGCATATTTATAGATTCTGTTCTCCCTCTCTCTATTTAATTTTCTTTATTTCACACTTGATATGATTTCTAAATTTAAATACCTTTGAGACAAAGGTGAATTGTGAAGGGATTTAAAAATGTCAGTGAAAAATGGAATTAACAATAAAAATATAAATATAAACTTTATTTCTCAATATAAGCTCTATTGAGGTCCAGACACTCCATTAAGGGATGATCCCAGCCATTCAGTCCATTGCTAAACAACTGAGGGTAACGGGAATTTAACCGTGTCAATGCAGTCTTCTTTTACTAACTAAAGAAAAATGAGTGCCCTTTACAGTTATTTTAAGATTAGGGAAAAAAAGGTCAGAAGAAAACAAATCAGGACTGTAATGTTGATGCCTAATAATTTCCCATGAAAACTCTTGCAAAATTACCCATGTTTGATGAGAGGAAGGAACAGAAGTGTTGTTGTGGTGCAGAGGGACTCTCTAGTGAAGCTTTACAGGGCGCTTTTCTGCAAAAGTATTTGCTAATTTTCTCTAAGAACTCTCCTAGTAAGCAGATGTTATCGTGCTTTGATCTTACAGAAAGTCAACAAGCAAAATGCCTTGAGCATCCCCAAAACCTCCATGGCTTTAGCTTTTGAGAAGTTTGCTTTTGCTTTGACTGGACCACTTCTACCTCTTGGTAGCCATTGCTTGAATTGTGCTTTGTCTTCAGGATCTTATTGATAAAGCCAGTTTCACTCCCTGTTATAATTCTTCAAAACAATGCTTCAGGATCTTGATTCCGCTTGCTCAAAATAGTCACTAATAGCTCTGCTTTTGTCCACTGCTCATCTAGGCACAAGGGTATTTGGGACTCATCAAATGTAAAGTTTCTCAACTTTCACGTTATAGTCAGTATTGTGTAACCTGAACCAATTGAGATGTCTGTGGTGTTGGCTGTAATATCTCTTGTTAATTGTCAATCCTCCTCAATTAGGGCATAGAAACGATTTTTTTTTTCCTCAAAAATTGGTATGGATGTCCCTCCTCTGTTGACTTCATCTTCAACATTGTATTATCTCTTCTTAGAATAAGGTATCCATTTGTAAATGACTGATTCTTCAGGTCATTTTTCCCATAGACTTTTCATAAAGAATAATTTATTTCACCATTTTTTGTACCCCAGCTTCACCGTAAATTTGATGTTTGTTCTTGCTTCAGGTTTGACAGAATTCATGTTGCTGCCATAGAGGGGCTCTTTTCAAACTGATGTCTTAAATCTTGTTCAGGTATGTTAAAACAGGGCCAGGCACGGTGGCTCACGCCTGTAATCCCTGCATTTTGGAAGGTTAGAATAAAGTTTTTTAAAACTTTATTTTATTTCATTTTAAGTTCTGGGCTACATGTGCAGGATGTGCAGGTTTGTTACATAGGTAAATGTGTGCCATGGTGGTTTGCTGTACCTATCAACCCATCACCTAGGTATTAAGCCCACATGCATTAGCTATTTATCCTGATGCACTCCCTCCCCACTCACTCCCAGACAGGTTCCAGTGTGTGTTGTTCCCCTCCCTGTGTCTGTGTTCTCTCATTGTTCATCTCCCACTTATAAGTGAGAACATGTGTATTTGGTTTTCTGTTCCTGCATTAGTTTGCTGAGAATAATGACTTCCAGCTTCATCCATGTCCCTGCAAAGGACATGATCTCATTCCTTTTTATGGCTGCATAGTATTCCATGGTGTATATGTATCACAGTTTCTTTATCCAGTCTATCATTGATGGGCATTTGGGTTGGTTCTATGTCTTTGCTATTGTGAATAGTGCTATAATGAACATACGCATGCATGTATCTTTATAATACAAGAATTTATATTCCTTTGGGCATATACTCTGTAATGGGATTGCTGGGTCAAATGGTATTTCTGATTCTAGGTCTTTGAAAAATCACCACAGTCTTCCACAGTGGTTGAACTAACTTACATTCGCACCAACAGTGTAAAAGTGTTCCTATTTCCCCACAGTCTCACCAGCATCTGTTGTCTTTTGACTTTTTAATAATCACCATTCTGACTGGCATGAGACGGTATCTCACTGTGGTTTTGATTTGTATTTCTCTAATGATCAGTAATGTTGGGCATTTTTTTCATGTTTGTTGGCTGCATAAATGTCTTCTTTTGAGAAGTGTCTGTTCATGTCCTTTGCTCACTTTTGAAATTTTTAAATTTTTATTTTTTAAGACAGAGTCTTGCTCTGTCACTCAGGGTGGAGTTCAGTGACACAATTTCGGGTCACTGCAACCTCTGCCTCCCAGACTCAGGTGATTCTTCTCTCTCAGGCTCCTGAGTAGTTGGGATTACAGGCCCGCACCACTACATCCGGCTAATTTATTGTATTTTCAGTAGAGACGTGGTTTCACCAGCTTGGCCAGGCTGATCTTGAACTCCTGGCCTCAAGTTATCTGCCCACTTCACCCTCCCAAACTGCTGGGATTACAGGCATGAGCCACTGTACCCTGGTTTTCCCCACTTTTATATGGGGTTGGGTTTTTTACAGTTTTGGGTTTTACATTTAAGTCTTTCATCCATTTTCAGTTCATTTTTGTATAAGGTATAAGGAAGGGGTACAGTTTCAGTTTTCTGCATATGTCTAGCCAGTTTTTCAAACACCATTTATTATTAAATAGGGAATCCTTTCCCCATTGCTTGTTTTCATCAAAAATAAAATGGTTGTAGATGTGCAATCTTATTTCTGATATATCTATTCCATTCCATTGGTCTATGTGTCTGTTTTGTACCACTACCATGCTGTTGGGTTACTGTAGCCTTGTAATATAGTTTGAAGTTAGGTAGCATGATGCCTCTAACTTTGTTATTTTAGCTTAGGATTGTCCTGGGTATATGGGCTCTTTTTTCATTCCATATGAATTTTGAGGTAGTTTTTTCTAATTTTGTAATGAATGTCCATGGTAGTTTATGGGAATAGCATTGAATCTATGAATTAATTTGGGAAGTATGGCATTTTCATGATATTGATTCTTCTTACCCATGAGCATGGAATGTTTTTCCATTTGTTTGTGTCCTCTCTTATTTCTTTGAGTAGTGGTTTGCAGTTCTTCTTGAAGAGGTCCTTCACTTGCCTTGTTTGCCGTATTCCTAGGTATTTTATACTCTTTGCAGCAATTGTAAATGGGAGCTCATTTGTGATTTGGCTCTCTTCTTGTCTATTGGTGTATAAGAATGCTTGTGATTTTTGCACACTGATTTTGTATCTTGAGACTTCACTGAAGTTGCTTGTAAGCTTAAGAATCTTTTGGGCTGAGATGATGGGATTTTATAGATATAGGATCATGTCATCTGCAAACAAAGACAATTCAACTTCTTCTTTTACTATTTGAATATGCTTTATTTTTTTCTCTTGCCTGATTTCCTTGGCCAGAACTTCCAGTACTATATGGAGTAGGAGTGGTGAGAGAGGGCATCCTTGCCTTGTGCCGAATTTCAAACGGAATGCTTCCAGGTTTTGCCTATTCAATATGATATTGGCTCTGGGTTTGTCATAAATGGCTCCTATTATTTTGAGATATGTTCCATCAATACCTAGTTTCATGAGGTTTTTAATTTAAAGGAATGTTGAATTTTATCAAAGATCTATTCTGAGTCTACTGAAATAATCATGGGGTTTTTGTCTTTAGTTCTGTTTACATGGTGAATTACATTTATTGATTTGTGTATGTTGAACCAGCCTTGCACCAAAGGGATGAAGCTGACTTGATCTTGGTGGATAAGCTTTTTGATATGTTGCTGGATTTTGTTTGCCACTATTATATCGAGAATTTTTGCATCAAAGTTTATCAGAAATATTAAACTAAAGTCTAGTAAATACATTGAAAATAATAACAGACTGATTAAAAGACTAAATAATATGAATCCTAAGTGTTCTCACAGCTGATTTATAGAGTAAAAGCATTGTCAAACCAAATGAGCTTGGATAGAAACTGTATAGAGTCTGAGATGTTGTCTGAACTTCCAGTCACTCATTGTGAAGTGGAACTGCAGTAACTACATTTGGTGCAAAATTTCATGTCGATGGAAGCTGATATGTCCTGCAGTCTCAGAGGGACAGAATTCTGGTGTATCTCCCTTTGGCCTATGAGGAATGAAGATTTAGGCCCTGAGGGTTTTGTCAAAATTTATAAGATGTAAGAAATGGGGACATCTTTAGGCCATGAGGCAAGGCCTAGAGGTGTAAAGAAAACAGCTTCTGACCCAGGGCTCATGAAGTCAGCATAGTGTCAGAGGCGATGGTGGAGTGAGCATAGTATGGTCTTTGGAACCATTCCTTCCCCATATTTCTTCACAGGCCAAGTATGCGCAACCAGGGGGCATCTCGGGCCTGATGAGCAGAGTCCTGGAGAGATAAAGGGGCAATCCTGAGGAAGAGACTTGACAGGGAGGAAGGAGCCACCATTTTCACTGCTGAGAAAACTACTCCTCCCTAGTAAACCATAGGATTTTCCTTGGTCCAGTGAGAGTTTTCCTGAGTGAAGAGAAAAGAGAGAGAAAGGGACTGATGTGTTATCTGTTTCTACCACCTGAAGTGATTCTGAAACTTTGGGGGACAGGAGAATTATCTTCAGAATCATGAGCAATCCAGATGCCATGATTACACATGAGAGACTGAAAGTTCTTATCTCTGGGGGGTAGGCACTAGGCATTGATATTCGTTAAAGCTCATTCACTGATTACAAAGTGAGACAAATAAATACTCTGCTGCAAGATTTATTCATGACATATTATTTCACACACAATTCAATTGTCTTCAGCACAAAGAGCTCTTGGTTCCCTGCCTGCGGACACCCTGTAACTGGGTCTTCCAAATTCATTCTTCTGGATGTAAAAGAGGACATAGGCCTGTTGACTCAAAGGAGAAGTGATACCAGAGGCAGTGACCTCGGCATCATCCATTTTATACCACTGGCCTTCTTGAGCTTTGACACAAGAGAAGTAATGTCCGTTGTGACAACTCCACCCGGTGACGATGAGAACAGCATAGAGGACATAGAAAAGAGGTCCTGTGTTCTGCTGAGACATGTATGGCTGCATGTCAACGCACTCAGGATATTGCACATTCTTGGCAAGTCTGTTGCCTGTGACATCGGAGAATCTCTTCAAGACAAGGATGAGGACCTTGGCAGAAGTGTGTAAAGTTAACGTCTTGGCGGCAGGCGCCTTCTGGAGACAAAGACCACAATGATAGGCATTCTCTCCATTGAGTTCTTCGGGCTTCACCAACTGTTCCTAAGCTTGCTTGACACTCTGAGCTGCCTGGATATCCAGGGCGATATCCAGGTAAGGGTCGAAGGTGTCTGAAATGCCGTGGAAGTAGAGACACTTGATTTGAGATCTCTAGTACCCTCCAAATATTTGGTGGATGAGGGTGGTGTCCTTGCAGTGATGATCTAGCTGCTTGTGCCCGGGAAGGCATGCCTTTCTAATGGCATCCACAGTGAATATGAGAAATTCATGGGCATCTTCCTGCTTGCCTCTATGGAAGTCAGCAGCCAATGCCTGTGAGGGCTGGATGACATGGCCAGGACGGTGGAGGTGCCCGTGTGCTGTGAGCTTCCATAATACAGAGCATGCAGCACTTGGGACGAAGACACATTTGAGAGAGCTCCCAGGACAGCATGTAGTTGGCAAGGGGCAGTGTGTATGTCAGGCACTGCAGGGAAGCCTTCAAGTAGCAGGTATTTCCCATATTCTGGAGACCAGCTCCCACCGCAGCAGGTCTCCTGCTACTCGGAGGAAGCTTCTCCCTGGGAGCAAGCTGTCTTGTCACAGGAGCCAAATCGTCACAGAGGTCGACACGGGTCTCCGATGAGAGTGGTGACTTCTCAGGGAGAGAAGTCCGCTGGATTTCAGCAAAAGCTGCATCTGGCCGAGAAGATGTGAGTTTTGAAAAGTGGTTGAACTGCCACTCACCTCCCAAGTAGAGTGAGTCGTCCTCCATGTCGCCTGGAACAAGGATCACAAGGTTTTTCTGCTGGGACCGCAGGTTGCAGAAAGACGCTATCTCTTCCGAGAGAGTCTTCAAATAACGAGTTCTCTGGCCAAATCAGCCCTTACATAGCTCATCCGCACCAAGAGCGAACACGCCACCCGTACATAAGGTGCGCGATAAACCAATCAAATATCAGCACTCAATTAAGGAATGAGTCACAGGGTGTGTCCCCTTGCATCGCTGGGAATTCAACAGACACAGCCCACATCATGACTTCTAAAACACCTGCATCAAATTACTCCTCAGGATGATAGGCACATATAATATGATTGTAACCGGGTTGGGACAGTGGCCACACAGTTGCCTTATTTTAGGTAAAAGAATGTCAGGGAAGAAATCTTTATCTATGAAACCGTGTGTGTGTCTCTCTCTGTGTGAGTGTGTGTGTGTGTGTGTTTGTGCTGGGATGTACTTCCGAGTATGTGCTTTTGGCAGATACCATCATCCTTTCAGCGATAGAAGGAGAAGTCTGAAGTGCGCTTTCTGACCTGAGAATAGGCAATGAAGTATAGTAATTAGCACAGCATATATTTTTCCTCAATAAAAAAGGAGAGATCCGTGGAATCAATCACACCTCCCAGCGATAACCTTTCCATAATCAGCCTAATGATTCTATATCCGAGTGAAATTACCTGCCAGTGGAGAAAAAGACAAGTCTTTACATTAAATGCTCTTGTGGAAGCTAGATTGCTGAATAATAAAGCATTAAGTCGTAGAAACATGCACTGAAGTTTGAAGAGATACTCAGTGCACAAACTAGACTGTAAAAGACTTTGGGGAAATAATGGAATCACCGAGAGACTAACTGATGACATTCCGAAAATTTATATTTGCCAGAAAAGAGAGATGGTCAAGACATTGTATAGTGAGTGGTTTTGGACGTGCTACGGCAGTTTAAGAAAATATGAAACAAAAAACTTGAGAAATCAGAAGGTATCCCAACTATAACCTTTGTTTTACAAAAGAATTGATGAAAATAAAAACAACGTATCTCACAGCACGCGTGATAATATTTTCATACGTATGTGATAATGGAGCAACATTTGATAGAGATGAATGAAAATTTCTAAATTTGACAAAAGCGAACAACAAAAATTACACCGTAGAAAAGCGTGGGTGACGACAGTGACGCCCTGTCTCAAGAAGTAAACATCCGAGAGATTTAAAAGTGGGGAGTGAAACCAAGGATAGCATAACATTGTTAATACTGGCCCTTGTTTCAGTGGGAAAAGGCAAAAGTAAGCCGTGTGTCTCCTAGATTCTCGCATGAATTGTTCAGGATATGAGATGTTGCCTCCATTTCCAGTTACGCATTGTATGGTGGAATTGCAGTTAGCACATTTGGTGCCAAAATTTTAATGCTGACGAAAATGGACATGTTCCCTGAACTAAGAGGGACATAATTTGGGTGTGTCTCCAGGCTCTCTGGCTTACCAGGATTGAAGATCCAGGCTCTAGGGATTTTCCCAAAATGTCTTAGACAGTAAGCACTGGGGCAGAATTGAGGCCCGGCGCCAAGGTCTCGAGGTGTAAAGAAACAGCCGTGGCCTCAGGGCCCATGAAATTCGGATGATTTTAAGGAGGATGGTGGAATGAGAGGACTGTGATCTTTGGCCCCGTTTCTTCTCCCTTGTCTTTTCATGGGCCAGGTGTGCTCCATCAGAAGGCTTTCTGTGCCTGATGTAAAGTGTCCTGGGTGAAGAAAGGGCACTGCTTAGAGAGGTGCTCCACAGGCAGGAAGGAGCCACAATTTTCAGGAGAATGATCCCCAGAAGCATGAGCAATCCAGATGTCGTGGCTTCACACAAGACGTTGGAGGGTCTTATTCCTGCAGCCGGGACCTGGGCATCGGTGTGCTTTAATGCTCATAACTAATTTTGAGGGGAGCCCAATCGATAACCTGTCTGCAAGTCATGCTCATCACACTGTAGTTTTCACACACGTCACACAGAGACCCTGTTCGTATGCACATTTGGGTGCTTGAGCAGGGTTGTGCCCAAGATTCTGTGGTTCTACGGAGCCCTGAGTTGTGACCTGGACAGCTTTCCTCAGGGGTTGGTCAACTTTGATCACTGCACCTAACAAGAAAGGGACCATGAAATCTAATCAGCAAATACAGAAAAGGAAGGGGCCATTTCCCACAATAATTTCCACAGAAACACCACGTCGGATAAATAAGTCTGATTGCAGGACAGGGACTGTGTTTCAGAGATGCAGCTTTCGCAGCTGGACGAATGACCCGGAATCTCCTCAAATGCCATTTGTAAACACACCAAATGAGGTTTATTTCAGGGCTTTCTGAATGTATTTTAGATGAATACACACACTCCAGTGTTTGATTTCCTTTAGTATCAATGAGAATTAGTTCCAAATGACTTCCGTGCCAGTGGGAAAATTTTCCGTTTCCACGCAATGGAAGTGGACACCGTGAAACAGGTAAGTCGGTCTGTCTGTTTCCCGCATTATGTGGGTTCCAGCAAGAGCACAAGTCCCAGGGCACCTGAGGTCCATTCAGAAACCAAAATAAAATGGGCGAGCCAGGGTAAGAAAGAAGAGCACCGTTCCTATCTTCCAATTGAATTCCAGTATCCACTATTCAAGGTGGCAAGAATGATCCACGGATGTACCACATGAGCAAAATTTCACCTTCTCTTGACGACCAACAACTGACGAAAGAAACAAACCCCAAGAGGAAATAGTAAACCATGTCGCCTGCAATAACCTCACACGCAAACCTACAGGTCAATAGGTCACATTAAGAAATACACACTGAATGTCATCTACCATGAACACAAACACACAGACAGTCCCTCCAGAGGTTCGGAAGACTCACGACCCCAAAACATGATGTTTCCCATATGTGGGCTCATCCTGAGACGCAGCCATCACTATCCAATTGTCCCTGTTGTAGAGACAGAAACTGGGGCTCCTCATTACTTTATGTAGGATTCACGGTGTTCGTGTTTGTGTGGGTGTGTGTGTGTTTCCGTGCGCGCTTGTGGGTGTATTTGTG